>NC_000006.12:70792200-71095230 GCF_000001405.40 Homo sapiens
ATCAATGACAACTGTTAGAATGCATTTTGGGTGGAAGTGGTTAGGGTGCAGATACTACCACTATGTATTTTTAAAGTCATCTGTACAAATATTTGAGAGTTTTCATTTCTTTTGACTCTTTACCTATTTTTTTTTTTTTTTTGTTACATTGGCCTTAATAAATTAGTTTCAGGCATCCTTTCAACTATCATTTTTTCCCGTAGACATGGGATAAATGATAAATGGTTGGCTAGATGTGTGGTATACAAAGGCAAGATATAGCCCCTGCCCTCCAGGAGCTTACAGTCTAAGGCAAGAAAACAGATAACTATATAGCAGTTTATAATACAATATATTATGGGCTGTGATTGAGGTACGCTCACTGTACTGCAGGAGGCATCATTTTGATGCATCTTATGCTCTGAATAAGCATTAGATATAAGGGGAAGGATTAGGAAGAATTCCATACATGGAAACTAGCCTGTGAAAAAACATATGGGCAAAGTGCAGTGTTTGGGGAGTTGCAAGTAGAATGGCATAACTGAAATATGAGTAGAACGGCAAGGCTCCTATCTTTCTCATGAAGGAGCCTTCTCATGAGCCCACTGAAGGAGTTTGATTCTGAAGGCTCGGGCACTTGAGTGATGAGTTTTAAGCGTTGGGGGGTGGGTGTGACAGAATCAGATTTTCATGTTGTAACACAACTTTACAGGCTCCGTGGGGAGTGAATTTTGTGGTCATGGGTGAGGAAAAGACTTAACCTATTACTCTAATCCAGTAATGAAATGAGGGGGACATGTTCCAAAGTAGTAACAGAGGGAATGTAAAAGAGAGTGTAATTTTTAAATTTTATTTTATTTTATTTTATTTTTTTGAGACGGAGTCTTGCTCTGTTGCCAGGCTGGACTGCAGTGGCGCGATCTCGGCTTACTGCAGCCTCCATCACCTGGGTTCAAGCGACTCTCCTGCCTCAGCCTCCTGAGTAGCTGGGACTACAGGTGCGCACCACCATGCCCAGCTAATTTTTGTATTTTTAGTAGAGACAGGGTTTCGCCATGTTGGCCAGGATGGTCTCGATCTCTTGGCCTTGTGATCCACCCGACTCGGGCTCCCAAAGTGCTGGGATTACAGGCATAAGCCACTGCGCCTGGCCAAGAGAGTGTAATTTTGAGAGGTCTTAAGAAGGTACAGTCTATGGGGTTTAGTAATTGGTGTCTTGTGGAGGTGCTTTGGGAAGCTTGTGACTTCCAGTTTCTATCTTGAACATCTTAGTAGATGATGGTGCCAATTAGTGAGACAAGGATACAAGCTGAAAAGAAGGAACAGGTTTGAGCAGAAAAGGAAAGAGGTGAATTAGAAGTTGGACGTGTTAAGTATGAGGTCACTGTGGAACATTGAGGTGTTTAGTAGTTGGTTGGATATACAGGTCTAGGCCCATGGGAAAGAAAAGGGGAGGAGAGTAGTTAGAGAGAGAGAGAGAGAGAGAGAGAGAGAAAGCTTAAAAATTTTGGAAACTATGTCTTTATTTTATTTTTATTTATTTATTTATTTATTTTTTTGAGACAGAGTTTCGCTCTTGTTGCCCATGTTGGAGTGCAGTGGCGCGATCTCGGCTTATTGCAACCTCCCACTGCAACCTCCGCCTCCCGGGTTCAAGCAATTCTTCTGCCTCAGCCTCCCGAGTAGCTGGGTTTACAGGCATGCGCCACCATGCCTGGCTAATTATGTATTTTTATAGAGATAGGGTTTCTCTGTGTTGGTCAGGCTGGTCTCGAACTCCCGACCTCAGGTGATCTGCCCACCTCAGCCTACCAAAGTGCTGGGATTACAGGCGTGAGCCACTGTGCCCGGCCCTATGTCTTTATTTAAATCACTCAAGTATAGTTTGATTATAATGAACCCAGTATGTACTTACCTCCATCTTACTGGACTTGAATGTTTAACCAGTTTTCTTGCACAGGAGGTCAGCTGTTTCACTACGTCACTTGTGCATATAGCCACCAGGTTTCAAGAACGACTATTTTAAAATATAAAATACTGCAGTATTTTGTTCTTGCTGAGAAAATAGTTTAAAACAACTTAGGTTTTCACAGTACTTTTAGATCTTTTAGCAGCTTTTGATTCTATGGATGGGAGTCATCTGTGGGTCAAACTGCATGATGAGTTTAGAACCCATGCTGTTAATATTACTTCGAAGCCTGTATCCTAATACCACTGCCAGAATCAGAGTAGGTGACAGCTATATTTTTATTATTGTTATTATACTTTAAGTTCTAAGATACATGTGCACAACGTGCAGGTTTGATACATAGGTGTACATGTGCCATGTTGGTTTGCTGCACTCGTCAACTCATCATTTACATTAGGTATATCTCCCACCACCCCACGACAGGCACCGGTGTGTGATGTTCCCCGCCCTATGTCCAAGTGATATCATTGTTCAGTTCCCACCTATGAGTGGAACATGGGGTGTTTGGTTTTCTGTCCTTGTGATAGTTTGCTCAGAATGATGGTTTCTAGCCTCATCCATGTCCCTAGAAAGGACACGAACTCTTCCTTTTTTATGGCTGCATAGTATTCCATGGTGTATTGTGCCACATTTTCTTTTCTTTTTTTTTTTTTTTTTTGAGATGGAGTTTCACTCTGTCGCCCAGGTTGGAGTGCAGTGGCACGATCTCAGCTCACTGCAAGCTCTGCCTCCCGGGTTCACGCCATTCTCCTGCCTCAGCCTCCCGAGTAGCTGGGACTGCAGGTGCCCATGACCACACCTGTCTAATTTTTTGTATTTTTAGTGGAGATGGGGTTTCACCGTGTTAGCCCGGATGGTCTCGATTTCCTGACCTCATTGCCACATTTTCTTAATCCAGTCTGTCATTGATGGACATTTGGGTTGTTTCCAAGTCTTTGCTATTGTGAATAGTGCTGCAGTAAACATAGATGTGCTGCATGTGTCTTGACAGCTGTATTTTTACAGCTGAATTCTGGTGTTAAAGAGTATCAAGTCATGCTCTCCCTCTAGTAAATGTAGCAAGCGAATTTGATTTGTTTTTAGTGATTTCATATGTGCCCACCAATCATGGTGATTAGGAAGTCAAACTTCTTTCCTACTCATGACAATGGCCTTCTTGAGAAATAACTGTCTTCACCTGTGCTGGCTACTCTAACACTATACCATAGATTGAGTAGCTTATAAACAACAAAAATTTACTTCTCACAGTTCTGGAGGCTGGAAAGACAAAGATCAAGTCTCCAGCAGATTCTGTGTCTTCTGAAGGGTCCACTTTCTGGTTCATAAAACGATACATCTTTGTGCCCTCATATAGTGGGAAAGGGCAGGAAATCTCTCTGGGGCCTTTTTAATAAGGGTGTGAATCCTATTCATGAAGGTTTCATCCTCATGACTTAATCACTTCCCAAAGGCCCCACCTCCTAATAATATCACATTGGGGATTAGGTTTTAACATGTGAATTTTGGGGTGGACACAAACATTCAAACCATAGCAATAACTAATAGCTCTGAGAGGTTAGGGAGCAACTCATTCTCAACATATTTTTCTTTTTCTTTTTTTTTTTTTGAGATGGAGTTTTGCTCTTGTTGCCCAGGCTGGAGTGCAATGGCATGGTCTCAGCTCACTGCAACCTCCGCCTCCTGGATTCAAGTGATTCTCCTGCCTCAGCCTCCCAAGTAGCTGGGATTACAGGCGCCCGCCACCACGCCCGGCTAATTTTTGTATTTTTAATAGAGACAGGGTTTCATCATGTTGGTCAGGCTGGTCTCGAACTTCGTGATAGGCCTGCCTCGGCCTCCCGAAGTGCTGGGATTACAGGCATGAGCCACCATGCCCGGCCTCCTTCTCAACATATTAATGAAAATGTTCTGTCACATTGCTTTCTGCACCATAGTTTACTACGAATATATAGAAAACATTTTATAATATATATAAAATTTTTGCACATCCTATTTATTCTTTACTTATAAAATGGGGATAATATTACTAACTTCATAAAGTTGTTGTGAGGATTAAAAGAGCCAAAACAGTGCCTGGCACATAGTAACGGTTCAGAAAGTATTAGCTGTTACTGTAAGGAATAATAACAGCAATAATAAATATCAAAGCTCCACTGGACCACAGTTAGTAGTGAGACCTGGAAGTTTGGGCTCCATAGTCCCTCAGTCCTGCTACTAGCTTTGATTAACTGTGTTGCTTTGGGCATTACTTCTTAAGATTTTGTTTCTTCATTTGTAAGATGACAGTAGGTAAAGTTTTTATTTCAGAAAATTGTTGCAAAGATTAAATTAGACAATAAGGTGCTTATCACCTGGCCCATAGGAAGCACTTAATAAGTGGTAGTTGTGTTTTGGAAATGAAGGTTTTGATTTGGGAAATGGTTGAGTCAGCAGTAGGTAATGTTTCTAGTTATCCTTAAAGGGTTACATCTTCCTTATTTCCAGTATAAAGCCCAGGCACTTGAGTAGATATGAAGATCTTTTTTGAGAACTATCCCAACTTTCTAGATGGTCTTCTGTCTGTGCTAGACTATGTTAATATCCTTAATGTTTAAGGCAAAATGTCACTTTTGACATATGCTCTTCTGGTAACTAAAGCATATAGATTACTCTTCAGGTTTTAGCACAAGTTCAACTTTATGTTGACTTTTATCCTGTTCCTGAACAGCATTATTGAAACATAATTTTAGAGAATCCTAGTCTAAAGGAGCCTGATATATAAACTGTTCAGATTCTGGAAATTCTATCCATGTATTCTTCTTTTGTTGCAAAGCAATATACCAATAGTTTGTTAGCTTTGTCCTCTACTTAAATGCTTTCACTAATTGATGAATTACTATTATAACACTTACTGCCTTTTATTAATGGCTAATAAAAGGTTAAAAAGAGAAATGCTTTAGAATTTCCCTGTTCTTAAAATTGCAGTTGAAGACATTGCTTATTCATGCCCCAAATATAAAGATCTTTGCTATGAATTTCTTTTAAAATTTTGAACTAAGATGTAAATTTTTCCTTTCCTCTTTTTAAAATCACACAACAAACACTAAAATTATAATGTGCCATATTTGTGTAGTGCTTTATAGTTTGCAAAGTTGCTTTCTAGGTTCTTAGTGCCTTTTTCTTTTTAGTGTTGAAATGCACATTAAATATATATCTGGTTTAATACTTAGAAGACTATCACTGTGTAATGAATATTGAAACTCAATGTTATTACCACTTTGAAAGCTCCTGTGTGACTCTGTTCCCAAATAACCTCATCCCTTCTCCTTAAAGGTAATTAACATCCTGATTTTTATCATCATCGTCTTTACTTTTTTGCTTTTTAAAATAGTTTTATACTAGTGTGTACCCTCCCAAACATCATATTTTTGCCTGTTTTTGAACTTTATATGAATGGTTGCAAAGCCCTTTGAACTTTTATTATTTCTCTCACATTATGGCCTGGGAATTGCCAATATTATATTTCCTGATTTACAAATGGCAGATTTACTTTGACAGAGGTTGCATCAGACACCATTTTAAAGGCATAGGTACAAATGCAGCTGTTAGGTATTTTGAGTAAGTTCTGCATGTTTATCATGTTGCCTTCCCTAGGTTCATCAGTTTATCTTTTCTTTTTTTGCTGCCAGGAAACTAAGGGCCAGGTTAGTGTTTAGTTGCAGTAGACTTTCAGTTCTCAGTTTCTAGTCATCTCTTTCCTCTAAATGCCTTACGAATGCTCTTTGTTTAATCTCTTTTCATTTTCCTCTATTGGCCCTTAAGATTTATTGTTGATACTTTTAATCCTTAAGTTTTTAACATTATATCTAATCCTTATTGGAAATGCAAATTGTGAATATCATAATGCCATTTATACTTCACTGCCTTACACTAGTCAGTTGGCTGTGGTCCCCAAGCACTATCTTGAACATTATTTTTTTCATGAGAAAATCACTGTATTTACTCCTTTTTCTAAAGCAAAATCTATGATAATGGACTGAAGATATTTTGTGATAAAAAAAGCTGATTTTATAGTCTTCCCCTTATATTTGCCTATTATAATTTATCTTTGTGTAATAAAGAAGTCTGTTCTATCACTTAGTTTTTTTTTTTTTTCCATTCAAAATTCAACTTCGTGATTGCTGTTAGGAAGTCTAACCTAATAAAAGGATATAGTGAGAATTTATTGAATGGAGATCTCATTCATTTAAAACAAGCATGAAACAAACCCTACTATATCAAAGAAGTTCTAAATTGTCTTACCGCTGTGCCTCTGTCTTAATTTTTTAACAGATATTCTTTAGTGTCATCAGCATATAACCTCAATGAGAATATGAATTTACTGTTTATTATATTTCAGTAGCACGTAGATATTGTAATTACTGAATATTTCTACCTTTTTCAGATGATTACTCAAACTAATAAGGATGAGTCAAAAATTGCCATTTTTTAAAAAAGTAAACTTATCAAAACTTTGGGCTGTGTTTTAGAAAGAAAAGGAAAAAAAAAAGGAAGAGAAAAAGAGAGAAAAGGAGCCAGAAAAGCCGGCAAAACCACTTACAGCTGAAAAGGTAAAATTCTTTTTTTAAAAATAATCTATTAGGATTACCATTTTATTTGTATACTTATATATTAATGACTTTCTGGATATTTATAATATGTAAATAATCATTATTTTCAACAAGCAATTGTTGAGTGAATGCTGTGTGCTCAGCATGTCCTTCTAGCTTGTCTCTGTATTATTTGTAATCAGTTATCTATATGTGTGGGTATAAACCCTCTGAGTTCCTTGGAGACAGGTATTCTCCTGTGAATGACATAGAGAATGGTGTTTTTAGCTTTCATACACAATCAGACTTAGAAGACTTAGAATTTTAGAGAATGAAGAGAACATAAATGAAAGGGACTTCAGAAAAGACTCTGCTTAAGGTTAGCCTTTGAGCTACCTCTTAAAACATAGGTAGGATTAAGGTGGAAAACGGGTACATGTTTAAGAGAACAGCCTGAAGAATGTATGAAAATTGTAAATAAAATGTTTAGAAAAATAGTGAATTTGAAGAAAGGGATTTGTCTATGTATAGAAACTAGTGAAAAATAACACCAGAATGGTAGATTGAACTCAAATTGTAGATGTTTATTCTTTTGGGGGGAGGAAAGGCTGTGAGCAGCACTTCAAATTCTAAAGCACATGGTACTCCTAATTCAGAAGGGTTTTTTTGAAAATTATTTTAGCAGTGATATGCAGGATAGATGTGATTAGGCGAACTACAGCTAGTGAGAATGTTGTACTTTGTAAAGGGATTGGTTAAATATTTATGGTGGCTTGGCTTTGAATGCATTTCATCATAAGAGTATGGAATCATACTAAGAGAATTGTCAGTAAAGGGAGCATCCTTGATTTTAGTTGTTGAAATTTTAAAAATCAACTTTATTGAGGCATAAATTGGATACTGCAAAGTACATCCATTTAAAGTACATAATAGAAGTACTGTATATAAGAAAGAAGATCCATTCTGCTGTTGAACATTTGGATTATATACAGGTTTTAACTATTCTAAATAATGCTGCTTTGAAACTTTTGTATATGGAATCTAAGCTTGTATGTTTTTAGGGTGACTTAGTAGTGGAATTTCTGCATCATAAAGTATGTGCATCTTGAAGTTTACTGGATAATGTCAAACTTTTTTCCAAAGTGTATACCAAAGGTACTCTTACCATCAAAGTAATTTCACATTCTATGTAACACATAGTGTTGTCAGGGATTTTAGCATTTGCAATATGGTGAGTATGTAATGGTGTCTCATTAAATTTTTACTGTTCATTTCCTTGATTACAGAATGAGGCCCAGTGCCTTTTCATGTCTTTTTTGCCTTCTTTTTTTCACTATAGCTTCATTTATTTTACATTTAAAAAATGAAAATAATACATGTGAAAATAAGGCACGTGTTTTTTAAAAAGTGAAACTTTAAATGGGGTGTGATGGTGCACCTCTGTAGTCCCCAGCTACTTGGGAGGCTGAGGTGGGAGGATCACTTGAACCCAGGAGTTTGAGGCTGCAGTGTGCTATGATCATACCTGTGAATAGCCACTGCACTCCAGCATGGGTAACACAGCAAGACACCCTTTAAAAAAAAAATACAGAAGGGAATAAAAAACAAAAATCTTCCTTTTCATAGGCCTGGTTCAGGTCTTTTGCCTATTTTTCTGTTGGATTGCCTGCTTTTCCTCATTGATTTGTAGCTCTCTATACACATATACATAATGTATGGGAGATACTAGTCCTTTTTCAGTTAAGTGTTTGCAAATACCTTATTTCTTCATTGTGTCTAATTTTGTTTCTGTTTTCATTTTAATTCTTTTATTATTATACTTTAAGTTCTAGGGTATATGTGCACAGTGTGCCGGTTTGTTACACAGGTATACATGTGCCATGTTGGTTTGCTGCACCCATCAACTTGTCATTTACATTAGGTATATCTCCTAATGCTGTCCCTCCCCCAGCCCCCCACCCCCTGACAGGCCCTGGTGTGTGATGTTCCCTGCCCTGTGTCCAAGTGATCTTACTGTTCAATTCCCACCTATGAGTGAGAACATGTGGTGTTTGACTTTCTGTCCTTGTGATAGTTTGCTGAGAATGATGGTTTCCAGCTTCATCCATGTCCCTGTGAAGGACATGAACTCGTCCTTTTGTTATGACTGTGTAGTATTCCATGGTGTATATGTGCCACATTTTCTTAATCCAGTCTATCATTGATGGACATTTGGGTTGGTTCCAAGTCTTTGCTATTGTGAATAGTGCCACAATAAACATAAGTGTGCATGTGTCTTTATAGTAGCATGATTTATAATCCTTTGGGTATATACTCAGTAATGGGATGGCTGGGTCAAATGGTATTTCTAGTTCTAGATCCTTGGGGAATTGCCACACTGTCTTCCACAATAGTTGAACTAATTTATACTACCACCAACAGTGTAAAAGTGTTCTTGTTTCTCCACATCCTCTCCAACATCTGTTGCTTCCTGACTTTTTTAATGATCGCGATTCTACCTGGCGTGAGATGGTATCTCATCGTGGTTTTGATTTGCATTTGTCTGATGACCAGTGATGGTGAGCATTTTTTCATATATCTGTTGGCTGCATAAATGTCTTCTTTTGAGAAGTGTCTGTTCATATCCTTTGCCCACTTTTTGATGTGGTTTTTTTTTCTTGTAAGTTTGTTTAAGTTCTTTGTAGATTCTGGATATTAGCCCTTTGTCAGATGAGTAAATTGCAAAAATTTTCTCCCATTCTTTAGGTTGCCTGTTCATGCTGATGGTAGTTTCTTTTGCCATGCAGAAGCTTTTTAGTTTAATTAGATTCCGTTTGTCATTTTTGGCTTTTGTTGCCATTGCTTTTGGTGTTTTAATCATGAAGTCCTTGCCCATGCCTGTGTCCTGAATGGTATTGCCTAGGTTTTCTTCTAGAGTTTTTATGGTTTTAGGTCTTACATTTAAATATTTAATCCATCTTGAATTAATTTGCATATGAAGTGTAAGAAGGGGATCCAGTTTCAGCTTTCTACATATGGCTAGCCAGTTTTCCCAGCACCATTTATTAAATAGGGAATCGTTTCTCCATTTCTTGTTTTTGTCAAGTTTGTCAAAGATCAGATGGTTGTAGATGTGTGGTGTTATTTCTGAGGCTTCTGTTCTGTTCCATTGGTCTATCTCTCTGTTTTGGTACCAGCAACATGCTGTTTTGGTTACTGTAGCCTTGTAGTATAGTTTGAAGTCAGGTAGCGTGATGTCTCCAGCTTTGTTCTTTTTGCTTAGGATTGACTTGGCAATGCGGGCTCTTTTTTGGTTCCATATGAACTTTAAAGTAGTTTTTTCCAATTCTGTGAAGAAAGTCATTGGTAGCTTGATGAAGATGGCATTAAATCTATAAATTACCTTGGGCAGTATGGCCATTTTCACGATATTAATTCTTCGTATCTATGAGCATGGAATGTTCTTCCATTTGTTTGTGTCCTCTTTTATTTCATTGAGCAGTGGTTTGTAGTTCTCCTTGACGAGGTCCTTTACATCCCTTGTAAGTTGGATTCCTAGGTATTTTATTCTCTTTGTAGCAGTTGTGAATGGGAATTCACTCATGATTTGGCTCTCTGTCATTGTTGTATTGGAATGCTTGTGATTTTTACACATTGATTTTGTATCCTGAAACTTTGCTGAAGTTGCTTATCAGCTTAAGGAGATTTTAGGCTGAGACGATGGGGTTTTCTGGATATATAATCATGTCATCTGCAAACAGGGAGAATTTGACTTCCTCTTTTCCTAATTGAGTACCCTTTATTTTTTTCTGTTGCCTGATTGCTCTGGCCAGAACTTCCAACACTGTTGAATAGGAGTGGTGAGAGAGGGCATCCTTGTCTTGTTCCGGTTTTCAAAGGAAATGCTTCCAGTTTTTGCCCATTCAGTATGATATTGGCTGTGGGTTTGTCATAAATAGCTCTTATTATTTTGAGATATGTTTCATCAATATCTAGTTTATTGAGAGTTTTTAGCATGAAGGGCTGTTGAATTTTGTTGAAGGCCTTTTCTGCATCTATTGAGATAATCATGTGGTTTTTGTCTTTGGTTCTGTTTATGTGATGGATCACGTTTATCGATTTGCGTATGTTGAACCAGCCTTGCATCCCAGGGATGAAGCCCACTTGATCGTGGTGGATAAGCTTTTCGATGTGCTGCTGGATTCGGTTTGCCAGTATTTTATTGAGGATTTTCGCATCGATGTTCATCAGGGATATTGGTCTAAAATTCTCTTTTTTTGTTGTGTCTCTGCCAGGCTTTAGTATCAGGATGATTCTGGCCTCATAAAATGAGTTAGGGAGGATTCCCTCTTTTTCTATTGATTGGAATAGTTTCAGAAGGAATGGTACTAGCTCCTCGTTGTACCTCTGTTAGAATTTGGCTGTGAGTCTGTCTGGTCCTGGACTTTTTTTGGTTGGTAGGCTATTATTGCCTCAATTTCAGAGTCTGTTATTGGTCTATTCAGAGATTCAACTTATTCCTGGTTTAGTCTTGGGAGGGTGTATGTGTCCAGCAATTTATCATTTTCTAGATTTTCTAGTTTATTTGCGTAGAGGTGTTTGTCGTATTCTCTGATGGTAGTTTGTATTTCTGTGGGATCAGTGGTGATACCCCTTTATCATTTTTTATTGCGTCTATTTGATTCTTTTCTCTTTTCTTCTTTATTAGTCTTGCTAGCAGTCTATTTTGTTGATCTTTTCAAAAAACCACTCCTGGATTCATTGATTTTTTTGAAGGTTTTTTTGTGTCTCTATTTCCTTCAGTTCTGCTCTGATCTTAGTTATTTCTTGCCTTCTACTAGCTTTTGAATTTGTTTGCTCTTGCTTCTGTGGTTCTTTTAATTGTGATGTTAGGGTGTCAATTTTAGACCTTTCCTACTTTCTCTTGTGGGCATTTAGTGCTATAAATTTCCCTCTACACACTGCTTTAAATGTGTCCCAGATATTCTGGTACGTTCTATCTTTGTTCTCATTGGTTTCAAAGAACATCGTTATTTCTGCCTTCATTTCTTTACTCAGTAGTCATTCAGGAGCAGGTTGTTCAGTTTCCATGTAGATGTGCAGTTTTGAATGAGTTTCTTAATCCTGAGTCCTAATTTGATTGTACTGTGTCCTGAGAGACAGTTTGTTGTGATTTCTGTTCTTTTACGTTTGCTGAGGAGTGTTTTACTTCCAATTATGTGTCAATTTTAGAATAAGTGTGATGTGCTGAGAAGAATGTATATTCTGTTGATTTGGGGTGGAGAGTTCTGTAGATGTCTTATTAGGTCCACTTGGTGCAGAGATGAGTTCAAGTCCTGGATATCTTTGTTAACCTTCTGTCTCGTTGATCTGTCTGACATTGACAGTGGGGTGTTAAAGTCTCCCATTATTGTTTTGTGAGAGCCTAAGTCTCTTTGTAGGTCTCTAAGGACTTGCTTTATGAATCTGGGTGCTCCTGTATTGGGTGCATATATATTTAGGATAGTTAGCTCTTATTGAATTGATCCCTTTACCGTTATGTAATGGCTTTCTTTGTCTCTTTTGATCTTTGTTCGTTTGAAGTCTGTTTTATCAGAGACTAGGATTGCAACCCCTGTTTTTTTTTTTTTTTAACTTTCCATTTGCCTGGTAGGTCTTCCTCCATCCCTTTATTTTGAGCCTATGTGTGTCTCTGCAGGTGAGATGGGTCTCCTGAATACAGCACGCTGATGGTGATGGGTTTTGACTCTATCCAGTTTGCCAGTCTGTGTCTTTTAATTGGGGCATTTAGCCCATTTACGTTTAAGTTTAATATTGTTATGTGTGAATGAGATCCTGTCATTATGATGTTCGCTGGTTATTTTGACCTTTAATTGATGCAGTTTCTTCATAGCATCGATGGTCTTTCCAATTTGGCCTGTTTTTGCATTGGCTGGTACCAGTTGTTCCTTTCCATGTTTAGTGCTTCCTTCAGGAGCTCTTGTAAGGCAGGCCTGGTGGTGACAAAATCTCTCAGCATTTGCTTGTCTGTAAAGTATTTTATTTCTCCTTCACTTATGAAGCTTAGTTTGGCTGGATATGAAATTCTGGGTTGAAAATTCTTTTCTTTAAGAATGTTGTATATTGACCCCCACTCTCTTCTGGCCTATAGTGTTTCTGCTGAGAGATCTGCTGTTAGTCTGATGGACTTCCCTTTGTGGGTAACCTGACCTTTCTCTCTGACTGTCCTTAACACTTTTTTTTTTTTTCATTTCAGCCTTGGTGAATATGACAATTATGTGTCTTGGGTTGCTCTTCTTGAAGAGTATCTTTGTGGTGTTCTGTGTTTTTCCTGAATTTGAATGTTGGCCTGTCTTGCTAGGTTGGGTACGTTCTCCTGGATAATATCCTGAAGAGTGTTTTCCAACTTGGTTTCATTCTCCCCATCACTTTCAGGTACACCAATCAGACGTAGATTTGGTCTTTTCATATAGTTTCATATTTCTTGGAGTGTTTGTTCATTTCTTATTACTCTTTTTTCTCTAATCTTGTCTTCTTGCTTTATTTCATTAATTTGATCTTCAATCACTGATATCCTTCCTTCCACTTGATCAAATCAGCTATTGAAGCTTGTGCATGCGTCACAAAGTTCTCGTGCCATGGCTTTCAGCTCCATCAGGTCATTTAAGGTCTTCTCTACACTGTTTATTCTAGTTAGCCATTCGTCTAACCTTTTTTCGAGGTTTTTAACTTCCTTGCGATGGGTTAGAACATGTTCCATTAGCTCCGAGAAGTTTGTGATTACCGACTTTTTGAAGCCTACTTCAGTCAACTCGTCAAAGTCATTCTGCATCCAGCTTTGTTCTGTTGCTGGCGAGGAGCTGTGATGCTTTGGAAGAGAAGAGGGGCTCTGGTTTTATAATTTTCAGCTTTTCTGCTCTGGTTTCTTCCCATCTTTGTGGTTTTATCTACCTTTGGTCTTTGATGTTGGTGACCTACAGATGGGGTTTTGGTGTGGATGTCCTTTTTGTTGACATTGATGCTATTCCTTTCTGTTTGTTGGTTTTCCTTCTAACAGTCAGGTCCCTCTGCTGCAGGTCTGTTGGAGTTTGCTGGAGGTCTACTGTGGACGCTGTTTTCCTGGGTGTCACCAGCAGAGGCTGCAGAACAGCAAATATTGCTGCCTGATCTTTCCTCTGGAAGCTTCGTCCCAGAGGGGTACCCACCTGTGTGAGGTGTCTGTCGGCCCCTACTGGGAGGTATCTCCCAGTTAGGCTACACGGGGGTCAGGGACCCACTTGAGGAGGCAAGTGTGTCCATTCTCAGAGCTCAAATGCAGTGCTGGGAGAACCACTGCTCTCTTCAGAGCTGTCAGACAGGCACGTTTAAGTCTGCAGAAGTTTCTGCTGCCTTTTGTTTAGCTATGCCCTGTCCACTGAGGTGGAGTCTATAGAGGCAGTGAGCCTTGCTGAGCTGCGGTGGGCTCCGCTAAGTTTGAGCTTCCCAGCCACTTTGTTTACCTGCTGAAGCCTCAGCTATAGCGGATGCCTCTCCCCTGCCCAGCTGCGGCTTCACAGTTTGATCTCAGACTGCTGCGCTAGTAGTGAGCAAGGCTCTGTGAGCGTGGGACCTGCCAAGCCAGGCACGGGAGAGAATCTCCTGGTCTGCCGGTTGCTAAGACCTTGGGGAAAATACAGTATTTAGGCAGGAGTGTCCCGTTTTTCCAGGTAGTCTGTCACAGCTTCCCTTGGCTAGGAAAGGGAAATCCGTGACCCCCTGTGCTTCCTGGTGAGGTGATGCCCCGCCCTCCTTCAGCTCACCCTCCGTGGGCTGCACCCACTATCCAACCAGTCCCAGTGAGATGAACCAGGTACCTCAGTTGGAAATGCAGAAATCACCCATCTTCTGCGTCGATCATGCTAGGAGCTGCAGACCGGAGCTGTCTTGGATGAAGATCCACCTCGTTATGAGTTTGAAAGAAGATGCTCGATAGGGATTATTTATTCTAGAATTAGTTTTTTCAAGTCAAATTTATTTCTATAAGTAATTAAAGCCATTAATATAGTTCTTGACACATAGTAATAGCTTAATAAGCAGTTAAACATATTTGGGATTTGGAAGGAACCATGCTTATCTCATTTAAGTTCCTTATTTTATAAAGAAGTAAACTAAATCCTCGAAGGACCTAAAGTCTCTCAGGAGTGACTTGCTCAGTGTTACTAGTTGCTGGCAGCTCAGGAATTTGAACCCAAGTCTTCTGGTTTCAAGCCCTGTGTTGTGTGTGTGTATTTCTATTTGTCATATATGTCTTCAGGTTCTTTATTGCAATTTAAAGTGCTGTTGTACATTCTACATAATTTATAATGAATTATCCAGGCTTCCCTGTAAAAGAACTGTGTTCATATATAACCTCATCCCATACTATGCTAACTAGGGAATTAATAACTTTCATTGATTTGTGAGTTTCCAGTTAGCAACTTCTTCCTTCTGTAAACTTGTTTTCCTTGAGCAGTCTACTACTTTTGTTTAAATTGTATTTTGTTTATACCTAAGTCTCATTGAGGTTTACATTTTTGTAGTGTTCCAGAAACTATTACTAATTGTGTCAGTTGGAGCTAGGCTTACTTTTTTTCTGGGAGGAGAAAGGTAAAACCTAAAAATGTAATGAGTCAAGTGACTAATAAGGCAGATGCCTTTGATATTTAAATAGATATCTCTCTTTTATGCTTAAGATATACCAGTAGAAAATTGTGTGTAAATTTCGTTTTTTCTAAAATACTCTGTCATTCACTGGACATTTCTATTTAATTCACTTAGTTTAGATTTATGTACCAGGTTGTCTCTCAAGTAATCAATGATCTATAAATATGTTTCTGTAGATGAGGAGTACTCTATTAAAGGAATGTTATATGAGTTATCTTTCAGTTTAATCAGATTTTAATTTGTCCTTTGGAAGTTTCTAAGTTTTATAGGTTTTCTCAAAGGTTTACATATCAAAGCATGGAACATGCAAAATAATCTTTTCTTTGCTGGGAAAAGAAGTTAAGCCTTTTTAAGATGATTGCTACTCTTTTCTGGTTATAGTACTATTTATTACAACATGTTATATATACAGGTGACACTAGAACAGTGCTGGAGTTGTGGCCCTTACCCCCACTGTGCCGTTGAAAATCCTCATATAACTTTTGATTCCTCAGAAAGTTGACCACTAATAGCCTACTGTTGATTGGAAGCCTTACAAATAACATAAATAGTCAATACATATTTTGTATGTCACATGTATTAGATATATTCTTAATTATATATTATATATAAGAATATATTCTTAAAGTAAGCTAGAGAAAATCAGAAAGAAGAGAAAATATATTTACTATTCATTAAGTGGAAGTAGATCATCATAAAGGTTTTTATCCTCATCGTCTTCATGTTGACTTGACTGAGGGGGAAGAAGAAGAGGAGGTGCTGGTCTTCCTGTCTCAGAGGTGGCAGAGGTGGAAGAAAATCCACATGTAAGTGGATCCACGCAGTTCAAACCCATGTCGTTCAAGGGTCAGCTGTACTTATTATGTATTCAGTTCTGAAACTTCTGATCATGTGTTAAGAAATCTGTAATGTAGGAATCAGCAAACTTTTTTCTGTGAAGAACCAGATAGTAAATATTTTAAGCTATAGACCTTAATGTGTCTTTCACAACTACTCTTTTCTTATAGCATAAAAGCAGTAAGTGAATGTGTTCCATGAAAACTTTATTTTTAAAAACAGATAGCCCAATTTATTGAGACACTTCCTTCCCCAGCTCCTTACAGTGAGAAACGGTTGCCGCGGAAGAAGCAGGGTCAGGTGGAGAGCCAGGCTCCAGCTCCTGATCCATCAGTCACTTAACTGTCCAGAGCCTCCTTTTCTTTCTTTATTAAGTGATAAGATTTGCCTCGATGATCTCTAGAGCCTCTTTTGCCAATACATAGCTTTAAATTTAGAATTGCTTGTTTCGCCTATTGAACATAGGGACTGATTCCAAACATCATCTAACAGTATCCTTAAAGGTGGATTTCAGATAGCTACATAATTAGTTTTTATTCAGTGACTTTTCCTCACTATTATTTCAAACTGGTTTCTCGCCTACATTAGTTACTGCTCTCTTTAATCAGGTTTTTTTTTTTTCTGTTAAAACACAAAGTCTAATTTAGGAGAAAATAGAACCATTTATTTCTAGTGCAGGCTGTTTCCCTGTGTGTGTGTGTGTGTGTGTGTGTGTGTGTGTGTGTGTACACACTTACTGGTTTCTTGCATATATGCCTTGGTGGAGTATTCTTAGTTTAAAATAGATTGTTTTCATTGGCATAGAGTCCCTAAAGTATGTATTGTGATATTTTTTAATGTAAAATAATGTCTCTTGTGCAGATATTTGCCATTAGCTTCTTGACGTTTTTAAGAGAAAATCAATTCACAAAGTATATAAAAGTAGAATAAAAATTCCAGGAAGGAAAGTGGAGAAGCAGTGACGCTATAAGAGAAGACCACTGCTTTTGATAATACATACTTACCAGCATCAATACATTTATTTCAAGATACGGCAAGTATTTGGGTATTTAAGGAGATAATGTAGATGAATAATGATTTAAAAAAAATTAGTTGGGAAAGAAATGAAAACAACCATCAAACTTCCTCATTGAACAAACCTTTTATGTTAATACAATTTAAAAAATACATTTGTATTTGATAAATATGTCAGCTAACCTATTAATATAAGCACAAGATAACAATTGCAAATCTGTTGAACTTGAAATTTCAATATAACCATGTAAAAGTGACAACCACTTGTAAATCAAATAAATTATTCTTAGTAAATCATTAAATTAAATGGCTCATTGCCAGATGCTAGATTGATAGGTTATGTTGTTTAACAATCTGACAGATACATTTACACACCCACCAAGCTCTCATTGTAATTTAAGCTAAATAAACCTTTCATATGATGCGTGAATGCATTTTAGAACAAGATATTTTCAATAAATAATACTTTTATAAAAATCATAGAAACATGGTATAGGTGAGTAAATGCAGCAGATGTCTCACAGAACATTTGTATAAGTAGTTTTGGAAGATTCTTTATATTTTCCTCAAATCTTTACATTTCTAGCTTAAAGCTAGATCTTGAAGATTAGTTTGATGATGATCTTTTGTTTATAGATTTTTAAAGGAAATAATAGATTCAGTATCACTATATATTAGGTTTAGGAAGCATTTTAGTGTTGCTTCCCTGTTGCCCAAGTTTTATTATGGTATAGAATGCTAGTTGCTGTTAACAACTCCTCATCTTTCTTTAGCTAGGAGGCATTAAAAAAGAAAAAATCTTTTTCCTCTGAAGCAGGAAAGATTACAGTGTAGTACCCCTCAGTAAAAATAAATAATCTGTCTTGTTTGGTAAATGTATAGGGTTTCTTATTCTTTAACCAAGAAATTGGTAAATGTATGTTTCCTCCAAGTGTATTTTCTTTCTTTTCTTTTTCTTGAGATAGGGTCTTTCTGTGGGGCTCAGGCATGCGTAGAACTCCTGAGCTCAAAGGATCCTTCTGTCTCAGCCTTCTGCACCTGACTAGCTGGGACTGCAGGCATACACCAATGTGCCTGTCTCTCCTAGTAGGTTTTTGATAGTCTCTTTCTTCTGCTTCCCCATAATATTCAAACCATATACATTTGTAAGAAGTCACAAAATCCATGTAAGCAAGAAGAAAAAATTAATGTTACCACTTAGAAAAAATGATCACTAATGCCTTGGCATTCATCCTTCCTAATTGTTTCCCATGGAAATATATATATCCACATGGGATCATATTATACATATTATTTTGTAACCTACTTTGTCCCTTTGTCATTTGACAATATTTTGACTGACTTTTCTTTGTTTTTTTCTTTTTTAGATACAGGGTCTCACTATTTCATTCAGGCTGGAGGGCAGTGGTGTGATCATAGCTCACTGTAGCCTCAAACTGGGCCCAAGGGAATCCTCCTGTCTCAGTCTTCCAAGTAGCTAGGACTACAGGAGCATGCCATCATGTCTGGCTAATTTTTTAAAAAGTTTCTTAAAGTTGAGGTCTCATTGTGTTGACCAGGCCGGTCTTGAACTCCTGGCCTCAAGTCAGGCATAAGCCACTGCACCTGGCTCCCCTTTTTTTATTGATACATATACTGTGCCTTTCTGTCTTTACTAACATTCCATCAAATGGATGTAGCATAATTTACCTTCCACTGAGCACAGTAAGACTCTACTTAAAGTTTATCTCTCTTTGGGATAATGAAAATCTGTATACATAATCTGTGTACAACTGTGTAATAACTTCTTACAATCAATTTTTAAAACTGGAGTTGCTGAGTCAAAGGATAATAGGCTTTTAAAAGCCTTTTGAAAAATATTAACAAACTACTAAAAGATGCAGATAGAAGAACCTATACTTGATTACAAGACTTTAATTTGATTCTCAACTTTACTGTTTACTAGATGTCTAACTACTCTGTGCCTCAGTTTCTTCATATGTAAATCTTTTTGGACATTTCTGAGTACCTACTACATGCCAAGTGCTATTTTTGGCATTAGGGATAGAGTGGCCAGGAGGCTGTTTTGTTTCTTGTAGGATGTTCAGCAGCATCTTACCAGTCCTAACAGTAAAAAGTGTCTTCAGAGACATTGTTAAATGCCCCCTGGGAAGCATAATCACTTCTCACTTGAGAATTGTTGATTCAAAATCTAGATCCATGAAACTGGGTCTCGATAGAAGAATGAAAACCTGCCTGTTACGCGATCCTCGGGAGGGCACCGGTGAGATCAGTCAAGGCTTCCTTTGAATATAGTTGTCCTTCAGTACCCGTGGGAGATTTGCTCCAGGACCCCACCCCTGCTGACACACACACACACACACATACCAAAATCTGTGGATATTCAAGTCCCTTATTTAAAATGACATGATTTGCATATAACTTATTGCACATCCTCCCATATACTTTAAATCATCTCTAGATTACTTATATAGTAATACAGTACAATGCCTGCAGATCCCTTTATTGTTGTGGATTCAGTGTAGTACCCTGTCATGGCAAATTCAAGTTTTGCTTTTTGGAATTTGTGAAACTCATGGAAATGGAGGGCCAACTGTATCCAGTAGTCCCTCTCATATCTGCAGAGAATATGTCCCAAGATGTAGCCAGTGAAACCTTGGGTCGTACCAAATCTTGTATATACTATGATTTTGATCTGATAGGTGAGATGGCTACTGAGTGACTAACAGGTGGGTAGCGTATAAAGCGTGGATGTGCTGGACAAAGGGATGATTCACATCGCTGGGACAATATTTCATCATGTTACTCAGAACCGTGTGTAATTTAAAACTTATGAATTGCTTATTTTTGGAATTTCCCATTTAATAGTTTGTGACTGTGATTGTAGGTAATTGAAGACACTGAAAGCAAAACGTTAGGTAAGGGGGACTGCTGTAGACACAAGATCTTTTTCTCAGGTTTTACTCGGATGCCAGAAGGAAATAATATAGTTGTGTATATGAAGAAAAGTTTTAATACCATTAGGTGGAAAGTAAAATACACGATCGAGTGAATCAGAAATTAGCGTTTTCTTAATTATAAGTTATCCAAAGTCAGATTTATCTTTCAAAATCACACATCTTTTTATCTAATTCTTATTTGATTAGAATTATCTGCATTTTGGAGGAAGAAAACAGAACAGAATGTTAGGATAAAAATTTGATTAGACATGTAGTCTTGAGCCACAGAAACCATTGGCCTGTAGCCGTACACTTTGTTATTCTTCATCTTCTGGAATATTACTTTTGTGGTACTTAACAATAGTTTTTCTAGAGTACTGCATTTATTTGAAAGTATTGCAGTGCCAGAAAAACTGGAGACAGGAAAGAAATATTTTAACTTCTTCAAAACTTAGTAGGGACCTGAATACAGGGAGAAATTATAAGCTAAAAAATTAAAAGATAATCAATTGCTTACAGAATAAATATTAATAAAGCCTAGCCCTTTCAGAGTCTGTCCATTACCTATGTTTTCACCTATCATTTCATTTCAGTTTATTCTTTTGAAACCTATGAAGTTTCAGGGAACCGGAATAGAGACTGTCTTCTGAACATGGCATTCTTATTCTTGTCTCAGTAGCTCTGATTTAATTCTATACTCGTGCCCCCAGTGTGTCTCTCCTTTCTACATAACAAGGTCTACATCTCCTTCTAAATCTTTATCACTGTGATAATTATGTTCAGCCTCATTTCTTTTTTTTTAGCAGTTTTCCCTTATTATAAAAACTGTGGAAAATAGAGGAAAAAATAAAAAGGAAAATCACCTTACATCTTACTGCCTGGAGTCTCACCACTTTTAACATTTTAGTTGTTTCTAGTTCTCTTTTGGGAATGTAGATGGTATGGTTTCGTATTTTTTATTTTTTCTCTCACCCCCAATTTAATGTTGTATTATAAGCATTTATTTTACCTTTAATGGTAATGTGTTGTACTGGCCTATGATAGTGTAGGAGGTGGGGGTATGTCACAGGCTTCTGGAGAGTACCCAGCAAGGGTTTGCTTCTCCAACTGAGTAAAGATTACCTACCAGTTAATAAATGGGAATAAGGATATTTTATCTTCCCATTTATTATTCCATCCTTACAAGTGAGAACAGCAATGAATTGAAAATAAAATAGGCTTAAGTTATACAAATATATTTGCATAATATATTTTGTTTAAATGAATAAATATAATTCTGTTAGATGCTTCTCTTCACCAACCACTTACATACTGTGTAATAAACTACCGAGAGTAATTAAGGGTTTAATATTATGTTTTCATAATTATTCAAAATTTTTAAATATTAAAATTTGATAAATCATTTTTTACCTTCTCTTCCCCTACTCCCTCCCTCTCACCCATCCCCACCACAATAAAACTAGTGCAGAAGGACGTATATATTGAGCCTTAAACTTGTAGTGTTCTAGATGTGTTAATATATGCTTCCTTTGGTAATATTTGTCTTTTAACATTTTTAAAAAAATATTTTAAATGCACAAAATCTCCCAGAAAATTTTTAAAATCTGTTAAATAAACAATACACATAAAATGGTTAAGATGGTAGGTTTTATGCTATGTTGCACAATAAAAAATTAATAAATACAGTTTTAAAAAGATACATTGCAGACATATACAATTTTATCTTTATAATCCAATTTTAATGAGTTGAAAATCATTTTTTCTGTTTAATCCTTAATTCATCTGGTAGCATTTAACTGAAGGAAATAAAATTTAACCTGAAAGTAAAAAATGTGCAGCGATGAAAGGAGATGTCTCTCCACTAACATGGGAGGCATCCATGTTCTATTTTTAAAAATGATTGCACCTATTTATAGTAAAGCATCTTCTGGCCTTGGGAGTTTCTAGTCTCCCTGGTTTGCTGCCTGCCAAAAGATGGCTGTTCTGTCTTTTACAGTTGCCTCTTTCCTAGGTTTATGGCCTCCTACTATCAGCCTGGACCCATTACTGACCCATCATTTGACATTCTTCGTTGTGGATCGGAAGAAATAGAGACTCTCTCTTTTGATAGCAATGATAATTGAGATATTGCATCAAAAGTATCAACAATGGCTTTTATGTATGGATTTTGAAAATCAGTCTTATCACTTCATAGTTACCTGATAGGAACATCTGTAGACTCTGATGAGAACATTGATAGCAGTGGATGTAATAATCTTATAGAGACTACTATGCAGCCCTGGTTTTTTTCCCTGTGCCAATGCTCTCAAGACCTTTCATCATTTGAAACTTTCCCTTTTAGATTTATAGACTGCATAGCTTTGATCAGATGTCATTAGAGCCTTCAGCTCTGTGCTGTGTTTTACATCCTATTGTTTCCTTTCGTCTGAATTTAGTCTCCTGAGTATACCATCTGATTTCGTCCTGCCTACCCACACTTAGCCCTCCTCTTTTTACTGTATAAAGCAGGCCTTAGGACTAAGGAGGCATTGCTCTTCTAGCCACTCTGACATTCAGTGTGACTTGAAGAGTGAGGCTGAAAAAAGCAATCTTAAGAAGGATTTGGTCTGACAGTTTGTTCTTGAGATTGGTGGTAGATTAAATGTTACCACCGTTTTACATTTGTCTCATTTTATAGTGAACTATCAGTCACACTTACCATCTTATCAACACACTGTGTTGTTAGCTTCTGTACATTGCTAAATGTTTACCTATCATCTAGGGATAGTTCAGCTCATAAAGGGTCAAATGAATAGGCAAAGGATGGACAGATATGGAACTAGCTGTGTTTTTCCTACTCAGAGGTTAGACTGGAGCCCAGCTTTTAATGACAAAGATAATCTTAGCATTTTATAAAATTTATCTGCTGTAGGTTTGTTCCTGACCTTGGCATTGCTCACACTAATTGCTCGTAAGTGGTACTATGCTGATTAAATAAATATGTTCCTTTTTAGTGTCTTATCTGGGTACAGTAATTTACTGTCCCAAGGATTTTTTGTAATGCTAACCAAAATGTTAAGGTAGAATACCTACCCAGAGGACCAAAACTATAGGTTAACATTAAAGTCTAATTTATTTGAATGTAGTTGTATAAAATACAATACATAAAATTGAACAGTAAATTACCTTTTTAGTGCTTTATGATGGGCAGTCCAATTGTGTAAGTTACCTTGGCAGTCCTGATGGTTGGCCCATAACAATTGCATAAAATATTTGTGGAATATGATACTCTTAGTAAAGGACTATGTATGTAAGATGTGTGAGAAGCATAATTATGCAAAAAACATTTTTAAGGTCCTCTTTAGAAAGAATACTTTTTTTGGCGGGGGGAGTGGGGCAGATTGCCGAGCAGGTGACCTATAGCTAGAAAGGAGAGAAACCTTCCATGTGGCATCTAAAAACTTTTAATTCTGTTTCATGCCCCACCCCACTGTTGATAGTGGAATGTAGGGATTTTAAAGACAGGATGGTTCCCTTGAGATGAAATAAGCTCAAAAGGCAGTTAGACTGAAACAGGATGATTGCTGTCAATCCCCATACACTCAAGGTGTTTTTTTTTAAGTTTACATAGACATATGTTTATATTTGCATATATGTATTTGTGTATGTTTGTGTATTATTTAAGGAAATGCATTGAAAGGTTTCTGGGAGGAAATCTTGGGATTGAATGTAGCAACTCTTAGGATGCCTGCAGTGTGTAAGGCAGGCTAAAGGGTTGGAAGGAATATAAAAATGATGAAAACAGCTTACCCTCAAGAATCTTAAAATTCAGAAAGAACTAGTGATTAAAAGGGGATGATATGATAAATAACTCTAGCAAAAGGCAGATATGATACAATAGGAGACAGAGTGTGGAGGTTTGGAGAATTGAGAGATATCATGTTGAGATTATTAGGAAAGTCTTCATGGAAGTTGTTTATATTTGACATGAGCTTTGAAACATTGTTAGGAGGAGAGAGCAACAGGCAGAGAGAAGAAGAACATTAAAAGAATGGAAATTGTAAGGCATATTTTGGCAATTATCCAATTTAACTGAAGTATAGGACAATAATGGAGTACAAACCAATAAAGATAATATTGAGAGAGCCTTAAATTTCGTGATAAATAGTGGATTGTTTCTGATTTTGAGTGGGGAAGTATACTTCATTTTAGTAAGATGAAATCCTGGCTGTAGTATGTAGGATGGATTGAAGGCAGGTGAGGTTAGAAAAAGAGAAACTAGCTAAGAAGCTATGGGAGAGAGATAATTGGAGCTTGATGTACAGTCCTATTTATAAAGGTAGATTAGCCTAACCTGCTTCTCAAAGAATGATTGAAATACTTTTTTACTTTGCTTTTGAACAAACAGCCTTACCAAACTCCAAGGCCTGCTTTATCAGATTCATTTATTTATTCACTGAGTGAGTTTTTATTGAGCAGTCACTGTATGTCCAGCACTGGGGATATAGTAGAAACAAAACAAAATGTCCTGCTGTCACATATAATCATTTCAAACATATATGGTGCTTTATCAATAAAAGGTATTAGTGTGATTGTTAGTAGTTGTCACTACCACTGCTTTATGTTAACCAAAAGCCTAAAATATTATTTTGCCAACTCTGTATTTTATCTCCTAGAAGATTTTTTAAAACTAATGATTAGGCGTTAAACTTTATAGCATTTAAAGATTTAAAGATTTAGTAATTTGTTTTTAATGACAGCATTTATAACAATTATAAAAGGGATAATATATAAAATGAACACAAAAGAAGCAAATGTCTATTTCGGATATATTTGTGATTTATGGACATTGCATTGCATCTAACAAGTCCCCCCAGTTCCATCTCTTCCCACTTCCAATCGGTAGATTTTAGTGACAGGACCCCTTTCCCAGAAGCAGTAGCTCTCCAACTATATTAGAAAACTGTATTAGAATATATATATATATATATATTTTTTTTTTGCCATATTCTCTGCTTCTTAACTACTAACCCTGCTCAAGCCGCACATTATTATTCTACTGAATAGATATTAGTTCATTGTCCCTATGTTTTCTCACCACACCTTAGGACCTTTATTGCTTTAGTATTGTAGACTTTAAATTTCTGGAACTGATTGCTAGAAGGAAAAGCAATCCTTTTTTCATAGTTGATTTAAAAACATCTAAGGAAAGATCAATTTGAGGTTCTTTGATTCTTCTGATCTTTGGAAAGTTCAAAAGTGGTTTGTATAATCATAGTTCCTTGCAGTGATACAAAATAGAGTCTTCTTTTCTGCAAGCTCTTATCCATTGCTTTCAGAAAACTGGGACTTTTTCTCTTCAAACACAGCTGTGGACTAAGGTCTTCCCCTTCATTAAAAAGTCCCTTTTAAATGACAACCAAATAGTCCAGGACTTATTGAGAGTGTTCTTTGCTTTAAAAAGTTTGTTTTTATTGTTATCCCCTTTGTGATTGTACTTCTGAGTTCTCAAAGATGTTCACAGAGTTTTCTTTGGCCCCATCTCTTTGTTGATTTTAAAGAGGGGTCAAAAAATGAATTTGGTATTTATTTTGTACAACCAGGCTGTTTTGAGTTCCCTGAAAACCAGGTAGAAGCCAATCAAAATCTGTAAGGGGCTAAAGGGTTACCCTTCAAACCCATTTCCAAAGACTAAGGATTGAGAATTTTAGAAATTGAGAATTGTCTTTGAAACAAAAGCAAATCAAAAGCAGATTTTGGATTTGAAATTAGAACTCTTGTTTCATTAGATGAAAAAGTGTATCTCCAGACTAAAATAGCCAACAATGACCTTGTTAGATTTGTGATTTGCTGCTCAAGAACCGTCAGCATCAGGCATTTCTTTCCATTCCCATTTCTCCATTATTTTCACTTTCTCCTCTTTCTAAATTCTACTTTTGAATATTCAAGTAATTTTAGAGTTTCTGGAGTGTATCAAATCTTCTTTATAATGAAAACCTAACTTTGGGAGGTTGAGGCGGGCGGATTACCTGAGGTCAGGAGTTCGAGATGAGCCTGGCCAACATAGTGAAACCCCGTCTCTACTAAAAAATTACAAAAAAAAAAAAAAATTAGCTGGGCATGGTGGCAGGCACCTGTAATCCCAGCTACTCAGGAGGCTGAGGCAGGAGAATCACATGAACCCAGGAGGCAGAGGTTGCAGTGAGCCAAGATTGTGCCATTGCACTCCAGCCTGGGCAAAAAGGGCAAAACTCCATCTCAAAAAAAAAAGCCTATTTCTGGGGTTTTCATATTATGCTATTTTGCCACATACAAATGTATTTGCAAGCAAAATAGAATAAAGAAGGTTATAACGGGGAATTCTTTTAGGAATTGGTATCCAGGAGGTACTTTTGGCCTTGAGGCAGGATGTTGAAGTGGAGAGGTTTCTTTATCAAACCTGCTTCCCGTAGTCATCTCTCTCTTCTTTCCTGGCTTTCTATCCCTCTTTTCCTTCAGATGAGATAGTGGAGCTGGGCTGGGGGATGCTAAATTTGTGGTAATGGAAGACTGTCCCTGTAGAGTGTTGGCATTC
Organism: Homo sapiens; assembly: GCF_000001405.40. NCBI lineage: Eukaryota > Metazoa > Chordata > Mammalia > Primates > Hominidae > Homo > Homo sapiens. The sequence goes on from NC_000006.12 coordinate 70,818,721, forward strand.
CTCAAACTGGATTGGAATATGTATTCACTGCTAAAGTATGGTCACAGCAGCCTTTTTATTTCCAGTTTACAGGAGAACTGTGCTAGTAACGTTTCCCCAATTTAAAATTTTTCTACGATGTTACTTTTAAAATATCAACTTTATTGATATTTTAATTCATATATCATGTCATCCATGTCACTCATTAAAATGTATAGTTCAGTGGCTTCTCTTATATCAGCAGTTGCGTAGCCATCACCGCTGTCAGTTTTAGAACACTTTCATCACCCCCAAAAGAAACCCTACAGCTATTAGTGGTCACTCCCTGTTTCTCCTTTCCACAGCTCCTGGCAACCACTAATCTTTCTGTCTCTGTAGATTTACCTATTCTAGACATTTTATGTAAACATTATTCAAGATATGGTCTTTCGTAGTGGTTTCTTTCACTTAGCATAGTCTTTTCAAGGCTTATCCATGTTTGTAGCATGTAAAAGTACTGCATTCTTTTCTTGCAATTTTTTTTTTGCTATTTTTGCACTTATAGAGCAAAGAAATGGTCATTCTCTCATCAACAAAAAGATGAGCTGCCAGTGTTTTAAAAAATACCATGTTTTAATGATGTAAGGGTGAAAAAAAAAAAAGGAACCAGAGTAACTATATGTTAGAACTTAATACAGGTATTTTAAATCTAGAATAAATATTTACAAGATGGATAAGTTCTATGTTCATTCATGATAGTTTCATTCAAAGGATGTTTCCTGTTTCAGGTCTTCATACCATCAAAACCTGAAACGTGGAATTAAAATTTGAGTTTGCTGTGTTTCCATTTTTATTGAAAATTTTAATGGAGCGTTTCAGTCTCCCTTTATTCTTCTCCAAAGCATAAAATGACTTGAAAATATACAGGAAAATTAAGAAGGTTGTTTAGACCCAGATGGTAAATAGTGAGCACTATTTATCGTAATATAATGAGAGTCAAATTGAATGCTAAAAGGATACAGTTTTTAATTATAATAGAATATGTTGAAGTCGCATAAGAACAGTGTTATTTCCAAGATTTCGAAATAGGTTGCCCACATATATTGTTACTTAAACTAAATTCTGCTAAGAAGAAGAGTACATTCTTCTGAATTACAGTAATATGCTTCTACTTCAGATCATTTTGGAAAAACCTGTCTTAGCCTGTGGTTTCAAACATTGGACTGGACTTGAAATCCCCTATTACTATGTGAGATTCTATTTCCTGCCCATAAGGCTCTATAGGATAGTGGCTTCAGTCCCACTGTCTGCTTGCCTTTCTCTTTGATTTCTGCTCCAGGAAGATACTTACCTCGGTTCTGAGCCTGACTAATCTTATGGATTTTTTCTTTTAATATTTTCTCATGTGTTTGGAGCTATAGGGATGTGATTAAAGATAAGGTTCTGGAGCCATATATTGATGACAGAATGTTATAAGCAAAAATATAAAAAATGATTTCAAATTCTTCTTGTATTTATACCTTTAAGGAATATCTTCTTTTGATTAAATATATAAGCATTATATGTATTGGATGTATCAGTAGAGATATTGTTTATAGATTTTCATGTCATTTTTCTATAGGTAATAGTCATAATTGATGTTATGAGCTTTTTAATTAAAAAAGAAAAGGAAACTCTTTAATTTGATTGTGATAACTATGGTATGCCTTGATACAGAGACTAGAGAAATATTATGAAAACTTTATTATTTAGGCCGGGTGCAATGGCTCACGCCTGTAGTCCCAGCACTTTGGGAGGCCGAGGCGGGCGGATCATGAGGTCAGGAGATCGAGACCATCCTGGCTAATGAAACCCCGTCTCTACTAAAAATACAAAAAATTAGCTGGGTGTGGTAGCAGGTGCCTGTAATCCCAGCTACTCAGGAGGCTGAAGCAGGGGAATTGCTGGAACCCAGGAGGCTGAGGTTGTAGTGAACCGAGATCGTGCCACTGCACTCCAGCCTGGGCTAAGAGTGAGACTCCATCTCGGAAAAAAAAAAAAAAGAAAACTTTATTGTTCAAGATAATTTGATCAAGTGAGAGAGAACTTCCATCTAAGACAGTCTAGCAGATTTTTTTGGTTATTTTTTCCCATTTAATTTTGCAGAGTGTGTTGATTTGCTTTTTTATAATAAGCATTATTTAGAAGTTTGCTTTTCGACTCTTATTTTTAAGTAGGCCAAACTATCATACGTAAATAAACTAATTAATACAAACAGTAACAGTGGTTCAAGGGAATAATCAATAGCTGCTGGATTTAGACCTTGTAAAGTCTAAAGTTTGATTTCTGTATCCTTTTCCTTAGTAGATATCACTCTAGGTAGCACTTGAAGTTCCTGTTAGGATTTCCCCCCCTCCCTGCCCCATTTTCTCAAGATGTCCTGTTTTTAAAGAGAAAAATTAAGAGGATTATTAAAAACTTTGAATCACTATTTAGATTTATATCAACAAGATTAAGTTTTGTCTGTTTTTGAGTTTCATGTAAATGTAATCATACCATGCAACTCTTCCTCTGTATGGATTCTTTTGCTGATCATTGCGTCTGTGAGATTCATTTATGTCATTGCATTCTCATTTCTTATTGCTGAACATTCTTCTATTGTCTGTCTACATATGCCATACTTTTTTTTTTATTCTGCTGTTAGTGGACATTTGAGTCGTTTCTGGCTTAGGACTTCAATGAGTAAAGCTGCTATGAACATTCTTATAAATATATGGCATTGTCATGAAGAAAAATATCCTAGTGAGTATAGAAACTAATCTTTTTCTTATTCTGTGCTAATCAAGAGTACAGAATTTCCTGGCAGTTGAGAGGTTATCTTTAAATGAGTAAATTTAATTAGCCTGAAAAAATATTGACTACTACGTGAAGAAAGCTCTTTCAGCCAAGATGGTTTGCTCTGTTCTTACTGTTTTGTTTTACCTAGTTTTAAAAAGAGCGAATTGAATACCTAAAATAAGAATTATTACTTAACAGAAAGCAATAGCAAGATGATAGTAACTTTATTTTGTTAGTTAAATAACCATTTACTACAATGCCCGCAAGCCTAGAAGAAGAAACCCGCCAGAGATGTAATAGCTTTTTAACACTTGCTTATTATCAAAGTAACTGTGATGATAAAGAATGTGTAGGTTGTAGCAGAAAACCATATTTTAGGTTCTATTACAGGCTTGTAGTAAATTGAAAACATTTTTTTCTTCATGGAATTTCTAAAATGTTTTTGCAATCATTTGAAGCTTTATTGCAAGTGAGGCAATAAAAAGGGAAGAAATCCAATTACTTTATGTGCAGAGCTTTCATTTCCTAGTTAATGAAAGAAAGGCTTTTGTTCACTAAGCATGCATGCTTTACAGTTCTTCTTAGTAAATTAGAAATTTCCTGAAATAGAAAATTAGGAAAATACTTCCTGAATATATACACTTTGATAGAGGGTAGTTTTACTAAGTTAAAGCTTATACTTAAGAATGTTGCAGCCCAGGTGAAAGGGTCAACAATTAGATTAGATGGGTCATTGAAGGTAATAAAAATAGCAAGCACATACTTTGTGCTTAATGTTTGTGAGGCATTGTTCTAAGCTCTTTAAATATATTATTTCGTAGTCCTCACAATAGTTATATCAGGTTGATACCATTATTATTCTCCTTTATGATGAGAACCTGAGAGACAGAAGTTTGGCAATTTATTCATGGTCACACAGCTATTGAGTAGTGGCTGTGCTGAGAATTGAATATGATCAGTCTGCCTTCAGAATATGTATCCTTAACCAATATGCTATATGGCTTTTCAGTCTATTTCTATAACATCCAAAAATAGGAATGGGAAGGAAAGAAGCAAGAAAAGGTAAGGGCAAAGGACCTCAACTCTGTATCTTTGATTTTCTGCAGTTTGAACATGATGTACTTGGGTATAATTTTTTGGCCTTTTATCTTAGTTGGTGTTCTCTGAGCTTCCTGGATGTGTGGTTTTGTATCCAACATTAATTTTGGGGAAATTCTGTCATACTGTTTCAGATATTTCTTACGTTCAGTTCCTTCTTCTCCATCTGGTATTTCCATTACATGTATGTTACACTTTTTTAGTTGTCCCACAGTTCTTGGATATTCTTTTCCATTTCTTCAGTGTTTTTTTTTTCCTTTGCTTTTCTGTTTTGGAAGTTTGTATTGATGTATCCTCAAGCACAGAGATTCTTCCCTCAGCTGTGTCCAGTCTCCTAATGAGCCCACCAAAAGCGTTCTTCAATTCTGATCTCTTTATTTCTTTTTTAATCTTTCTTAGAATTTTCATCTCTCTTTATATTACCTATCTATTCTTGCATATTGTCTACTTTTTCCATTAGAGCCCTTAGCATACTAATGATAGCTGCTTTAAATTCATGGTCTGATAATTCCAACATATCTGCCATAATTGAGTATGGCTATGATGCTTGATCTTTCTCTTCAAACTGTGTTTTTTACCTTTTAGTATGTTTGTAATGTTTTAATGAAAGCTAGACATGATGTAGTGGGTGAAAGGAACTCAGATAAATAGGACTTTATTAATATTTCGGGGGAGGGGAAGTGTTCTATAATCCTGTGATTAGGTCTCAGTCCTTTAATGAGCCTGTGCCCCTATGTTATATACTTCACAAGTGCCTCTATCCTGCACCCCTTAGGTGAGACAGGATGGCTGGAGGGGAGTAGAATTGGGTATTTTCCTTCCTCTAGGTAGGTTAAGCTCTAATAAAACTCCTAGCAGGTCAGGCTCTGGTAAAATAGTTTCTCTTCAGGGCAGGCCTTGTTAAAAAGAACAGAATGTTCCATCATATTTCAAAATACAGTTGTCTGTTGGTATTCATGGGGCATTGGTTCTAGGACCCCCTGCAGATACCATAATCCACAAATGCTCAAGTCCCTTATATAAAGTGTCATATTTGTGTCTAACCTATGTACATCCTCCCATATACTTTAAATAATATATAGATTACTTATAATACATAATACAATGTAAATGTTATGCAGATTGTTAGGCTGTTTTTTAATTTGTATTTTTTGTTGTATTATTTTTTATTTTTATTTATTTTGGATATTTATAATCTGTGGTTGGTTGAATTCATGCATGTGGAACCCACAGATAGAGAGCCAACCGTAGTTATTTTTCAGTTCCCCCTGCCAGAGCCCAAGGGTTTTTTTTTTTTTTTAAATCTTCATTGTAGGAACCTGCTTGAGATCCTGGAGGTAAAACTCAGAAGGGTGAGGGCCACCCTATGACCTGGATCCCCTGAAGTTTTAATCTCTCAGACTTGTCTATATTTGAGCCTCCAGCAGTTCATCAATTACAGTTCAGGTTTTCCTACCTTGGGACTGGGTTTCTATCCCCATAAGTTGATTCTGTCTATCTGCCTGCCTGTCTCTCTTGTTTTCAGGGCTACAGTTTGCCTTATGACTTCACTTCTTTGATAGGCTTAAAAAGAGTTGTTTATTTTCCAGTTCGTTCAGCTTTTTACTCGTTAAAACAGGATGGTGACTTGCAAGCTCCCTGCTTGCTGGACCAGAAGTGGAAAGTCTCATAATATGAATCTTAATTATTATTTCAGCAGTCATAAGGTCAGTATGATAGCTATTATTATTATTATTTTACCGATCAAAAGCTTAGGCTCACAGGGCTAGCTACATAATTTGTGGGCCCAGTGCAAAATGAAAATTAGAGACCTCTTGTTTAGAAAACAGGAATAAAAAGTACCGTTAAAGGTACTAAAATATAAAGCTTTTTTTTCTTCCACAGTCTCTGTACTTATGAAGGTATGTTTTTGTTACTTAATGTTGTTTTAAATCAAGAAAAATTAAAATTTTACATTCTTAATATGAATTTTATTATTTATATTATGCAGTGAAGTTTTAATTGCAAACATAAGAGCATTTAACCCACATATGGAATCAATGAAATGATACACTTCATATTCTTAGCTTCCACATGCATATGTCACTTGTTCTTAGCAGAGCAGTGGAAACATGCAGAAACTAACTCTACTGTTTTTATTTCACTTCTTGATACACATATTTTCTATCAACTCTACCTTCAGTTTACCGATGAGGAAAGGAAAAAGAACTGTCGGCTGCCCTTTTTTCTTTCTCTGTCATCATTTTTACTGTATGTGTTGGCTAACACAGGGAAGTGACATGAGTAAGATAGGATAGGATATTTTGGTCTTCCTTGTTTCTTAGAACACCATTGCCTTCTTTCTGCTTTTGAAGCAAGTTCTAATAGGAACAGAAATCATGGTCTCTTGCGGCTGTCAGTAACCCTGCTCACCCTGTCATAGAGCTAATATACTTATCTTGTATTCACTTGCAGTCTTGTACTGTGACTCTGTGCTCATGGAGCATCATGAGCCCTGTATGCAGATGTACAGCAAGGAACAGTGGGGACACACATTGCGCATATATCCTGTGCTTAAGCTTATGTCCCATCGGATTTACAAAATAGATATTCAAAGAGAAAATTATTACAAATTTCAAGATGGCCATAGGAAAATATTAAAGGTAGCATTGGGGCTCTGTGAGACTGCATAGGTTGCAAACCTATGAAGCCAGCCATGTTCAGAGATACTAAGTGACTTGTTCACAGTCACCCAGCTGGGAAGTGTCCATGCTGGGGTTAAAAACTCAGGTGTTTGGCTAATTTTTTTCTTTCATAGTTTTGCTAATAAGTGGTATTATCAAAAACTACTTTTTTTTTTCCTTCTCTGCAAACCTCCAGAATACTGTGTAAAAACAAGAATAACAATAGTGAGATGAGTGTTAAAGATATAGCTGTAGGTATAGCCACTCCTGTTGGGTTTACTGCTTTTAAAAAAAATCTTGCTAATTCACTACTGAGAGGTGACTGGGCATTTGTGTGCAATCCATAGAGTCTTACGAACAGGAGCTTACCATTGTCAAGAGAGGAACCTATTAATGACAAGTTTAGCAGTACTGTAGCCAATTCCTGTCTAAAGTTAAAGGCTCTAAGTATAATTATGATGGGTATTTCAAATTGGATACTTGTAAGAGTGAAAGCAGGCACTATTAAACAGTTAAGTTGGAATAACAGGCATCAGCTGGAGTTATTTTGAGCAAACCAGGACTTGTGTTCACCTGCCTCTCATTCACACACATGCTAAGCCGAATAAGCATGCCACTCCTGTGTGCCCCAGAAAACTTCTATTTTCTAACTCCATCATTACACTGGTCCACACTGAACCAGATTATGTTTGTGTCCATGTGCATAACTAGAGTATGAGTTTAAGATTAGGAAACGTGTTCTTCATTTTTGTATCCCTAGTGCTTACTAGTCCTGGTATGTAACGATAAAATGTACTACTGCAACCACTAGCAGCTACCATTTATGAAGCACTTATGTGCCAGCTACTGTGAAAGGGACTCTCTTTAAATTACTTTGCTTACTTCTCACAAAAATCCTGCAAAGTATTATTTTAAGGAAACTTACCAGTGTAGCCATTCAGTATTTGGGATGAATAATAAGAAACTTTTTAGAACCATTTATAAAGCACTCTAGGTCATTCTTTGAGAAATGCTACAAACTAGGGAACCAGGAGATTAGAGATGGGCTCACGTCTTGATTTTCAGAAGGAAAATGTAGTGGATTATGAATGCTGTATCATTAAGCTTGACATGGATTCTATGCAAAATTCAAAAGGATTTTTTTTTTTTTTAACAACTTACTTCTTTTCCATAGTCTTACCAGCACTCACTGGTTGCCTGCCATGGATTCTTTAAGAACAGTTCCTGGCTGGCATGGTGTCTCACACCTGTAATCCTAGCACTTTGGGAGGCCGAGGCAGGTGGATTGCTTGAGCTTAGGAGTTCAAAACCAGTCTGGGCAACATGGTGAAATTCCATCTCTACAAAAAATTAGCTGGGCGTGGTGGCTTGTACCTGTAGTCCCAGCTACCTGGGAGGCTGAGGTGGGAGGATCACCTGAGCCTGGGAGGTCAAGGCTTCAGTGCGTGGTGATTGCACCACTGCACTCCAGCCTGGATGACAGAGTGAGGCTCTGTCTCAAACCCCAACAAAACAAAACAAAAATTAGTTGGGCATTGTGGTGCACGCCTACAGTCCCAGCTCCTTGGGAGGCTGAGGTAGGAGGGTCGCCTGAGCCCAGGAGATCGAGGCTGCAGTATAGTGAACTGTGATCTTGCCACTGCACTCCTGCCTGGGCAACAGAGTGAAACCGTGTCTCAAAAAAAAAAAAAAAAAAAAAAAAAAGAAAAAGAAAAGAAAAAAAAAACCCCACAGTTCCTGTCAGACTAAGCTTGCTTATTGGCCAAGATTCTTAAATATGCGTCTGGTCAAGATGTAGACAGGTGGGCCTGATGATCAGATAGTAAGGTAGATTATGAACCGGATAGACAGCTATCCAATTAATAGAATTGATGTCAGTTTAGAGGAAGTTCTCTGCTTTCTTCAGGGGTCAATACTGAACTTCATTCTTTTCAGCATTTTTATTAACTGTGGATATCTGTGCCATATTGTTCAAATTTTCAAATGACCAAGCAATAAAGATTAGTTAAGATATCAAATGACAGAATAAATCCCTCAGATAGTGTTAAAATAAATGCCAACAAATTGGATAAATGTAAAATTCTGAAGCAAATGTACCCAAACTTAACTGTCCTGAATATAGCACAAAAGAAAATGTCATTGAATTTTAGATGACCAAAGGTCTGGTATGAATTAATGGTCTTCTGTTGCTTTGGAGAAGGTCAGCTCCACAAATTTATTCCTCCATTTGTTTTATGCATGGCTGTAGCATAGAGAGTATGGCTAAATGGGTAGATGTTACAAATTGTCTGAAGAGGATACTTTCTAATATTTGTAATTATCCAAATGTAAAATATGCTATATCATCATATGCAGTGATTCCATAACACTGGAAGATTTTCTTACAGAGAGAATGGACGTGTAAGAGAGATGTTACAGTAGTGTTTTGTGTATCACATAATTCACTAAATGTCTTCAAGGCTGCTCCGACTTCTGCAATTTGTGTAAATCCTTGATAACTTCTCCAGCCCAGTGAGATACTGTTTGGGGCGGTAGTGTCCATAGGTCTTACAGAGAACATTTACTGAAAGATGTCCATATGATTGGGGAAATAAAATGTAGATTGTAATAAATCCTAAAAATACAATTTAAGAAAGAATATTAAATTCAAAAAGAGTACTCTATGTGTTGACAGCTTTAATTTGTAAAAGATCTATATTATAAAGAATGGTAAACAGGAGAAAAAGAAACTAAAGATTTTGAATAAATAAGATATTGGGAATAAACAAGAATTATATGCAAAATTTTTTCTCACATAAAATAGTTTTAAGGTTGTATATAATTCAGTTTTGAAAGCATACAAATACAAACAGATATAGTAATTATAGCTATCAATCTATATAGGAATATAAGACTGGTTTTTATTAATGTATTTATAGCATATAGTCAAAAGACTTTATTTGAGTAAACAACTAATGTAGGTAATATAGTGGATAATATTAACTCATGAATTTTTTACTGAAAATTTTAGTAAAGGTTAAACCTATGAAGATTTCAGTAGGTAATCAGATAGGATAGTATTCTGGGAATTAAAGGTTAAACCTATGAAGATTTCAGTAGGTAATCAAGATAGGTTAGTATTCTGGGAATTATGTGTTGTTGAGTAACTTGTTAGAAAATGTATCTCAGATAATCAGGTTCTACTGAGGCCGTAGATTAGTTTTTTCCTAAAGTATTGCTCTGACCACATCACAGTCACAAAGCCTCCCACCTACAACAATGGTGGTCAGATTTTTCTTCCTCACTGCAGTTCATATGCACAACATACTTCTCCAGGAGTAATATTTTTTCTTTTCACTACCCCCATTGAAAAACAGTGACATATATGAATGCTAGCTCTAGTTGGCTATTTATTTAGGTCCTTCCACATTGTGGAAATAGAATAAAAATCTTCAGATTCATCTTTTATTCCTTACATGTAGAACTAGAGGTCAGTCAGATACAAGCACCATCTAGCACCTTTCCCACTCAGTGTTCTTCACATGGTGCCATTGCCAATTCCAGGGAGGTCAATGCTTCAGTGAGTGGTGATTGCTCCACTGTACTCCAGCCTGGGCAAGAGTGAGGCTCTGTCTCAAACCCCAACAGAACAAAACAAAAATTAGCTGGGCATGGCGGTGCATGCCTATAGTTCCAGCTACTTGGGAGGCTGAGGTAGAAGGATCACCTGAGCCCAGGAGATCAAGGCTGCCGTGAGCTGCGATCTTGCCACTGCACTCTAGCCTGGGCAGTAGAGTGCACCGTGTTTCCTATTTGACTCTTTCCTATTTTTCCTACATACACAAAAGTTAATGTCACTACCTTTATAAAATCCTAATCACCCACGACTACCATTACCTTTGAACTTCAAAGAGTCATACTTTTCATGTGGTCTTTATAGTGTACCTTGAGTTAAAATTATTGGCATGCTTGCTCTGACCCTCTATCAGATTGTGTTTATTTTTTTTTTCTGTTTTTTTCTTTGTCTTCTTTTTGTTTTTGTTTTTGTTTTTTTTATTTTTGAGATGTGTTTTTGCTATGTTGTCCAGCCTGTTCTCCAACTACTGGGCTGAAGCGATTCTCCTACCTCAGCCTCACACATAGCCGGAACTACTGTCACGTGCCACCTGGCATGATTTTTTTAAATTGCAGTTTTCTGTTATGTCATTGTAAGAATATGCATGTATTGTTAAGCATTGGGTAAATATTTATTTTTAAATCTAATTTTTGATAGATAGAAATTATTCAGCAAAAGGCACCATGGTGCAGGGCAAGGAACCCTGTTAGGAGATTAACCTTTGCCACGATAGCCACTTACGGAGCCTTTGGACAAATCATGTCATTTAATTTCCTTAATGTTAAAATGAAAAAGTTGAATGTAATACATTTTATGTTTCTTGTTGTTCTAAGATTCTAGGAATATTAAAGGAAACTGATTATAAATAAACTAAGTTATAATTTGAGATGTCAGTTTTAAAAGAAAATTTTGAATAATTACCACTAGAACTTAGAAAATTGTATAGCTTTCCTATTGACTATATATTTATGCTCTTGTCTACATTAACTGGCCAGCTGAAGAATAGTGAATCACCTTCTAGAGGCTCAGCTGTTATGTCTGTTATTTAAAGGGCTAGGAAATGGTGGTAAATGTAGGAGTTGGGACCTAAATAGTTTTTTATTCAATTATATTCTGTGGGGTAGCGTTAATGAATCACAAAAAGATTGGGTAGTAAAGCTTCTGCTAATAAAAGCTTTAATAATTTGAACGAGACATCTGCTCAATGTGATTCTAAGGAAATTACATTTTATAAAATTGCTTTATCTAAGTAGACTTATGTTCTTGCTTGTTAGAAAATTTTGTTTAATAAATTATAGATTGCCTAATTTTATCTACCCACAGTTGACTGCATTCTTCACTTATTAAAAGACAAATTTCCTATGCAATGTTTTCAATAGCAGCAGAATTTAAAGTGGAGTGAGTCTGTATCTGTTGCTTGCCATGTCTGAGATGAATGTGAGGTATCAAAAGGATGACAGTTAAATGAGGGAAGGTGTGGTCATCAAGGTATTAATTTACTGTTATCACACACTAGTATCCCTGCCCATAAATCCTAACAAGATAATAGCATTTTTATTCTTAAATCTTCTAAAATTTGGCTTCCAGATATTATTTACTTTGTATTTATGTGATAGCTATATTTTAAGTATCTTAAATAATTGTATCTTGTAAGTCTTTGCAAAGTACAATACAGTTGGTATGCTACAGAGCAAAAGTACAAATTGATAGTTTATGTATTCATGTTTGTTGTTTAAGGTTTACAACCTTTATGTCTTGAAAATATTGATAAAAATGACTTCTTATGTTATAGGCAAACCTGGAAAAAGTCAAACATGTTCTTGAAGACTTTTCCATTTTAGAAAGTTTTCAGGAAGACATAATCCATTACACATATGTCTGTGTCTGTTAACCAAAATATTTAATTGGAATACATTTTGGAAATCTGTTGTTCCTCTCTACACATTAACATTGGTGATTTATATTGTAAAGAAAGACAAAGAGAATCAAATGTGCTTTGCTGTAGAAACTAAGTAGACTTTAGAGTGGCCATGAGACAGGATTTTTAGCATGTACACAGGGTACTGCTGCTCTCTTCTTGATTAATCTGGATTATTTAAATTGCCTTGTTGCTACAGATACTGTAATGAGGGACAAGAAGAAAATTATTCTGAACTTCCTATCTTATTTCATGAGATTTGATTTTAATTATTTTAAATGTTTGGTTTTTGAAATGCTGGATTCTTCAATGTGACAAAAGAGAATTATCATTTCAACTGTCTCTTCCTAGTCCAATAGCTGAGGCCAGCCATGATTTTCCCCTTCAGTCAGAGACTGAGTACCTGTCTTGTCAGCTTTTAGAATATGGCAATATTAGGCATCCTAGCAGTGGTCATGATATAATGATTGGAAGTAGTCTTTTCTTATTTTTACTTTTTTTTTAACTTTTATTCTAGGTTTAGGGGTACATGTGCAGGTTTTAGTTATGTAGGTAAATTGCATGTCACAGGGGTTTGGTGTACAGATTATTTTGTCATCCAAGTCATAAGCATAATACCTGATAGTTTTTTGATCCTCTCCCTCCTTCCACCCTCCAACCTGAAGTAGGTCCCAGTGTCTGTTGTTCCCTTCTTTGTGTTCATGTATTCTCAGTGTTTAGCTCCCACCTATAAGTGAGAGCGTGCAGTATTTAATTTTCTGTTTTTGCATTAGTTTGCTTAGGATAATGGCCTCCAGCTCCATCAGTGTTGCTGCAGAGGACATGATCTCCTTCTTTTTTATGGCTGTATAGTATTCCTTGTGTATATGTACCACATTTTCTTTATCCAGACTACTGTTGATGGGCATTTAGGTTGATTCCATGTCTTTGCTATTGTGAACAGTGCTGCGATGAACATACGTGTGGATATGTATTTATGGTAGAACAATTTTTATTCTCTTGGGCATATACCCAATGATAGGATTGTTGGGTCAAATGGTAATTCCATTTAAGTTATTTGAGAAATTGCCAAACTGCTTTCCACAATGACTGGACTAATTTACATTCCTACCAGCAGTGTATATGTGTTCCCTTTTCTCCACAGCGTTGCCAGCATCTGTTATTTTTTAAATTTTTTTAATGATAGGCACTCTGACTGATGTGAGGTGGTGTCTCATTGTGGTTTTGATTTGCATTTCTCTAATAATTAGTGATGTTGAGCATTTTTTTATACACTTGTTGGCTACGTGTATGTTTTCTTTTGAAAAGCGCTTATGTCCTTGCCCATTTTTTAACGGGGTTGTTTTTTGGTTGTTATTTCGTTTAAGTTCCTTATAGATTCTGAAGATTAGACCTTTGTCAGACGCATACTTAGCAAAAATTTTCTCCCATTCTGTAGGTTTTCTGTTTACTGTTGGTAGTTTCTTTGGCTGTGCAGACGCTCTTTAGCTTAATGAGGTCCCATTTGTCAATTTTTGTTTTTCTTGCAATTGCTTTTGGTGTGGAAGTAGTCTTTTGATAGGCTTTGCCCACCTTGATTTACTGGTGATAGTATTGGGTTTAAATGTACAATGTAATGGAATAAAACACAACACCTAGCTATTTAAAAATTTTTTTAAAAAACATTGAATCTATGTGTGTGTGTATCTTTATTAGGGGATTGCATGTTTTCAGGTTTTTTGGAACCTTCATAATGGCAGTATCTATGCAAAGATTTTCTTTATTCCATCTCAGTTTGTTTTGTGCTGCTGTAACAGAATAGCACAGACTCATTTATAAACAAAAGAAGTTTATTTGCTCATGGTTCTGGAAGCTGAGATGTCCAAGAGGACAGCTCCAGCATCTGGTGAGGTCCCTCATGCTGTATCATCCCATGGTTGGAAGCTGGAAGGGCAAGAGAGCACTTGAACAAGAGGGGGCCGAAATTGTTTTTATAACAAATTCACTCTCTTGATAACTAACCTATGCCTGTGGTAATGATATTAATCTGTTCATGAGAGTAGAGCCCTCCTGACCTCATCATCTCTTACTAGACTCCACCTTTCAACACTGTTACACTGGGATTACATTTCCAACATGTGAATTTTGGGTGACACATTCCAACAATAGCATCTCCTGAGTCTGTATTTTAAGTTATTATTACTCATCTAGGACTAGGAACATAAGTACTTACTTCCTGTCGTTTTACACAAAAATCTGTAAAAATATTTTTAAATATAAATAAGAAATAACTTTCAGTTTTTGTTGAAGTCTTTCAAGAAAACTGTATAGAAAATTAATAACTCTTAATGGATATTAAGCTCTAAAAGATTAAGTATTTGTTACTCTATCTAGAATTTTAGAAGGATTCCTTACCTATGTAGTTTGTGCTTTGGTGTATCTGTCCTTAAATGTTTTAAAAATAAAAATAGTGAGGTTAATTTCTTATGTTTACAATTATCAGTGAAGAAGAGTATCATCTGAATTTAATCTTTGTAGCTTTCACTAATATATATGAAGAAGTATATACTGTATATACTATGAAGACATAGAAAAGTAATCTCTAAAATCACCTTTGCCACACGTTGTGTTCAGGTTACGGCCTCCACAAGATTTGATAATGGAGGGATACAAAGTAAATTTTAAAGTGATCAATCCTTTTGCTTTTTTGATTTGTGGGACAACCTTTCAGATGCCAACTCTAAGGATAATTCATGTCTGAATTGTTGAAATCCATCTAGAATAGCCAACTCTATTTGGAATAATAGGGTTTAGGGCATAGACATTTCTCATTCATAATCTGACCATTGTAGGAGCAAAGGAGCAGACTGTCTTTAGAGCAGCATTTGTCAACCTACCACTCTGCTAAGAAATACATTTTACATTATGATCCAGATTTGTGCTCACATGTGTGTGCAAATGTGCAAAACAACAATCTGGGAATATTTACCTTTCTTTTATGCAGTCAGTGTACTCTATTTTCTATTCTGTATCATTTTTATATGCCAAAAAAAGTTTCGTTGTGGCCCATAAAATAGATTTCAAAAACTGCTAGTGGGCCCCACCTGCAATTTGATAAACTGTTTAGGATTTCTCTTATTCTCGCCTTAGTGTTTCTCTTTATTTTGCACAGCTATATATATGTTCTCATTTATACAGTTTCCTATGAAAATGGTTGATGACTACCCATTTAAATTGAAATGTAAGGAAGATGAGAAGCTTTTAGAACACAGATACATGTGTGAACATCTGGAAGGAAAGATATTTTCCAAATTGTTTGCAGTAGTTCTGAGGGTGGGAGTTGGGATTACTAGAGGACCTCTGCATTGCTCAATTTAGCTTTTTCTTTCCTTTTCAAACTATGACAGATAGTTTCATACTCAGCAGCATTTTAAAAGGTAGTTCTAATTTGGTGACAAATGCCTTATAAACAAGAGTTTCTATTTGAATTTTTAAAAAAGATCCTTTTTAGCCTGAAGAGGTTCCAAAGTCTTAGATCATAGAAAATAAATAGGAAGGAATTCCTCACAAGTTTAGTTTGTTTTATGCTTTTTTCCATGGAAGAAGATTCAGTAAAATACACCAAAAAAAAAAAAAAAGAATGCTAAATTTGGAGTGGCAGAAAATAAGAATTTTAGTTCCTGTATTCCTATTTGGCACATAACATCTGAGCCTCAGTTAATTTGCGGAATGAAAGTGTTTGGCCAGATTTTCTAAGTTTATTTTCAACTTCAAAGTTTTCTGATTTTTAAGCCAAATTAAAATAGGGATTAGACTTAACTACCTACTTAAAGACTACTTTAAGACACTCTTCAGAGTATTATAGGCTGTGATGAGACCAATGAAGACCCACCCCAGGAAGCTGCTAGGATCCTGCCCTGCAATATTTGAAGTTTGCATGCTCGTGGCCACACGATTCTCAGATTCCCTTGCAGATTTGATTATTTATAGTAGCAGATTGAGTAATCAGTTGAAAAGAATTCCTTTCTTCATGACTACAGGGAATATTTTTCTTGAAATTATTTTGAAATCCTTTTGCTAAGCAAGATAAGTCTGAACCTGTATTAGAGGTTGAAAAGTGAAAGAATAGAGAATGTGAAATGGATTATGTTAAACTTCTGAAAATTATATACTGTTACAGGTGGCTAATTCTTTATTTGAGAGAGTTATTAAAGAATTGGGCCGGGCGCAGTGGCTCACGCCTGTAATCCCAGCACTTTGGGAGGCCGAGGCTAGCGGATCATGAGGTCAGGAGATGGAGACCATCCTAGCTAACACGGTGAAACCCTGTTTCTACTAAAAAAAAAAAAAAAAATTAGCCGGGTGTGGTGGTGGGCACCTGTAGTCCCAGCTACTTGGGAGGCTGAGGCAGGAGAATGGCTTGAACCCGAGAGGCGGAGCTTGCAGTGAGCCAAGATTGCGCCACTGCACTCCAGCCTGGGCTACAGAGCGAGACTCCGTCTCAAAAAAAAAAAAAAAAAAAAAAGAATTGACACCTGGTAATAGTAGGCTAATTGGTTAAACAATAATTCTAAGGGAGAGTGTAGTGATTAAAAAACAAATAAGGGTAGATATGTGTTCTTAGAAGTTAACGTATCTCTAATAGCTAACAAAAAATGAACTCATGTAACAACTAAGTTGTGAATTCTTCAGGTAGTTGTAGAAGAAATGATCTTGAAATGGTTTGAGAAATGAATGAATGTTTTCTTTATTTATTTATTTCATTTTGTTTTTAAGAGATGGGGTCTTACTCTGTTGCCCAGGCTGGAACTGCGGTAGTGCAATCATAGCTCACTGCAGCCTTGACCTCCTGGGCTCAACCAATCCTCCAGCCTCAGCCTCCCGAGTAGCTGAGACTACAGGTGTGCACCACCACACCCAGCTAATTTTTTCATTTTTTGTAGAGACAGACTCTTGCTATGTTGCGCAGGCTGGTCTCAAACTCCTGGGCTTAAGGGATCCTCCTACCTTGTCCTCCTAAAGTGCTGGTATTACAGGTGTGAGTCACTGCACTCAACTGAACGTTTTATTTTCTTAGTTTATTAGAAGTAGGCTTTAGAATTGATAATCCAGTAGGTGTAGGTTTTTTCATTCTGTCCTACGCAATGTTTTTTGTGAGAAAGTAAGTTTGGAATGTGTAACTATGACTTCGGCTCCTGAGAACTAGAAGAATATTATATTTAAAAAGTAATTAATAATGTAGATTCAGGAAGAAAGTATATCAAATACCATTTCATTAGGCTTTTCCTGGCAGTTGTGTCTCATGTATCATACAGTGTGTGGATGATGGGCTAACAGTGTGCTCACGAAGACTCCAAGGCCTCCCCAGTCTCAGCTAACAGGATGTATTAGTCCGTTTTCATGCCGCGGATAAAGACATACCCGAGACTGGGCAATTTACAGAAGAAAGAGGTTTAATTGGACTCTCAGTTCCATGTGGCTGGGGAGGCCTCACAATCATGATGGAAGGCAAGGAAGAGCAAGTCACATCTTATGTGAATGGCAGCAGGCAAAGACAGCCTGTGTAGGGAAACTACCCCTTATAATACCGTCAAATCAACAGCACAGGAAAGACCCGCCCCCGTGATTTAATTACCTCCCACTGGGTCCCTCCCACAACACATGGGAATTATGGGAGCTATAAGATGAGATTTGGGTGGAGACACAGAACGAAACTGTATCACAGGAGTACATTAGTAGTAGCTAGGAAATAATATGAAATGCATTTCTTCAAAATATATAATTTCATATAAAAGATGGGAATTACGGGATCTACAAGATGAAATTTGAGTGGGGACACACAGCCAAACTCTATCACAGAAGTACATTAATAGTAGCTAGGAACTAATATGAAATGCATTTCTTTAAAATGTGTAATTTCATATAAAAGAGCTAGTAGTTAAGGACAATTATATTAAGAGTTAAATTGTTTTATTCACTATTTTGGGGTCCCAATATGTGAGGATTGTCATTGCAACTTCAACAGTCATGTTCGCTTGTTTTGTATATGACAAATAATATTCTAGGTTTTATTATACTATGTTTCATATTTTTTTTACACTAACTTTATCAGAACCCTGTAATTAATTGGGGCTTAAAATCTTGTTAAATTTACTTAAGAAAAATTAATAAATCCAATTATTTACTTTAAAGCTGCAGAAGAAAGATCAGCAACTGGAGCCTAAAAAAAGTACCAGCCCTAAAAAAGCTGCGGAGCCCACTGTGGATCTTTTAGGACTTGGTAAGTAATAAAAAATAAAAGTCACTGCTGGAGTTACAAAACAATTGAAACCTTTACTTGGAGTGAATATAATGGCTTTATCTTGAGTATGCCAAAACGTACCTGTTAACTGAATTTGAAAATGGTATGATTAGTTTGCTAACTTCCCACAAAAAAGAAATCTTTAATAAGGGAGCCAGTGTCTGTCAGCACTGTTTTCACTGAAATACAAGTAATGAGTTCTTTGGGGAAAAGAAGATATCAAAGTAATCTTCAAAGGCTTGCTGGATGTGACATTTTAGCGCTTACAATAAAGAGTGGATTATTTTCTCTTCTCTCTCTCTCTTTCTCGAATTTTTAGTTTTGTGGGGGATTTTTCCTCTTAGCAAAATAATTCTAGGGTAGCCTTATTGTAAAATACGTTGGTTTAAAATAAAATTTAATTTTGGTTAACTGAAGCAACACATTTTGCATCCAGATCTAGTGACTAGATTCATATAACTTATTCAATGAGAATAAGAAGTGCTAATTTTAATATAATGTCCTGTTTGTTCTCATGGCTGAAAGGTATATATTGTCTATGTGGTAAGTAAACAGGCCTTCATTCAAGGAGTGTTTATAGTGTGCTTATCTACAAATATTGTTAGCTTCTCTCTCTCTCTTTTTTTTTTTTTACATTTTTTTCTTCTAAAAGAATTGGCTTGATGAAAGGTTACTTTTAGTAATACCTGAGCCTTGGCACAGGAATAATTTAAATTTTTCTTTTTTTTTAGTTTGGAGAAAGATTGAGAAGGAAAAGAGTGAAAGGCAGTTAGTTGAAGTGGAAGAGTTGACCTTCATGTACTGCTTTCCAAAAAATTGATCCTAGTTGTTATTGAATAAATTGTTGTCTGTTTTAAGAATTATAGCTGAATGTTTTATTCATTTCTTAGGAAGCTGGTACATCGTACAAATATACTCCCTGGAGGTACAATTCTTCTATGATGGTAAAAAGTTGTGTATTAGAAATATAAAAAATAACTGTAATTTTGAAAATAAGGCTTCAGTCCAGGGGCTCTAAATATAATTATGTTGAATTGTAGTCCTCATAATTTCTTGTTTTATTTCCTTTACTGTAAATGAGAGAAAAAGAAAAGAAATTATTATTAAAGTAAAAAAAAATCTTAGTAAAACTTTAGTATATCATTATCTTCACTGCAGCATTTCTTTTCCAGTCTACATGCCTGGTTTATTAGTTCATAACTTAGAAATATAAAATATAATCTAGGCCTGATTCATATCTTACACTCATTCATTCACCAAATAGCTACTGTCTATTGTGTGTCAAGGTACCATTGTAGATACTAGGGAGATAGATCTGAAAGAGGACAGACTGCAACCCCTGCCTTCTGGGGCTTTCATTCCATCTGGAGAGACAGTGAATAAACAATTAAATAAAATATATTGTAGGTTATATGTGGTAAATACTATAGATGAAAGAAAACAAAAATGGATGGTTGTAATTTTAAATAGGGTGGACGGGGGGCATTCACAGATGTCTTATTGGAGCAAAGAGGTGAAGAAGGTCTGGGTATCTGGATCTGTAAGCAAGAGTATTCTGAGAAGAACACAGCAGATGCAAAGGCTCTTCAGTAGGAGCCTACTTGAAGTGTGCAAGGACCAGCAAGGATGACAGTGTGGCTAAAGTGGAATGATCTAGGGGAGAGTAGTAACAGAGGAGACAAGGAAGGAGGGGGTAGGGAGGGGGCAAGCTGAGTATAACAGGACTTTGGCTTTAACTCTGAGTGACCTGGAAAGACACTGGAGGAATTTGCTGAAAAGAAATAATCTGACTTTTGTATTTGAAGAATTATTGTGGCGGTTGTGCTGAGACTAGATTATAGTAGGGCAAGGTGGACAGGAAAGGGTTTTTTTAAGGATGACATTACAAGATGTTTAGTGTTAGAAATGAGCTTGTAGAGAGGTAAATCTGATACTTTCAGGACAAGGAAAAATTGCTCTAGCAGTGTCCTTGAATAGCCCGGAGTGGATGGGATCTAGTTGACAAACGGTATGAGTGGCCTTTCAGATACTCCATTATTGTTGGAATAATACTGCATAGTAAATAAGCCTCAGGTTTCAACAGCTTACAACATTAAACATCTGTTTCTCTTTCTGTGGGTCAGCTAGGGCAGCTCTACTGTAACTTCATTTGATACATTTTCTACCTTCCTGATTATTGCAGGGCACTTTTTACCAGCCATTTCACTATTGCAATATGTGTCTCCATTTTAAGTTCCAACAGTGTTTCCTTATCTTCTACCACCTTGTCTCAAAGTCATTGCACAGATTTTAGGGTTTGGTTGTGGCAGCACCCTTCTTGTATCAGTTTCTAAAGTAGTCAGCTCTTGCTGTGTGTGTTACATAGCAAACAACTCCAAAATTTCAGTGGCTTACATCAACTAACATTTATTTCTGTCACTCATGGGCCTGTAGGTCTGCTGGGATGTCACTCTTTTGGACAGTGGAACATTTTCAGGACAGTGTCTTTAAGGGAGAACCAAAGTTCATTTAGCAGGAGAAGTTAGGGAATGTTTGTGAAAAAAGGTTAAGAATATAAGGGGGATTTTGCAATGACTCACAGTGGGTCATTAGATCATTTGGCAGAAGAGTTCCAAAGATAGGAGGAGTGGGAGATGGGGTTAGAAAGAGGGCTGTCTTGCTGTGAGGGAGTTGTAGCAGCAGGGAAGAGGAAGTGTCTTACCCAGAGCACATACAGCTCTTCACATCTGCTGGTTATCAATTTCCTAAACTCTTAAAAAATATTTTCAGACTTTTTTTTTAAAAAAGCTATGTTTCAGCATAAAATCGATGAATTCATGAAAGTCCAGGAGACTACAGAGAATCAAAGGTCTCTTTCAGCTCAAAACAAACAGTGGTTCTAAATCTGGATTGATGATTGGTGTCCACCTTGGGCCTCAGGCTATTTATCTGCTCAGAAGCATGCCGCTCTCCTCCAATGGGACCCTGGTTTTCCCCTGTAAATTGAAACACAGCGGGGATTGGGGGCGTAGGTGCCTTGAAGTATGATTTATGGTCATGCAAAGATGACAGCATATCTCCGTATGAGTGAGACTAGAACAGACATTAACTTAAAACATTTCCAGAAAATATAGAGAGAACTTGTATAGCGATAGTTCAGTTAACACAGCTATGGATCCTTGGGACTCACGGCCTTCTTTATCACTCTTAACAGTTTCATAATAGCCTAATACTTAAGACTAGTTTTTGATCTTTCCTTTATATGGGACTTTAATGAACTTACTTTCTTTTGTGTAACCCAGTAACTCAGGTAAAACCTTTCTTAAGCTCACCTTTCCTGATCTACTACCCATTCAAAGTTCAAACATAAAATGCTTTATATTATATATACTTTATAGCAGAGGTTGTCCATTTTTTTCCAAGAAGGGCCAAATAGACATTATTTTTGGCTTTGCAGGCCTTATGATCTCTTACAACTATTCAACTCCCATTGTAGTGTGCAAGTAGCCATAAACAAACATGTAAATGAATGAGCATGCTTGTGTTCCGATCATGCTTGTGTTCCTATCAACTGTAAAAACAGGCATGGGCTAGGGTTTGCTCACCCCTGCTTTATGTTCCCAATAGTACCTACAAGAGCTGCCTCATATTTAGATATTAATTTGTGTTTGAAAGCTATAGGACTACTATTTATTATAGTACTTTACTCTCTAATACCATAAACAGGGTGAGATACTTGACTTGCCTCGTCTTAGAAATTACCAAGGGCCTGGGGCCCCTCTTGACTAAGTGCCAGATTGAATAATCTCTGAATGTACCAGATTTGAATCAAACACAGACATATCCTGACTTGAGTATGCACGTCCTATGTTAAAATAGAATTAAAATCAGCTTCTAGGGTTTGTGAGAAGAGTGCTCTTCGGGTCCCCTTACTTAGGAAGCTAGTTTAGGACTGTGAATTATACTGTTAGGGTAGTGTCTATTCTTTGTTGTTTATTAGTTTTAAAGATGATAAAAATTGACAGACTGCTTACCAATTGGTTAGGACAGTTCCCCCCGACTAATGCTTCTATTCAATGGGGCTCATTTTTAGAGTGTGGGGGCATAAGACCGCCTCTGAGAATAAAGTCTTCAAGGGCGAGCACATGCTTTGGGCATAAGGCTTGAGAAGAATTACACATTAGTGGCCTTGAATGTGACCTTAGAGGTTTCATTTCAACCTCCCATTAATGGTTCCTGCAGGGGTTCTGTTTTGTGGCCATCTGTGTACCACATGCGCACTGCAGAGCAGCCTGGTTCCTTGTCAGGAGGCGTTACCCACAGTCCTACCAGACACAGAGTTGTATGTGTCGGGTGCACTGCCGAGGCTGTCTGGGGGGACCGCATCCTCTCAGTGCCCCAGAAAGCATCTCACAAAGAATCGAGTCATGATCTTGGTAATGAAAATCTAGCTCAGGGGTGTACATCATGTGTTTCTCTATTCACTGCTTATATAAAACTGATTTGATTTTATCCATTCTATTCGTTACTTTAATCTGGGGAAATTTCTATCTAAACATTCATAACTTTTACTTTAAATTATTTTAAATACTGAACTATATGGAGAAGTAGGTAGAGATTCCCTCAGTTTTTTCTTAATTGAAACACTCAAAGGAACATACAGTTTTGGGCAAGTCGATGAGAAAAGTTTGCAAATTTTAGTTCCCCCATTCATGTTTGTGTTCAGGAAATAAAGGCTTTAACATATGACAGTGGTCAAGACAATGCTAGTGAAATTAAGCCATTAGTATATAACCCATTTTATTATTAGCAACATATACCCAGTTTTATATGAGAGAGGTGAATACAGAAAGTACTCTACTTACCTTTCAAACAGAAGATTCCTACAGAGAAATTTCTAGCCATTTCTCAAAGTCCATGTGCTATATAAAGCAAATTTGGGAATGAGCTGAGTAAAAGAATGCCAGATTTAGCAGCAGTGGTCCTGGTGATCCACAGTTACCAGTGGACCTGGAAAACCGCTGGTGTCCTAGAGCTACCTATTTGATCAGATCTGGAGGACGTTTGTGTAGTTATGTGCACATTCCCCTTCTCTTGGAGGAGGATTGAAGGTGAGGAAGACTGTAGCAGAAGTGCCCAAGAAAATTTTATAGTCAAGTTATGTTTTTCAGAGATGGTTTAAAACCTGATAACAACTTGTATTGCCTCTGCTCAGAAAAGTATGTTCAGTGAACTATTATTATGAACTATTATTACCCTTTCAAAAAGGAGGTCTCAGGGATTGGTTTATTCTTATGTAGTCACACTGCATAGGAAAGAAAATGCAGTTACATGAATATATTGGTGTAAGGTAACTAGCAATGGGCGGATACTTGCAAGTGGTCCTGAGTCAGTAGTAGGGCAGTTGGTGAACTGACACCAGAAACGGGTGCCGCTGGGTGAGTTGATGATATCACAGACTTTAGAAGAGAGCAAGAAGGGACAGCTTCTTAGAAACAGCACAGAACCTCCAGAGAATGTGCTGGTGGATAGGACAAAGAATTGTTAGGTGTTGAGAGGAGTAAAATTGACCTCTGAATGAGGCGACTTCAAACTACGAGTAACAGGAAGCCTGAAAATGGCTTAAACATAAGGACATCTAATTATCTCATTTGAAGAGAAATCGGGAGACACGGTGGTTTGGGGCCGTGCAGTGGTGGAACAGTGAGCGCAGGGAGCCAGCTTCCTCTTTGCTTCTCCTCATTCTGCCGCCCTCATCACAGCACTGGCTTTACTCTGGAGGCTTGTCACCTTATGGCCAACACATGGAAGGTGCAGCATCCTATCCTCAGGACCACGCCTAAAGGATGGCTTTTCCTTACCAGTTTCTTTTCTCAGGAGTAAAAACTTGCCAGAAAATTCCCCAGCAGGATTCCCAGGGTACGCTTGGTCAGAATTGGATTATATTACCTCACTAGTTGCAAGAGAGGCTAGGAAAATAGTATTCATCCTATAGAATGGAGGTAGGCTGTGCCAGCAAGAAGCGCCCAGATGGGGCTTTGGCAGTCTGTGGTATCTGGCACAGTTGCATTTCATCCTGACAGCAGCTCTTTAGGGTAGAGAGTATTTTACACACCCACACACACTCCCCCCCCCCTTTTTAAAATTAACTAATAATAAAACTAACAACTAATAAGCTAACAAAAATTAATTTCCAAGGCACTGCTGCTGTACTGTATAGAATTGGGACTCAAACCTAGATGTGTTTAATGCCAAAGTCTAATTTCAGCTCTTAAGATGAACCAAAGCAAGGCATCTAACCCAAGTATTAAATTATCTTATTATTTTAATAATCAGATACTGCTAACTAGATGCCAGGGGCTGTCTTGTGTGCTGACAGATATTTATTTATTGAATTTTTGCAACAGCCCTGAGATTGGTGAACTATCATTATTTCGCTTTTATAGAAGAGAAAACTGAGGCACAGAGAGGTTAAGTGAGTTGCACAAGGTCACACAGCTGGTAGATTACAAAACTGGGATTTAGACTGAGTAGTCTGACTTCGGGGCTCAGATTCTTAACACTATGTTGAGCTGTGATAGAAAATAAAACTCTAACAGGTGAGATTGTGCTATACACGAAATAGACATTGGACCCATTCATCAAATCAATAGATGGCAGTATTAAGTCATGGGGGTGGGACACTTGGTTTAGAGGTAGTACCTGGGTTTTGTCTGCCCTCTAGCAGCTTCGTCTGGGAAATGGAAATAGGAACTCTTCTGTAGCTGAGGGCCAGAATAAATGGTGTGCTTTATGTGAAGCACCTAGCACAGTAACTTGCACACAGTCCTGTGCTGAGACTATAACCTGAACACCAGGTCATGGGAGATCACCAAGAGGTAGTACAGGCCTTTGAAGGAATGTGTGGAGAAGGGACTCAAAAATTATGCTGAGTAACACACAGTAGGACTCCTGCTGGGTTATTCCTTTAATAGCCACTACCATTAGAGAGAAAGAGGGAGATAGAGGGAAACAGTGATTGCAAAGCATGGTCTGTGGCCTCTGATGGATTTGCAGTTGACTAAAAGAACTGAGGAAATTGGGTGGCCTCAGGAATCTAGTTTATCACCATTTTAAACATTTAGAAAGAAATTTGGTTATACAATCTGGTTTCATATTTATATATTTCTTATTTTTTGAGGCCATAAAATGGTGCAGTGATTTGATATATATTTATTTTTTAAACAATCAGTTCTACAAAGCTTCCTCCTTATACCACTTCTCAGCTATTTCAGATAGCTCTAAATCAGAGTGCGTGTGTGTGTGTACACATGTGTGCATGTGTGTGTGGTGTCTTCTGAAAGACAGTAGCACCATGGGGCTCTTCCCCTTACAGAGCATCATAGTGCCTGTGCATAAGAGAATCCCCTGATCAAAAGTTGGCTGGTTTGTAGAAATGTGTAGTAGATTTCCCTGCTGGCACAGTAGACTGGCATTTGGTAGTGGCTTGAAAAGGGAGGGCCAAATACAGTAAGAGGATTAGGATTATCTTTTAAGACCATGTTAGTCATTTTAGCAAATTAGCCTAAATACTATTTAACTGTATAAAAAATTAACTGAAAAATAAAAATAAATAGCTCCAGTTAGCTCTCAGGCACACTTAAACAAATTGAAAACAACTTAAAGCTTGAAAAGTTTAATATGCTTCAAATGGACATTTGTGACTTGAATTTACTAAAATAAGACATGTGAGTTGATGTTACAAATCAAGTCTTGTGTTTTAATATAAAGGAATTCCAAGTAATAATAAAAATTAAGGAGAAAACTTTAAATGGCTTATTGAGTAGAAAATAAAAAGGGTTCTTTGATCAACGTGAAAATTTAGAAAGCTTTAAGGAGTTTTGCCATTAAGGAGAGAATCACTTCATATCATGGACGCAGCCTTCTTTAAACAGTGCTGTTTCCACTTTAATTTCATCACTGGTTATGATGACGCTTCACTAGTTATGGAAGAAGAATTAGATTTGGGAGTTTTCATTGTAGCAAGGGTGTACTACAGGTAGAAGGTTCATGCTCAGTCAAAAATGGTAATGAAAAACAGCCATTTGCCACATTCTTATCTGCCTTAAACTAGATTAGTAATACATAAAATCTCATGTTGCTCTTTGACATTTTTTCTTATTTGTGCAAATAGATTATGATCAGCTAATGCCTCTGACATTCAAGTAAAGGATGAATTCAATTAATATTTATTGAGCACCAGCAGAGTTCATGGAACACTGGTAAACACCAGAAGATGCAGCTCTGTGTGTTTATAGTAGTGCAAGAGGGGGATGGGGCTGCTGTCCAGAAACTGGAAGACAGAATTATCATTGAGGGAAAAGATGGGATTATCTAAGAGAACTGGTTGTGAGGATTCAGTTTGAAATCTGGATTAATGCTAAAATTCCAATTTAAATTCTATTTTCCTTAATTCAGAGGTTGATTTTTTCTTGCTGCAGCTAGAGGAGAATAAAATAAGTTTATTTTGTACTATGCAAACTTATTTCAAGTAAAATCTAATGTTTTACGGACATCACCTTTAGAGTGAATAACAGTTGGAAAAGATAAGCAAATGCCCAGATAAATGCAGCTTTTAGAGCTGTACCTTTGTAGAGGATCTTATGATTTAAAACCCATCTGTATCTTATCATAGGGCACACAAGTGCTATGTTAGGACAGTTGGAACAGATGAGCAAGAGGGTAAGATATGGCTCCGACCAGTGAGGTAGCAGGTAGAATAGTCCTGGGAGGTGCCGTGACAACAGTGATGCACTGAGGTTTGGACAGAGGGGCGCTGGAGACACATTTATGATTGAGAGAAAGAATTCCAGCCTCACTGTACTTGTTCAACTGGAAAGGGGAAGCCCTGGTGTAGGGATTCTAGTTAAGAAGCAGTTGTAATCTCATAGGCAGATAGTTGTGTGGAAGCTGTGTCTATGAAAACAGAGGAAGAGGAGCCAGTCCAGGATATTGGTAGCAATGGCTGTGGAGTCTTCAAGGAGAATGTGGCTGTAAACTCTAAGAGAGGCGATTTTACAGGAGAAGGATCAGCTAGGGCTAAATGTGCTGGTGGTAAGTAGGAAGAGGACTGAAAAGGATTTGTAGCCAGGAGATTGCTTGTACTTTTCAAAAATAGTGTCATTATTTCACTTTTCTCCCACAAAAGTAGGATCACCTGAACTACTATTTGTTTTCCGCCATGGCTCTGCTGTCACCAAGAAATCCTCCCATAACCTGTGTTTGGAAAGCATTTCAATTAATCATGTATTGAGTATGTGCCTTAATCCACGCATTGAATTAAGGAGGCAGCTGCACTCTTCCTGGTGACGAAGCAGGTGGGACTGGTCATGGCTCGGGGCTATAAAAGTGGTGCCAGCGAGGAGTAAAGAGGCTTCTGGAGTACTGGGGCATGCCTGTTCAGCCTAAGAACATTCCGATGCCATAAAAACTAAAAATGAAAAGGATAAGATGCTTGGGAAGGCTTCTACTTTGCAGCCCCTGGATTAGCGGAACATTTGGAGGTGGAGTTGGTAGGCCTGACTGACCCGCTGTGGGTGGTATGGCCTGCAGTGGAGGTGGTGCTGGGTGTTGTGGGCTCAGGAGTCATCCTGTGCCTCAGAAAGGAGCTTGTGCCAAGTACTATGCCTGGGCTGGGTAGTGAAGCCAGCCCCTGCCCTCAGGGCACTATTTTAGGGAGGTAGGTCAATGGTCATGTAAATCATTGTAACTCTGGGTAGGGAATGGGCACCTGTTTCTGCCTGAGAACACCAGGAAACATTTCTCAAACTGGTTATAGCAGTTGAGTTTTCCGGGTGCACCATTGAGACCCGTGTTGAAGTCCTAGGCTTACTGTGCAGATTCCCTCCAGGTGAGGTAAGGATTAAACTGAGATACTTTATTGATCAGAGTATCTGGCACATAGTACTTAAATAAATATTAGTGGTTAAACTTGTATTAAAATATGAAGTGTTGTATTCTTATTTCCTTTTAGTTTTAGTTTATAAATTTAAAGGCACTTGGAATGCACCAAGGGGAAGACAATATTGTTAAAAATACTTTATTTACCTCATACTCATTTGGATTATTGGCGTCAGATGAATTCTGGTATAGTTACAGTTAATAGAGTCATTTGGCTCACTTCCCAAATTGAGGATTTTTAGGTGACAAGAGACTGGCCCTCATGACTTTGTCATATTTGAAATGTTACCTCTTTCTAACATCTCTCAGTGTCATGATGTGAAGTGGGCCAGTGAATGCATGCTGGGAATGCCTTCTGTTCTTGGAAGTTGTAGCACTGATTTTAACAATTTTTTTCTGCAGCTGAAAACATTTTAACCTTTTCCTGTCGGTTTCTCATATGTGGGTAGTTAAAAACATTCATCTATCAATTCAGTTCCCAAATAAGACACTAGCCTAACATCTTAAGGTAATGAAGAAAGAAAATACTTACCACAAGCTACTTAACTGTAGGTTTGATGTCTTGCCTTTAAGATGGAAATCCCATCTTCATTTTACTGCATTGTCCTAATTTCTTCTGTTTGCTCATTGCCTTTTCAAGGGGTCCTTTGTGCTTCATTATCATTCTTTATGATGTTCCCAGCTGAATTTCCTCCATTTGCCCTAGGCTTTTCTTGTACTCTGGATCTCCCATTATTTTTATTGTCCACCAGCTGTTTCTGCATACTAATTAAAGGGGGACTGCTGCCTCCTGCTGCTCCCACCATCATTCCGTAGCTGAGCAAGGTGCATGTCTACGGTGAATTCTGATTAGTTTTCACAGACATCCCCTAATCTCATAGAAGGCACTGTGTGGTCTGATGTTCTCTCTCCCCTGAAAGAGGAAGTGTGTGTGTGTGTGTTTGTGTGACTACATGTGTGTGCATGCACCAACAAGGTATAACCCATGCTGATTTAAATGTTTTTCTCACATTATGGTGATTTACACTATTTAATTTGAATAAGCTTTATGCTTTCTAAATGTTAAAGTTATTTATCTGAATAACTGTTTTCAGCATCTTGGTATTTTCTTGATTTTGTGGCCTCTGAGCTTTTATTAATCAGCAAAGACCATGTTATTAGTGGGCCCATGATCAAAAGGATGCATTTAACTCCCAATAATTTGTGAATATTCTTAGTTGACCAAGGCCTGATTATATCCCACAGTTGCTTCCAGGAGCCCAGTTTGCTCACTGATGACCATATCCACCTGAATCCCTCCCTAAAAACTGAAAAGATACTGGTGTCAGTACAGGATAGTGGAGTGGGGACATGATGAGGAAAATTTTGAGTGTGGCACCAAATGATTTTTAGACTGTTTAAGTAACTGCTTCTCAAACTTAGTACAAATAATTATAAACTATTTTAAAGTTGTTTTTTAATTTTCAGAACTTTAAGTGATTTGTTTATAATTAGGCGCAGTTGAAATTACATGGCTTTTGATGAAATGTGGTTTAAAGAGCTCTAGTCTAGATGTGAGAAGACTCTGTTCTGGTACAAATTTTGCTGCTTAAAAAGGTGAAGGACATTGAGGAAGTCTTTTCATTGCTCTGTGTCCTAGTTGGTATAACTGGAGATAATGGAGGAGATGCCCTTCTCATCTTGCATCGGGACAAAAATGATAACATGTAAACATTCTTTAAAAACATCCAGGATGAATGTGATGTTTATAATGATGGTAATGATAACGAGTCTTTAATTGTCTTTTTTAAACACTGAAAATTAAAAACACAATGACCTTCAAAATGAATTGAAGCAATCCCTTTTAAATAATGTGTTAAGCAAGCCAAATGTTGTAAGTAAAATTAGCAACTATTGAAAACCCACTGGGAACTTGTGTTTACCAATTTTGCAAGGCTGAGAAGTTTTCATTTAGGTTAAGAATTTGTTTTTTCAACAATTCTGTGAATGCATAGCTTTGATAGTAACTAGAAAAATTGATGGCTGTGAAATCCAGAACCCACCGTTAAGGGATCAATCACATGGGGAGAAGATGGAGTAGAGACAAAAGAGGGGCAGGTATGTTGCAGATGGTGAGAGCAGAGAGCAATCACCTATGCTCATCACAAGGATGCTCTGTAGAGAAAAATCTTGGTGAGGCCTGGCAGAAAGTTCCTTACCTCAGGTTTTTGGGGGGGTATGAAAAAGTCTTCCTTAATCAATTGAAAACAGTGTCAGCCTTGCCACAAAGATTGCTGTCCCTAAGCAGGTGCTTCCTCTGTCTCATTCTAAAAAGGATTCTGAAGTCCCTCAGACTTACTTTGTGAATTGACTTCATGACAGCTCCATTAACCATGGTGGCTGGTTACAGAGAGATCACAACTTTGTTGTTTGTGTGAAATGCCAGAAATTTCAAGAGGCTAATTTTAATATAGTAATAATAATAAAAAAAACACATGGAAAGAGAATATGGACTTGTTTATAGTGCAGTGGTAAAAACAGAATTCAAGTTATGTTGCAGTGAAGGGACATGAGCTGTGTAGACTTTATTTAGAGGAATGTTCTGCTTTTATGGTGAAAATCTGGAAACTACCTAAATTCTCTTGAGTCACACATTGAATAAATAAATTATTATAGGCACATGCAGTATCACAGAATGCAAATCCCCTACCTACACATACATAATTTTATATAAAGAAGACTATTTTTGTATGATCCTATATACATTGTTTTTAAACTTGTGGTAAAACACACATAAAATTTACCATTTTAAATATTTTACAATGTATAATCAGTGACATTAAGTACACTCACATTGCACAACTGTCACCACCATCTATGGTGGGTACTTTTAGTTTCTTCATTTTTGCATGGTTTGAATCTTTTACAAGAATGTGTTGCTTTTACAGTAAACATTGAATAAGATTACAATCTAAGACTTTGCTCCTGCTCTGTGACACTGGACAAGTTATTAGTCACATATGTGATACTAAAGGGGGTTAAAGGTAAAATAAGACTTCAGAAACCAAGTAATATGCTGTGTGTTGTTTTACGGATTAGAAAATGTATTGCTAGATACCAAATGTGGTTTAGATTTGAAAGTATAAGTAAATATTCTGAGAGGAGTCTAAGGTACTAAGTAGAACAGACTTAAAATTTCGGAAAGCTGTACAGTTTATAAAAGTAATAAGACATAGCATTGGTTTTTAGTGGATGCGCTTTGTGATTCTCACTAAATGCATCCTGGGCACACTGGTGTTCTGTGAACTAGACTGACATGTGCTGTGGTAAAAAGCAATTGATAGTATTTTCTCAGTTTGCCAAAAAATCAACGGGATTTTCTCATGTTAAATTTTTTTTTCCATAAATTTGTCTGATTTTGTTAACTACTACTTAATAAAGTAAAAACAACTATAACGGAAAAACTGGAAATAGTTGCTTATATTCAGCTTGTCACCGTTTTTTTTCCTTTTATTTTGGTTGCAGTTTACATTGTTTTAGAGGACATGTGCTTCTATTTGAGTTTAAATTTTATAAACATTTAAAATTTGTACATATATAAGTATATATACATTTTATATATATAATTATATTTGCAGCTAATAAAGTGCTTCCTCAATTCATGTGATAGAATGAAACATGTCTAATTGATGACGATGTTTGCCCATCTCTAACTCTGTAGCTCATGAGTTAAATCACCACTGGCTTATATGTCATTATTATTGGACTTCCTTTACTGAAGTGTAGATACAAACAAAAAAGATATTCCTTAGTTGTGTTTTTAAACCTAGAATGCCTTGTCCCTTTAAAATATCACTTTATTTCTGGCTGATATTTATAATGTACTATACATCATGTAAATGGGGTATGGAATGAACTGGAAAACAAAGTAGCGCTTTAAGGAGGTCTAACTTTAAAGTGAATATTGCCATTTGAAAGGGTTAGAAATGAAAAAAAGTATTTTCATGTATGAGTCTTAATTCTTTGATAGTTGTCTCAGTTTAAAATTCTATATATTGTAAATTATAATCTATGTACATTGTTTTATTTCTTCACCTTTTAATTGTCCATAGTACTTGATATAGATATGTATAATACATATCAATATATTTCTTTTAATGGTTGTGATAATGTGATATCACTGAAAATGACTTGAAAAATTTGCAGTTGAATAACTTTCAGATTAACCTAATTTGGGCTTTACACACTCTTTTGTAAATTAAATAGCAAAAAATATTTTATCGTGACTATGTGTTAATAATTCTTTGTAATTGAAGCTTAAACAGGGAAATAAAAGATACCAATTTCTCTAGTTGTACTTGGAAAAAGACAAGAACTCTCTAAGTTTCTGTGGATTGTGGTGGAAATATGAATGAGATGGTAGATCCTCCATTGAATTTGTCAGTATTTGAGTATCTACTTTGTGCAAGATACCCCATTCATTGTTGAAAAGGTTTTCAAAGATGACAGATTTCCCTTTGATGAGAGTATGGTCTACCAAAGAGATATCAAATGAGACTGTAAATTGTTAAGATAGAAGGTTAATTAGGCTATAACTCTCAAGAGGCTGGAGTTGTGATGCTCTGAACTGTTAACTTGGTTGTGGTTACAGAAAACTGAACCTTGTGAGATGTTCCAGTCCTGGAGTGCTGTGCATGCAAACTCGACCTATAGCACTCCACTTCATCTCCTGCCCCCAGCCCTTATAAATGTTCACTAACATAAAAAGGGGATATAAAATAAACCGGTTTTGAATTCTTGAAATTACAGTTTTAAAAACTGTTTTTTAATTTGAATTTTTAAGTAGGAAGCTCTGTCAGAGTCCCTTTCCCTGTACATTGCAGTGGCTTGGTACAGCCATCACTAAAAGTGGCTGTGCTGGAATAAATAAAGGACTTATTTTGGAGTTTTATGGATGCTTCCTGTAGAATCAGTTTAAGTATTGTATGTGTGTTTTGTTTTTTCTATCTAGTTTTCTTCCATGTTGTGACTTCAAAACATAACATTTCAGATGTTTTAGATCATCAAAACTTATTTCCATGGTAGGTAAAAATGATATTATCTCCAAAACACACACACCCTCACACATACATTTATGGAGAGGGATTATTAATAAGTGTGGTATCAAATTCCACCTTAGCCCCTTATCTCAAAAGTAGTTTTTACCTCATAAGGTTATGAGGATTAAATGAGTTGATACATGTGAAGTACCCAGAACAGTGCCTGGCATATAGGAAGCACCATAAAAATCTATGATCTTATTAAAAAAAATTAGGGTGCAAAATAATGTGAATAGTATGATACCATTGGTTAAAAAGGAGGTTTGGATATATACCTAGAAACCAGTGGATAAAGAATATTTCTGGGGGAATCAACAAAACTGGAAATGGTTTCTTTGGGAAAGGGGATCGGGGGTAGGTAGAAGGAGAACAAATGTTTTACCAACTTTTGAACTGTTCTTTTTTTTTAACCATATATCAATTTTTAAAATAATGCCATGTTTCAAGTAATTTAAGATATTCTACGTTAAGACGAGAATCTATATTCTTTTCAGATGGCCCTGCTGTGGCACCAGTGACCAACGGGAACACAACGGTGCCACCCCTGAACGATGATCTGGACATCTTTGGACCGATGATTTCTAATCCCTTACCTGCAACTGTCATGCCCCCAGCTCAGGTATGTGATAAGAATATGGTTTTATATGGTCACTGCTTATTTCCTTTTTGAAAAGTTTCAAAATTTCAATTTTGGAAGAATTGTTTCTGAGCAGTAACTGATTTAAAAGTCTCCTGTTCTTTAGGCTAGAGTTTAGCAAACTAAGCCAGCAGCTTGTTTTTGCAAATAAAGTTTTATTGGCACACAGCCACTCCCACTGGTTTAGGTACTGTATGTGGCTGCTTTCCTGCTACAAAAGCAGAGTTAAATATTAAAAACAGAGAATGTATAGCCCACAAAACCTAAAATATTCACTGTCTTTAAAGTTCTAACCCTTGCTTTAGGGAAACAACAGTATTTAGAATGAACAAGTGGAAAAACCCTGACTACCTCAACTTTCCTGAGATCAACAAGGTCACTTACTTCAGAGCTTTTAAAACTGTGGCTGTTTGTAAATATTGACTGCAGAAGTTCTAGCAAATTTAGTACTGTCTTTTTAAAATAAAGGCAAAATGAAGGTAAATTATGTTTTAAGTTAGCCTTAAAATCTACCTTGCTTTTTTTTTTAAGTGATTTTTTAAAAATCTAGAACAGTAATAATAATGATCGGGATATTTTAATAAAAGTATTAATGGTGAAGAAATTTTGAATTGCCTTCTTAACATTACATGGAATTTTTGTAATGTGAACTGTATGAACTTTCAGGAAACAAACTACTCTTAAGCATACAACATTAAGATTCTATCTTAAGTTTATACTTTACAAATAAACAAGCAGTTT
The DNA here is from genome assembly GCF_000001405.40 of Homo sapiens. Classification (NCBI taxonomy): domain Eukaryota; kingdom Metazoa; phylum Chordata; class Mammalia; order Primates; family Hominidae; genus Homo; species Homo sapiens. The sequence goes on from NC_000006.12 coordinate 70,853,424, forward strand.
GTGCAGCATAATTTTTGAGATAAAATATTTCCTTTTCCATAGAAAAACTGAGTCAAATCTGAATTGTTCTGGTAGACAGTTTTAATAAGAAAAAGTCAATGTCTTATAAGGCTAGGAACATATTTCTGTTGCACATATTTATTGTTATTATGATAGTCATTATATAGTTACCATTAGAATGGAACAAGTAGATTTCTTAGGAATGATTAAATGGATCTTTATCAAAATTGTCTGCAGCAGTAGTGTTTATTTTCAGCAAAATAGCTTATTTTATGGCTTTGCCCCTTCTTCCCCTCCTGTAACACACATAAAAAAGAGAATATTGTTACTGTTATTTCAATTAAGATTAATTACCTTACAAATTGGTACAGGCATAGGTGTACATGTGACAAAATTGTCTAATATTGTGTCTTTGGAAAGAAGCATTTAGGATATTTGACAACCAGAATGTGAAAAGCCATTTATTTTTAGTCTAGCATTGTAGTGCGGCTGTTATACCTGCTAGACTTATTTAGCACTGTCACTGGGGTCTGACAGTTGCTTTGCAACTGCTTAAGAGAGTTAGATCCCACCTCTGAGGTTTCAGTGTACTTCACGTGTTCTGTTCTGTATTAAAGCAGCAAGTAGAACAATGCAGACTTCGTTTAATTCTTAAGCACAAGTAGTGCCATGACAAGGAGTGTAGCCTCTGGCTTTAAGAGGGGTGGCAGCTGGCCTTCAGACTTTAGGCATTCTGAGCATTACCTGGTAGGACATAGGGTTAATTTTTAAAATCATATCTAATACTTCTTTTGGAACACTGTTATGTTGAGCACTGGTTAGACTGTACAAGTTATGTTGAGCCCTGTAAAATATTTGGTGAACAGTAGTATCTTTCGTCTAAACTTCATGTAGAGATTAAAATCCAGACATATTTGGCCAGGTATGGTGGTTCATGCCTGTAATCCCAGCACTTTGGGAGGCTGAGGTGGGTGGATCACCTGAGGCCAGGAGTTCAACACCAGCCTGGCCAACATGGTGAAACCCCATCTCTCCTTAAAATACAAAAATTAGCTGGGCGTGGTGGCGTGCGCCTGTAATCCCAGTTACTCGGGAGGCTGAGGCAGGAGAATTGCTTGAACCCGGGAGGCAGAGGTTGCAGTGAGCGGAGATCACGCCATTGCACTCCAGCCTGGGGGACAAGAGTGAGACTTCGTCTGGAAAAAAAAAAAAATCCAGACATATTTTCAAAATAATGCCTTTGAAAATGGGGGATGGTGCTGAAACTACAGATTCTATGCATATATTGCTACCATGTAATTTAGTCATTTTGGTGGGTTTTTAATATGTGAAGTTGAGCTCAAACTAGTTGTGGACACCAAGATTTTGAATTCTTCTGAACCCTGTATTCTTTCACTCCTTGTGTTATTTTCTGAGTATATACAAATTCTAGTACAATATTTTCTAACTTATGAATATGAAATAGATTGATTTTACCATCTGCCTTACCTGTCTGGGGTCTAGTCTTTCTTAAAGGGGTTAGTTAGAAATACTTAGCTGACAGGAGTGTACCTGTGTTTTGGGGGCTGGAGAGGAACAGTTCCAGAGTCTTCATTGTTGACATGGAGAAACCCCTTTCCTGTTCTTTCATATACATATACATATACATATACATATACATATACATATACATATACATATACATATACCAACAGTACCTAGACATACACAAGGGCTAAGTCCTGTTTTTTCTTGGTTAAGCCCTTGGGTCCCAGAAGGCCAGAGAGCCTTCGATTAGATGCTCTGCAGCTTCCTGAAGTGTAAAATGAGAGGCAGAAGTTGTTTCCCTTTTATCCTGGGGTCGTAGTGCTGGCGAGTGGAGCACCAGAAAGTAAGTGGACATTTGAGTGCTTACTAGTCCTGCTGATTGGTTTGGCTGTTTTTAGACTGTGTCCTTGTTGAGGTAGATATTTCATATTATGATGTTTACAGTATGTGAATATTAGGCTGCTCTACTATGAGAGTGGAATCATAGCTTCCCAACATTTTGGGTTTTCTTATAGTTGTCTCTTATCCACAGGGAATAGACCCCAGGGTTTTCAGCAGACTTTTAGGTTGAACAGATACTAAGTGTGATAAAAAGATCACTTAGTGATGTAGTTGCTTTGTTTTATAAACAATATTAACAATAAACACCAAGTACTTAATCCAACCATTGTGCAGAACACTTTTGTGATCATTAAGCTTATCCCAAGTTTATAGGAGAGAGACTGAAAGGAGAAGTAAAGTAACATGTCTGAGTGTACCACAGAAAGTCATGGGGGCAGGCTCTAGTCCTGGCAGACAGGCTCCAGCCCATGCTCTTAGCTCTATGATCTGCTGCTGCTTCATTGGTAGCTTAGATATATTTTATTCAGGGGTATTGTGATATTTAGTATTCCATGATATCTAATTTCTTACATATTTGAATTTTTGGAAAATTAAGCGGCTTTTTGTCGCTTACAATTCTTGCTTAGTCATAAGATTCAAAATACTGTGTAGTTTATAAGTACAATGTTTGGATGGTAACTTATTGCATGGTGTTCTAGGAGGACATTAAATGTTTGAATTTAATTTCCACTTGCAACTCACCTTATTCTGTAGTTTGAGAAGGATCAGCCAGCTTTTACTAGTCTTCATAGAATTCTTTGAAACTCTCTTCATATTCAAAACAAGTCCATATAACATGTGAATGTGATTTAATGTTTAGTGACTACGGAGATGATTAAGGTTAGCAGTTGTGATTGTATAATAGTGTGTGCAAGATATGAGATTGAGAATATTTTATATTAAATATCTACATGTTTATTTGTATTTGTGTTCATTTGCCCCCTTGTCCAAAAGTGAAGGGCAGGATATGTTCAGACAATAGATGGTCAAAGTTTTGCTGTACCTTCATTTCTGGATAGATTAGAAGCAGTCTAATATTGTAGTTAAAACTGATTAGATGTATAAAAATCCTATGATACAGGTTTTGAAAAGATAAAACCTTTTAAGTAGCCATTGCAAATCCTCTTACAGTCTGTTGTAGTTGTAGAAATGTTCTTTATTCCAAAGGATACCAGTTTCTTGAAGCAGTAGTTGCTATGGAGTGGTGGTCCTCTCATCTCTAACTATTGTTGAGCCCCAGGATTTGATGAGCAAAAACTTGGTGTCACCTTAGGTAGTAAATGCAACTTACTGTGAAAATGCTTCAGTCTACCTACATTAACAGATTCAAATTAAGAAGTACTGTCTTGATTGTAGATGTTTTTATATGGGCTTGGGCTTGTAAGTGATCCTCTTGAATGGCACCATTTTACCTTCTACAATTGTTTGATTCCTATCTAATTTTATAACTTTATTTGGATTTTAAGTAATGGATAAGCTGCGCTTTACTATGCAGAATTTGATAGCTTATTTTGGTGTTTGTCTCAGGGGACACCCTCTGCACCAGCAGCTGCAACCCTGTCTACAGTAACATCTGGGGATCTAGATTTATTCACTGAGCAAACTACAAAATCAGAAGAAGTGGCAAAGAAACAACTTTCCAAAGACTCCATCTTATCTCTGTATGGCACAGGAACCATTCAACAGCAAAGTACTCCTGGTAATGAATTTTGATATCTGCTTTCAGTGACATTACTAGAAGTACATCCTTTGTAATTATATAATAAGATCAATTATATATCTTTTATTGTTCCATGTAGTGAGTGCTTTTGTTGTTGCAGTTTATACAACTATGAAGCCGAAATGAATGAGCATTAGAATTAAAAAATTAAGAGGCATGTACAGGATTCACAGAACTTTATTTGGAATTAACAAGCTGTTCATAGATCACTAAATGTTGTTTCACAAGCTTATAGAACATGGATTATCTTTGATGAATTATTGAAACGATTTGCATGAAGTTTATGACTGCGTACAGTGTATTTTCTCTGCAGGTAAACAGTCTTGAGTTACCACATGGATTAAAAAAAATCTATGAATTTTTTTGTAATCATAACAAAATATTAGCATAAGCCTTATTGTTTACAGAGTTTTAATCTTTCACACCATTTCCTTTAAAATAATGAGCTGCATTTCACATGTGAGCTAAAATTGTTGGGCAGCCCACTACACCTATTGAAGCGAGATATAGTCAGCTCTCACTTCCCTGTTTCGTACTGGGGGACCAGTGGTACAAATCAGCAATAAAACAGTGTATGATGTCATGCTACATAGTTTGGTCTTCACAGTGGAAGATATTTTGTGTGGCTGTTGCATATGATTTACATTTCTTAATTAAATTTACTCAGGTTAATAACTGATTTGTCTGCATCCTAGAAACAACCAGCTCTCAGGGTTTAGGTGTGGGTTGGTCTGAGTAGTAGGAGCAGCCAAACTGGAATTAAAATGTTTGCTGTGAGTAGTTCAGAAAGGCAATTTTTCTGTGATTATAGAGATGAGTGCAACTACACGTGATAGCTCTGTCTTCATTCATTTTCTTTTTGTGGTGCAGGTGTATTTATGGGACCCACAAATATACCATTTACCTCACAAGCACCAGCTGCATTTCAGGGCTTTCCATCGATGGGCGTGCCTGTGCCTGCAGCTCCTGGCCTTATAGGAAATGTGATGGGACAGAGTCCAAGCATGATGGTGGGCATGCCCATGCCCAATGGGTTTATGGGAAATGCACAAACTGGTGTGATGCCACTTCCTCAGAACGTTGTTGGCCCCCAAGGAGGAATGGTGGGACAAATGGGTGCACCCCAGAGTAAGTTTGGCCTGCCGCAAGCTCAGCAGCCCCAGTGGAGCCTCTCACAGGTAGGGGTCATTTACTTTCTAGCTTCTCCCAAATCAAACCAGATTTATTTTCTAAATCTTTTTTTTTTTTTTTTTTTTTTTTTTTTAAGTCTAGTGATCTGGCAGAAAGAATTCAATAGGGATAATATGTTATAGGGTCAAAAGTATCTATAAATATTATGAAGTTGTATCAGATAGACAAATGATGTGTTATTATCGCTATTTTAGAGTATTCTGTAAAAAAAAGGTTAAACATCTTTCATTTCAAATTGTAATGTAACTGTAACGTGAACACCACTAATGGCCAGAAATTATCTCAGGCATCATGAGACTCCCTCTCTGTCACCTCTGAGATTAGCACTAAGCTTTATCCAGCTTGCTGGTGGGACATTTTTACAGTCCACTTAGACAACTTAGCTTCACTAATAATTTTAGGATCTTTTATTAGAAAATAAAAATCTAGCCTCATATTCTCAAAGCACTATTTTATGAGGGATCTAAGGCTATTTTTCAGGTCGGATGATTACTGCCCCATGGCTCTGTAAAAATTCTTTTTGTTGAGAAACCTTTGTAAAGTTGTATTTTCTTTTTACATACCCTATAATGACTTTTATGTTTAAAAAGAGTACAAAAAGATTCAATTCCCATAAGGTGTGAACCAGACATCCCCTCATATTATAAAATCCTATTTCTACCTAAGTTAGAGCTGAGATAGAACATTTCTATTTCAGGTGCTGTGTTCTGACTTTTCTCTAGCTGCACAGACAAAGGCTCTTAGAGAGGTTCATGCTCCCACTCTTCTTCCTTTTACACTTCCCATTGATGTTCCTCCAGCATTTTGGCAATCTTGGTTTCTGTTTGGTCACTTGTTTTACCTTTAGAGCATTCAGGGAATAGTCTAGAGTGATTTCTAACATTAGCACAATCACTATATATCACAGTTAATTTTGCTACCACCATTTACAAGAATATAGGTAAAACATTGGTCTCTACCCGCTGGGAATCTAAAAAATTGTATGTGCTAAGTGTCAGTCACATGGTCAACATGCTGAAGCACACCCAGCTCAGGTTAAGGTGCTAGATGAACCAGGAAGGAGTTAATACTGGCTCTTACTTCCAGATAATGCAGAAGGGTGATGCTGTTCTCCAGCACTCCATCAGTGCAATCTACTGGCCAATGACAAGGTGGTTAAAATGTCCTTTAGTAGGTATGAAGACGTGATCTGCTTCTTCAGACACTTATGCCTGATTAGTGATGTAGTTTATGTTAGTGTCTTTGAAACTGTAAATAAGTCAAGTCAAATGTATTAAATTAAGAACACAGTCTAACTCTGAGTGTAAGTTTTAAACCCACTCACTATATGGTAAATCTTGCCTTTCCTTCTCTTATCACCAATTTTGGAAGTAAGAGAATCACAGGGTTAAGATGCTTATATATATATATATTTGACTCCAGTCTTGAAGAAAAATACATGTAATCTTATGCTTTATTGCATACAATGAAAATAAATTTTAGATGTTTATGTTGTTAGATCAGCGAGAGAAATAAATGCTTTATGACCACTTTAAAAATATTTAGGAAGTATATAAGATTTTAATAGAGAATAATATCTATCATACAAAGTTTATAGGATAATTTTAGACTATTTTACTTCCTAAAATTTTCTTACTCCTTAGTAGTTAAAGCACAATATCCTAGTGTAGGTGAAAGTTAGTTAGAGTAGCGGACTCATTAAAATCCCAAGATTGCTTTGGTATTTTTTTTTAAGTAAGTTGTGGTTAATCTTTGGGGAAACTGTATCTAGAAAGTAGATAAAGAAGGGAACAAAGTAGCTATTTGCTTTAAGAAATATTTGTATGGTACTCTGTTTTTATTCCAGTGCTTGGACTAGTTGTCACATTAATGAAAAAATGACCAACTGTGTGGCTAAAGAAACAAGAATTAAAAGTGAAGTAAGCCTCTTGAACTAAGCCTTTTATATGTTTCACAGATGAATCAGCAGATGGCTGGCATGAGTATCAGTAGTGCAACCCCTACTGCAGGTTTTGGCCAGCCCTCCAGCACAACAGCAGGATGGTCTGGAAGCTCATCAGGTCAGACTCTCAGCACACAACTGTGGAAATGAAAACTGCAATACAAGTTTCATCCAGAACTACCACCTGACATTCCTTGCTGAAACGCATCTAGTTCCCCTGTTTATTCATATGCATATTTTTTTTCTTTTTACCCATTTGTTCATATTAAGAATGATCTGATTGACCGTGTTGGTCTGTACTGATTCAATTTGATGTGGTGAAAAGCAGGTTGATAAATCATTTTATGTCAAGGGCAGCTTTGCTCATATTTCCCATGATTTCATGTACTGCATTATTTGAGAAGCTGCTCAACTTGCAAAATCAGTTTTCCTCTCAATAAAATTATAGCTCTAATGTTTGCATATAAGGGAAGTAGTTATCATGTTAGTAATACCTCTAATAGTATAAACCCCACCCCAAAATTAGCCAGTAATCCTGTAGGAAGGTACTGTATGATCAAATGTTTAATCATATAAATAGAATGTAAATGTCTCACTGAGCACTGTTTTCTAGTGTATCAAAATGCTCTTATTTCATCATTCACTTCACTGTGCTGTTGTTATGATGTGCTTAACAGGGAACGTGATTAGTGAAAGGAAGATAAACGTGGATGTTACTCCAAAACTTCGTTTAATGAATGCTTAAAGAATTCAAATTTTATCTGCCTCTCTTGTAATTTGGATCTCTTCTTAATGTACATAGTGCTAACATGAAGACCTTTTTCTGCACTATATGCAAACAGGGTAACTAACTAAAACAAAGCCACTTTCAATCTTCAATCCTTGAAGGTATATCTAGGTTTATGACAGTAATTGTGTTTACATTTTATGGTGCCTAGTATTGACAAAATGTTATTTCCCTACATTAAACATGACTCCATAGACCTTTTCATTTGTGGGTTTTTATTTCCTATGATGTATACTGCCACTAACCTTCCAAAAATTACTTAGTATTGCAAAGTCAGGAATCATCAGGAACGTTTAGCTGACAAAATACTTGTCTGTTTTAAAAACCTGTTCAAGTCTACCAACCTGTTCAAGTCTACCAATTATAAGGGCAAATTGGAGAAAAAGAAAAAATATATACTCAAGAGTGGTATCTTGCAGTATCGGCACTGTACAAAAAAATCTTCCAATTTAGTTGTTGTAGAGAAAACATGCAGAACAAATGAAGACAAAACATACATTTTGTACCAACCATCCAATTAGCTTATGTTAACTGACAAGCTCCATTTAAACAGATGTCCATCAGATGACAAGAAAGGCTGCTGTACTGAAGTAAAACAAACAATACCTGAATGCTCTGTAGCCTAAACTCCAAACATCCTCTTCCATATGGATCCACTGGCTGGACAAACTGCACCAGTTGCTGCTTCAATTTATACCTCAATTTTCACTGTGTCCAGGTGGTACTTTGGCTCGTTGGCTAGATTAACCTTCTCTGTCCGAGTGTGCCACACGAGAACCTGAAGGGGAAGGAAATAGCTTGGGTAGCGCACTCTTCATGGTGACACTCGAGGTCGGGCAGCACAAGTGTAATGAATACCTTAGTGCAGTTATTTGCTTTCGGTTCCAGTTCTTCGACTGTTGTTATCTGTTTGAGAAAGTCAGATTCTTGCATCCCTGGCTGGGATCCACGACGCTTAAATACAGCTTTTGGATTGGACAAAATGACTTGAAGACTTACAGCAAATCCTTTGTGAAAAATAAAAAAAAAAAAGAGACTTTAAAATCCTGGTGTACTTCTCTTTTTTTCTGTATAATTTTGGTCACATCAAAACAGTTTTTAAAATACCTACTGTGTGTCAGGTCTTGGTTTACAAAGTTGAATAGGAACATTACCTGTATTACAGTCTCAAAGGAAAATCAGTCATTACAATATTTTACATTCCGTGTAAAATAAAGGCGTGCACAGGAGCATCTACGCAAAATAGGAAGTTTAGTCTGTTGATAATAAAGGGTGAATTTTATAAGCTGCTGTTTCACAGTGATCATCAACCCCCCACATTTGCCACTAGGAATAACTAAGAAATAAATGCAGCTGAAAAACATACATGCTTACCTAACTACATGTGGGGTATGAGACCACATGCCCAGCTCTCCTGCCTGCCCTGTAATATTAATTATGTATGCTTCCTTAAATCCAGCACTGCTTGGATTCATTTTGCATTTAGAAGAGGGAGCAACAGAAGTAAAGCCGATTAGCTGGAAAATGAATCATACCTAATTTTTAATCATCTGGTTTATATTTCTAATTTGGTTCAATCTAAAAAGGGTATGTGGGGCAGAAATCAGTGCAGGAGATATCAGGCCATCATCTGATAAAGTTTTTTTTTGGTATTTCATTTACCAAAAATAAGTGTAAATTTTCTTCAATGGTTTGGTCATACGAAAAATCATTACTGGCTGGGCACAGTGTCTCACATCTGTAATCTCAGCACTTTGGGAGGCCAAGGCAGAAGGATCTCTTGAGCCCAGGAGTTCAAGACCAGCCTGGGCAGCATAATGAGACCCTGTCTCTACAAAAAATACAAAAATTAGCTGGGTGTTGTGGCACGTGGTGCGTGCCTGTAGTCCCAGCTACTTAGGAGGCTGAGGTGGGAGGATTGCCTGAGCCTATGAGGTTGTGGCTGCTGTGAGCTATGACTGTGCCACTGCAACTCCAGCCTGGGCAACAGAATGAGGCCCTGTCTCAAAGAAAAAAGAATCATTCGTATTTAATCTGTAGTTTAACAAACTGTTTAAAGCTCAGCCATTGAAGCACTCTACAATTGTTTTTGCCATCTCAGCAAGTAATAATTGTTTTGAAGGTCTGAAGCCCTGGATCTCTTTTTCCTTAGTGACTAAGGTGATACTGTCAAGTCAGGCACCCTCCCAGAGTTGAAGCTCCGGGCACCAACCCACAAAACATTTCTCAGCAACTTTTGCCCTTCTCTACATTAAATGAGTTGATTTATGATTCAGTTTGCAAAGTAATACTAAATGATACCAGGTGGTAATGGAGGAGCTGTGAAAACACCACAACCACCATCCTCTCCAGATGCCAGACTGGGCCAGTCTCCTGTTCCAGACCCTGCTGCCTTTTGGAGAAAAGTTAACACTAAGCCACTTACAAACATAACGTGGTACAGCAGGTGCTGAGTGAAGCAGAACAAAGAATCATAAAGCATTAGCTGTAGGACTAGCCCCAGTATCGATACCTCCACCAACCCTAAAGGGAGGGAGGTGGCACATTTTAGCAGAGAATACTGGATTTGGAATTAGAAGCCTTTTGTTTTTGCCTAGGTCCCTGCCCCTGGGACACTGGCCAACTCATTTAACCTTTCTTGATTTTCTAACTTCCCCATTTCTTTATTTGCGAGAGAAGTGTAACACTTCAACTCAATGTTTGATGAAAAATTGAGGTATGGAAAGACTCCACTGACTGCAAAGCACTGTTCAAAAGATACTACAATATATAAATAAAAATACTATTGTCAGTGTGATCATGAGGGGCAGGTGATGCCAGCCACCATTTATGGCTGAAAGAATACTGGTTGACAGATGTAAAAGGTTTGGGAAAGTTCCAGGTAGCAAAGCCAGGACACCTACATGTGATAGCAACTCTGGTAACAAGTCCACAGCCTTCCTTAGACACAACTAGGACAACCACCAGACACCTCAACAAAAGCCAGAGGTTCAAATTGATAACGTAGTGTCCTTTCCAACAGGTCAGATCAGATTTTAGTGTTAAAAGATTTCTTGCTTTTTCCCACATGCTTATAAATAAGCTTTATCCTTTTTTTTTTTTTTTTTTTTTTAAATTCAGATGAGAGCCTACCCTTCTCAGTCATACTGAAACTCCTGATACATTCTTCACATGGCTTCAGGATACTGGTTGTATTTCCCCATTCTCTCAAAAACATGGGATCCAAATTGTGCAGAGGTGATTTCTGGAAATGATATGGAGCCACCTGGATCTGATTTCCTTCATTTTCCCCTAAGACTTTAACACATTAACCATCACGACCACTGAAGGATTCAGATTCTTTTGTTGCTTTCCTTAGCACAGGAATATCCTTCCAGCGCTTCACACAGAATGACATGGCAAAATCTACAATTTATGTAAAGTTAACAGCCAGTTGTGAAGCTATACATCATTTTGCAGCAAGGTCTCCTTTCCTGGTGTCACTAGAGAATGGTGCGCACCTGAAAGGCCAGCACCCTGGAGACATGTTAGCCTGTGGCTCTCCACAGTACCCAAGTGTTTTTCTATTCTCTAATACAAAGGGGTGGAGGAGCACAATTCAGATGCCCCACAATCAGCTAACGCAATTTCCTTTGCTCAGTGATCTCTTGAAAGGAAGCAGGTCACAGCTGGCAGGAGAGACTGCATGTTAACTAGGTCAACCCCTGGGTTACTTTTGGGGAATCTGACCCGCTGTGAAGCTGGGGGCAGAGTTAAAGAGTTCTCCCCTCTGAAATCACAGTAAAGGGAATCCTAAACCATTGATTTCCAACCTAAGATGTTTTCTTGGGTAATTCCAAGTATTTATACTTCAAGTATTATATCTTTCCTTTTTTAGTGAGATTCGTTATCTTTAAAGATGTTGGTTACTTTGGAGATGCTTACGAAAGTCATGGGAGTAGGATTTTCTGCCCTGGTCAGCTGAGTAAAAAAAAAAATGCAAATAAAAATGATTGTTCACTGAGAAGGCAGGATTTCCTGACTTCTTCAGCAGAGCTAGGTGGGGAGGATACACAGTCACCCTCTGTATCTGCAGATGCATCTGCAGATCCAACTAACCTCAGATTAAAAATATCTGAAAATAAAACAAAAAAATGACAATACAACAAGAAATAATAGGGCTTTTTTGTTTTTGGACAGAGTTTCACTCTTGTTGCCCAGGCTGGAGTGCAGTGGCACAATCTCGGCTCACTGCAACCTCTGCCTCCTGGGTTCAAGTGATTCTCCTGCCTCAGCCTCCCGAGTAGCTGGGACTACAGACGTGGGCCTGGCTAATTTTGTATTTTTAGCAGAGACGGGGTTTCACTATGTCGGCCAGGCTGGTCTTGAACTCCTGACTTCAAGTTATCTGCCCCCCTCGGCCTCCTAAAGTGCTGGGATTACAGGCGTGAGCTACAGCAGCCAGTCAAAATAATACAAGTTTTAAAGCTATATAGTATAACAACAATTTGCATGGCATTTGCATTGTATTAGGTAAGTAATCTAGAGATGATTTAAAGTATACAGGAGGATCTGCCTAGGTTATATGTAAACACTATATCAGGGACTTGAGCGTCCATGGATTTTGGTATGAGTAGCAGTCCTGAAACCAATTCCCTATGGATACTCAGGAATAACTATTCCCTCTCAGGCAGAGGGATAGGGCCTACCTCCATATATGATTACTGATTACTGAGTAGAAAATTTGTAAGACTTTAAAAGTCCAACAAGCTATTTACATTTCTGGACAAAATTGCAATAGGGACTGGTTTTTCCTCACTTGTTTTAAATAACAAAAAGGCAGACAAAATGATTGAAAAAAGTTTCCAGACATTGGAAAAGAGGCACATGAGACAGAGATCTCTGAGAAAAGAGAAATGTGACCCCTACAACTGCCCCAGCTTCCTGCCTGAAGTATGTTTTCAGGCTACACCACAGGGAGGGGAACCCGGAAAGCTCTGCAGTCCCCTTGAATTGAGGAAACAACTGAGAATTTGAGGAGGCCAAGACAACTAGGATATGCAGGGTGGAGTACTAGAGAAGGAAGAACTCTGCTGATCTGTAGACAGCTCTCCTCAACTCTTCAACTGAGTATGAAGAGCAAATGCTCACACAACTACCTCAGGCCAGGTACAGAACCACTGGCAAGGAGCAGGTGAATCAATTACTGGAGGGGACTAGTTCCCATTCTCAGTAGCCAGAGTGGAGCTACCTAGTAACAGCTGGAGCACCTGGAGGAGAACTTGGAAGGTTATCGTGCCTGTTGTAAGGTCAAATTGATTAGCCCTAAACTAGAGGCTGAGATGGTTTTGCCTAACAAACTTCAAAAGCAAGCCTGGAAAGGATCAAAATGTTTCCAAGTTAACTCAGTTGTGTCCCAGTACAAAGCTCAAGAATACATATGTATTTATAATATAGTATAACATTACATATATATGTGTTTTTATGTATGGTTGTGTGTATACATATATGTCTCTCTCATCCAGTATCTAGCAACATAAAATTCAAAATGCCTGATGCCCAAGACACCTCAGTGATGAAAAATACAATGTCTGAGATGAAAAATACATTGGATGGGATTAGCAGCAGAGGAGACACTGCAGAATAAAAGTTGAGTAAACTCGAACACATAATGATAGAAACTACCAAAATGAAACAGAAAAGGCAAGACCAACACACACACACCGTACAGAGTCACAGGAACAGAGTCAAAGGTGAATGAATGAGGGAGACAGGGAAAAAAATTTGAAGAAATGACGACTGAAAAATTTACAAACTTGAAAACTCAGGAAAGATATGTAAGACTTAAATAACATTTTCAACTACACCTAAATGACATTTATAGAACACTCCACCCAACAACAGCAGAATACAATCTTTTAAAGTACACATGGAACATTATCACGATAGTTAGACCATAGTCTGGGCCATAAATCTGTCTCAATACATTTAAAATAATTTAAATTGTACAAAATATGTTTTCTGACTACAGTGGAATTAAAATAGATATCAGTAAATACAAAGATACCTGGAAAATATCCCAAATATTTGGAAACTAAACAATATAATTCTAAGCAAAATACAAACCAAAGAAGAAATCAAAAGGGAAATGATAAAGTGGTTAACTGAATGAAAATGAAAACAAGACATATCAAAATGTGTAGGATACATCTAAAGGAGTGTTTAGATGGGAAACTAGTTTTTAGAAAACATTAAGCACTTACTGGATAAGAAAGGTCTGAATTCAATAACCTAAGCTCCTACCTTTATAAATTAGAAAAAGAAAGCAAATGAAGCCCAAAGTAAATGGAGAAAACGACTATACTAATAGATATGAGAGCAGAAACGACTAAAGTAGAAATAGAAAACAATTGAGAAGATAAGTGAAATAAAAACCTAGTCATTTAGGAAAAAAAAGTTAATAAAATTGATAAACTCTACCCATGCTTATCAGGAAAAAGAGAAGATATAAATTACCAGCCTCAGAAATGAAAGAGATAGGTTCTACAAACCTTAAAATGATAATATGGGGCTATTATAAGCAACTTTTTATGATAGTAAATTTGACAACTTAGATCAAAATAGAAAAAGTCCTTGAAAGACAAGCTACAAGGCTCACTCATGAAGAAATAGATAATGTGAAATAGCCCTGTATCAAATAAATTAAGTTTATAATTAAAATCTTCCACACACATACACACAACCCTCCAGGACCAGAGAGCTTCACTGGTAAATTCTACCAAGCATTTAAGGAAGAAATGACAGCAATTCTACATGAATTTTTCTAGAAAATAGAAAAGGAGGAAATCTTTCTCAAGTTATCCTGTAAGACCAGCATTGCCCTGATACCAAAACCAGACAAAAACATTACAAGAAAACTACAGACTAATAATCCTCATGATCACAGAAAAATTCTCAAAATTTTAGCAAATCAAATTCAACAATAAAAAGACAATAAATCATGACCACTTGAGGATTATCTCCAGATTGCAATGTTGGTTTAAAATTTCAAAATCAATCAATGTAATTCACCATATTAGCAGACTAAAAAAAAAAATCTGACTATCACAATAGCTGGAGAAAATGCTTTGACAAAATCTAACATCTAGTCATAATGAAAAGAAGAAATAAAAGCCTCTCAGCAAACTAAGACTAGAAGTGAACTTTCTCAACTTAATAAGGACATCTACAAAAATACCTAATGCCAACATTATACTTAATTGGTGAAAGACTGAGTGTTAAATCCCTGAAGATTGGAATGAGGCAAGGATGGCTGCTCTTGACTTTTATTCAACAAAGTCCTGGAGATCCTGGCCATTTAAATAAGGCTCCCACCCCCACAAAAAAGGCAGAAATATTGGAAAGGAAGAAGTACAGCAAGCCTCCTCTTCTTCCTTCAGCCACAGTTAACAGTATCAATAGTGCTTCTCAGTTCTTCTATTGTGTAAGTATCAATTTAGCCTCACCTCCATAGGCTCATCCCACTGCCACATTCTCTCTTCTCCAACTATACATCATCTAATCTCAGCAAGGCTGTTACAAATAAGAACTAGTTCCAGTTTCTAAACGATGACTTTTGGCAACAAGACTTTTATAGTTTGGCCACAAGAAAGATACTAACAGCTTTTTCTGTGTAATAATCACTCTGGGTAGTTGTCCTAGAGTATTGGGCTCTTGACACATGTTTAGTGTTACCAATAGCTATCAGGTAATTTCAAAAGCCTCTCTTTCCCCCCCCACGTTAAACAATAAGAAAAAGAGATTTCAACTTTCATATTAAAAAGTATATACACACAGTGCAGTCATGGAACTTGCTGGAGAAAGAAAGATATGTGTGGGACCTCCTCTAATTCTGAGCCGGCCAACTCTCCTTTCATACCTCTTCCCAGCAAAGCATACACTGCCTTTTGGAATGTTGTGTGTTTCCACCTTTCCTGCCCACCACCCCTCCTTATTGAGATATAATTCACATATATTAAAACTTGTCCTTTTATATGGTATGATTAAGGGCGGTTTTAGCATATTCATAACTCTGGGAACCAATTTTTGAGAAGACTTTTTTTCCCATTGAACTGTCTTAGAACCTTTGGCAAAAATCAACTGACCATAAATGATTTATTTCTACACTGTCAGTTCTATTTCATTAATCTATATGGCTATCCTTATGTCAGTACCACACTGTATTACTGTAGTTTGCTTTCTTTAAGTTGAGACAGGGTCTTCCTATGTTGTCCAGGCTGGTCTCAAACTCCTGGGCTCGAGGGATGCTCCTGCCTCAGCCTCCTGAGTAGCTGGGACTATAAGGTGCATGTCGCTCCATCTGGTGATGACATTATTGTAGTTTTATAAGTTTTCAAATTGGGAAGTATAAATCCCCTAACTTCTTTCTGAGTTCATCACTTTCCATATCAATTTTAGAAACAAATACCTTGTCAATTTTTACAAAAAGGGCAGCCAGAATTTTGATAAAGATTGCATTGAATCTGTAGATTAATTGGGGGAATATTGCCATTTTAGCAATATTAAGTCTTCTGACCCATAACAATATTAAGTCTTCTAATCCATGAACATATCTTTCCACTTATTTAGTTCTTCATTTCAGTGATATTTTATAGTTTCCTGTGTAAGTCATACTTTATTACTAAGCATTTTATTATTTCTGACACTATTGTGAATGAAATTTTCTTAGTTTAATTTTCAGATTGTTCATTGCTAGTGTATATAAATACAATTGATTTTCATATATTGATTTTGTATCAATGCAGTCTTGCTAAACTCATTTAATTAGCATTAACAGTTGTGTGTGTTCATCACT
The DNA here is from genome assembly GCF_000001405.40 of Homo sapiens. Lineage (NCBI taxonomy): Eukaryota > Metazoa > Chordata > Mammalia > Primates > Hominidae > Homo > Homo sapiens. The sequence continues at coordinate 70,869,805 of NC_000006.12, forward strand.
GGCCATCAGAGAAATGCAAATCAAAACCACAATGAGATACCATCTCACACCAGTTAGAATGGTGATCATTAAAAAGTCAGGAAACAACAGGTGCTGGAGAGGATGTGGAGAAATAGGAACACTTTTACACTGTTGGTGGGACTGTAAACTAGTAAAACCATTGTGGAAGTCAGTGTGGCGATTCCTCAGGGATCTAGAACTAGAAATACCATTTGACCCAGCCATCCCATTACTGGGTATATACCCAAAGGATTATAAATCATGCTGCTAGAAAGACACATGCACACGTATGTTTATTGCGGCACTATTCACAATAGCAAAGACTTGGAACCAACCCAAATATCCAACAACGATAGACTGGATTAAGAAAATGTGGCACATATACACCATGGAATACTATGCAGCCATCAAAAATGATGAGTTCATGTCCTTTGTAGGGACATGGATGAAGCTGGAAACCATCATTCTCAGCAAACTATCGCAAGGACAAAGAACCAAACACCGCATGTTCTCACTCATAGGTGGGAATTGAACGATGAGAACACATGGACACAGGAAGGGGAACATCACACACCAGGGACTGTTGTGGGGTGGGGGGAGGGGGGAGGGATAGCATTAGGAGATATACCTAATGCTAAATGACGAGTTAATGGGTGCAGCACACCAGCATGGCACATGTATACATATGTAACAAACCTGCACGTTGTGCACATGTACCCTAAAACTTAAAGTATAATAATAATAAAAAAAAGAAAAAAAAAGAGTTTTCCTTTTCAACAGAGATGTCCAAACAGCCATGTAAATAAACCCTCAAGAAAATCTCTTAAAAACAAACAAACAAACAAACAAAAAAACAGTTATGTGTGTGTGTTCCTTAGGATTTTTCTATGTAAAAGATCATGTCATTGATAAATGGAGATAGTTTTACTAATGCCTTTACAATCTGGATGCCTTTTATAAGCTATAGTGCAATGGTGTATACAAATGGGTAGAGGGGTCATCTTGTCTTATTCTTGATCTTAGGGAAAAAGCTTTCGGCATTCAACTATTAAAAATGTTAGCTGTGAATTTTTCATAGATATGCTTTATCAAATAAATGAAGTTCCCTCCTATTCCTAGTTTATTGATCTTCTCTCTAGTGTTTTTATCATGAAAGAATGCTGAATTTTGTCAGGTGCTTTTTCTGCATCTACTGATATAATTGTGCAGCTTTTGTTCTTTATTGTATTGATATGGTGTGTTACATTGATTTACTTTTATATTTGAAATAATCTTATATTCCAGGGATAAATCTTACCTGCTCATGGTGTATAATCCTTTCTATATGTTGCTCAATTCACTTTACTAGTATTTTTTTTTTAAGGATTTTTGCATCTGTATTCAAAAGGGATATAGGTCTGTCTGTTTTTTTTTTTTTGTTTTTTTTTTTTCTTCGTGATGTCTTTGGTTTTGGTATCAGGGTAACATTGGCTTGGTAGAATTCCTTCAAAAGTGTTCCCTTCTATTTTTTGGAGGATTTGTGAAGAATTGGTAATTCTTTAAATGTTTGGTAGAAGTCACCAGTAAAGCCATCTGAAAATGGGCTTTTCTCTGAGGGAAGTTTTGTTGATTATTAATTCAATCTCTCTGTTATAGGCCTATTTAGATTTTTTTGAGACAGTTTTAATAGTCATTCCAATAATTTGTCCATTTTCATATAGGTTATCTAATTTGTTGCAATACAATTTTTTAAAGTATTCTCATAAAATTTATGTAAGGTTGGTATTAATATTCGTGCTTTCATTCCTGATTTTAGTAATGTGAGGCTTCTCTCCTTTTTCTTGACAGTCTAAGTAAAGGTTTCCCAATTTGTTGGTTTTTAAAAAACATTTTTATGGATTTTCTTATATTGTTTTTATATTCTGTATTTTTCTCTAATCTAATAACTTCCTTCTGCTTATTTTGAGTTTACTCTTCTTTTTCTGTTTTTTTATGGCAGAAGGTTAGGTTATTGATTTGAGATCTTTCTTCTTTTTAATGGAGGTATGTGAAGCTATAAATGTCCTGCTAAGCACTACTCTGGCTGTACCCCCATAGGTTTTCATATGTTGTTTTTCCATTTTCATTCTCTTCAAAATATTTCCCAATTTTCCTTGTGATTTCTTAACAAATTGATTTTTTTTAGGAGTGTGTGTATAATTTCCATATATTTGTGAATTTCACAAACTCCTTTCTGGTATTAATTTCTGATTTCATTCCAGTATAAACCAAGACCATACTTTGTGTAATTTTAGTTATTTTAAATTGTGTCCTGCTTTATGGCCTAAGATGGTATATAATCTTGGAGAATGTTCCATTGTGCCTTTGAGAAGAAAGCGTATTCCATTCTTGTTGGGTGGAGTGTTCTATAGATGTTTGTTACATCTAATTGATTTACAGTGTTTTTCAAGTCTTCTATCCCAGTTGATCTATCTAGTTGTTCTGTCTAGTATTGAAAGTGGGATGTTGATAGTTGCAATGATTATTGATGAATTATTTTTTCCTTCAGTTTTGTCATTTTTACTTTGTGTATTTTGGAGCTCTGCTGTAAGTCACGTATATGTTTATAGTTATATCTTCTTGACAGAGTGACCCTTTTCTCATTATAACTTTTTTTTGGTCTCTAGTAACAGTTCGTCTTAAAGTCTATTTTGTCTGGTGTTCATATAATCATTCCCGTTCTTTTTTTTTTTTTTTTTGGTTCCTGTTAGCATGATATATACTTTTTTCTCTTCTCTTGCTTTCAATTTATTTGTGTCTTTGAATCTAACATGTTTGTCTTGTAGACAGCATATAGTTGGATCATTTTTATACATCCTGTCCATCTGCCTTTTGATTGGGTTTTTTATCCAGTTACGTTTAATGTAATTACCAATAAATTGATTTACATTTGTCTTTTTGAAGTTTGTTTTCTACATGTCTAATGTTATTTTATTCCTCTATTTCTCTATTACTGCCTTCTTTATTATTAAACAAATATTTCCTAGTGTATGATTTTAATTCTCTTGTCATTTATCATTTGAGTTATTTTCTTAGAGGTTGCCATGGGGATTATAATTAACATTTCAATTTCTAACAGTTTAGTTCAGATTAATACCAACTTAATTTCAACAGGATAAAAAAACTTTGCCCCTACACAGATCCATTCTTTGCCCCTCATTTGTGCTATTATTGTCATAAAAATTATATCTTTATACATTTTGTGCTCCTCAAACCAGATTTCTGATGACTGGTTTATGTAGCTGTTTTTCAAAACAGGAGAAAAGAGCTATAAAGATTACATTTATACTGCCTTTCAAAATTACCTATGTAGTTACTTTTACTAGTGTTCTTATTTGTTCATGTGGATTACAGTTCCCGTCTAGCATCCTTTCACTTTTGCCTAAAGGACTCCTTTGAGTATTTCTTGTAGGGCACATGTGCTAGCAATGAATTTTCATGGTGTTTGTTAATTGGGAATATTTTCATTTCTCCTTCATTTTTGAAGGATAGTTTTGCTGGATACAGAATTCTTGGTTGATCTTTCTTTTTTTCCTTCCAGTACTTTGAATCTGTCATCCCACTGCCTTCTAGCTTCTGTGGTTTCTGATAAGAAATCAGTCTTTGTTAATAAACAATGGCTTATTAAAGAGCCTTTGTTAATCATATTCAGTTTTCTTTTGTTACTCTCAAGATTCTCTTCATGTTTGGTTTTCAACTGATTATGATGTGTCTAGGTATGAATCTCTGAGTTTATCCTACTTGGAATCCACTGAGCTTCCTCGATGTTTAATGTTTTTCATACAGATTTGGGAAGTTCTAACATTTTTTTTCAAATATTCTTTTTGTCCCTTTTTCTCTCTTTTTCTACGACTCATAATATGTATATTAGTATATGTGAATAATAAGACTATGAGGTCCTGTTCATTTTTCGTCATTCTTTTTTCTGTTCCTTAAACTGGATCATATCAATTTATCTATGTTTCAAATTCACTAATTCTTCTGCCTGCTGAAACTGCTTTGAGCCCCTCTATTGAATTTTTTGTTTTTATTAGTGTACATTTCAACTCCAGCATTTCTATTTGGTTCTTTTTAAAAAATATATAATTTCTATCTCTTTATTGATCTCTATTTGTGAGACATCATTCTCCCATTTTTCTTTAGCTATTTAGACATGGTTATCTTTAGTGGACTCCATATATTTAAAATATCTGATTTAAAGTTTTTACCTACCAAATATAATGTCCAGACATTTTCAGGGACAGTTTCTATCAACTGCTTTCTTTTTTGTGTATTGGTCATGCTTTCTTGTTTATTTGCATGTCTTGTACTCTTTTGCTGAAAACTGAACATTTGAAATAATATAATGTGACAACTCTGGAAATCAGATTCTCTAAGGTTAGTTGTTCTTTTATTGTTGTCATTATCGTTTTAGTGACTTCCTTGAACTAACTTTGTAAAGTCTGTGTTCTTTGCTGAGTGTGGGCAATGAAGTCTGTGTTCAGTTAGCTTAAGAGGTCAACTAAATATTGGACACAGATTTCCTTAAATGCCTGGAACCAGAGTCTCTCAGTCTTTGCCAAGATGCTCTGTGTCCATTTGGGCATGCTTTCAACACTCAGCCAGGCAATGTACAACTGCTTTAGTTTTCACTTCTTGATTGCACAGGGGCTCACAGTACTAAGAGGGGGAAGACTGAGGACTTTGTAAGGATTTTCTTGAACAAGCACATAGCCCTGGGCATGCATATAGTCCTACACATCCACAAGGCCTTCCAGAAATATGTCAGAGCTTTTCAAATGCCCCTACGGAATGAAGTTTTTTGCTTAGCTTGTTTGCCACAACTGTTATTGCCTCAGGGAGCTGTGATGGTAAACAATCACCACAAGCTGTTTTTGACAAACGCCCCCAGGGAAAAGCCTGTTTGCTCTAGTGAATGAGGTCAAATAAAGACAAGCCTTGTGAACAGGGTTTTCTAGGGAATTGCTGGACAGATCACATAATGACAATTCTCTTAAAATGGAGCTCTGAATGAGTTCCAACCCTGTTCTGCCCTTCTAGTAACTGCTATGCTGCTGGTTTTCACCACAATTACAGGGCTGTTGGTTTTCAAAGCTACCATGGAGGAAATGGAGAGAAGGGGATGGAAATAGGGCAAATTGATATACTACAATACTGCTCTTACCAAGATTTAGCCTTTTTTAAAAAAAAAAAAACAAAACTCCCCAGATTCTTGCATACTTTTAGCTAATTTCCATAGTTCTTAAGAAGTTGACTTTGACAAATTTTGCCAGTGTTCTCACTGTTTTTATGGATGAGAATATTCAGAAGTCCTTACTCTGTCATTCCCAATGACATTACTCTTTTTGCAACCCCAAATCCCAGTACCACATTATAGGTAAGTATAGAAGAAAAACAAAATACTGTAATGTAGGGTTTGATGATTGAAAACAGAAAACTGCTACTTAACTACTTTTTTTTCCCCTGGCCCTGTACTTTCCAGCCCTGGCATCTCAAAACTATCCAAGTGAGAAACAAATGTGTTAGTAAAATTGATTTAGGAATCATTTCCACTAGATTTAAATCAAATATAGAAAGCAGAAAAGAAGGCTATATAAAGGAATGTTTCCTTTGCTTATTTACTATCCCAAATTGCCACTGTTTCCTGCAAGTGTTCCTTTATAATTTTCATGGCTCTAAGACTGAATGCTCATATGTCATGAAGTGTTCTTTCACAGCCATGATAGATTTTCTTCCAAATCTACCCTTTCCTACTGAGTAAACAGAACCATAGCTTCCCGCATTTACTTCCAATTATAATTTAGAATTATTTTCTTCTGGTGTGGAAGAAGAATGAAAAAGCATGCCTTGGTTGTTAAACAGGTCTGTTAATCTGCTGACTACTGACTGAAACTTTATAATTGCTTCAAGGTGAAACTTAAGTAAAAGTCTAATTTTAAAAATTCCTCAAAAGGTATTTAGCAGTCATTATTTTCCATGGAAAAAAGTGAAACACTCTGCATTTCCAAGAAGTGTTCTTTATTTAATCTATAAACAATTCATTTAAATCTCTACTCTGAAAAAACCATCATAGAAAACTGAATCTTCTAAGGAAACAATCAGGATGCTGAGCAAGGATGGAAAATCTGATCCTAATAACCAAACATAATATAAAGGGGTTTAATTAACTGAATACGGAAAATATCCATGAATTATTTTTTAGTGGGCACAACTAACACTGAAGTTTAGAACCAAAAAGACTCTGATGGGAAATAAACCCTTCAGAGTTTACTTGTATATGCTGGGCATGGCAGAGTCAACATGCTTGACATGGCCTGGGTAAGAGGCCATGGTACTACTGAATTGGTCAAACTAAGCCACTCTAGTCCAACCCAGAAAATATAGCAGAGCATGGTGAAGAAGGTACTTATTCCCCAATCCTAGTGAAATAATTTTTTAAATGGTAGCTCTTCAGGGATTCACTAATGAAGCTATTACATCACCTCCTAGTTTCACATGGAAGCTATGTTGGTTTCTGACTGGAAATCTTCAGAGTTTCCTAAAGACCTATTTTAATGAAATAGTGTGGCGGGGAAGGACGGTAGTTGAGTAAAGGCTTGTAACTTGGAGGGCTTGAATTCAAATCCTTACTCTGCCATCTACTATTAAAGTGACTCAGGAAGGTACTTTCACTGTTCTGTGCCTTGGTTTACACAAATGTAAAATGCAGATAGCTATCATCTTATACGGTTATTGTAAATCTTAAATGAATATATGTAAACAAATATTTACCTGGAAACATAGTAAGCATTCTTTGTTAAGCATAATCATTAAAAAAGAGCATTCTTATTCACCAATCTAAAGGATGTTATCTTTCATTTTTCATCTTCCTTTTGATATTATTCACTCATTCAGAAGCTCTTTAGGGGCCCATTGCTGGTTTTCAGTATTGGTAACACAATACTGAATGTGGTCTCTGCCCTCTGGCAACTCCTAGTTTAATTAGAAGAACAGATATGGGCACAGCTGTGCCACAGATGCTATAAAAGGTGTAAGTAGAGAGCTTTGGGAGCACAGGAGTTGGAGAAGCAAATGCTATCTGACTAGAATGAGTAAGGGCTTTGGAGACACTGAAATCTGAGAGGGACTTTGAAGCATCCATGTAGAGGAAGGGAGACCTGTGAGGCCAAGTCTTAGGCTGGAGCAGCAATGATGGGTGACAAGGCTGTCAAGTTGCTTGTGCCCAGGACTCTGCACCCTACTCTGTGGCAGGCAACCTTGGCTCCAGATTGTAATCAAAAGTCAATTTTAGGAAAATTTCTCTGGCAGCAGTATGGTAACTGCCTGAGGTAGAGAGACCAGCAAAGTGTCTGCTGCACTAGATGGTTCAGGTAAGAGCAGACAGATGGGCCCCACCGGGGGTGTTCAGCACAGGTACAGAGAGTGCTGGAGAAGGTCACCAGTGCAGGCCTGGACACTGGGACAAAGAAGGAGCTTACATCAGAACCTGGAAGGCATTTCACTCTTTCACCCAAGACACAAAAGAGAAGGAGCAGGATTGGGGTGGTCCAACTCTCACTCCATGGCCAGGCAGTTTTCCCCCGACCCTCTGCCTCTTCTGCAGAGCTATGGGTTCTTCCTGGACATTTCCTGTAGGCTCTCTTACCATCAAGTCCTGGTCTTAAGTACCTAGAGTAACCTGTACGCTCTCCTCTGTACAGGTTTTTCTCCTTCTCACTCCTTCAAAGGGGCTTCTAACAGCGCTGATGGTTTCTGCATGCAAAATCCTGTAGCCAAATCTTACCTTACATTGGCTTTGAACCTTGGTGTAGCCTGAAGATATGTTCAGGCCAAGACTGACATGAATGTGGTGGCGGCGGGGGTGGAGCTGCTCAAGGCACCTGCCTGTAAGACTGTCCACGCTTCCCCACTTTAAAAAGAACTGTGGGTAAAACACACTGTCCTAAGGTACAAAGGCATAGATACCTGAGATTCAATTTCAGCTTGTGTTTCCATAAGCCAGCCATGACCTTTGTAATCCTGTGTTCCTCCCTGCAAATGCTGATGGGGAAGCACAGGGAGAGACTGGCCAGGGACCAGGCTTCTGAGCAAGGATCAAACCATCCATGCTTCTCCAGCCCTGCTGTCAGTTTACCTCTGGTCATCTACTTGTCAACAGATCTAACTCCACTTTTTAATTATCATTATTATGTAATTTATTATTTGTTAGTTTCTAGTGTAGTGCTTTGAGCCTATACAAGCACTTTTTTAAGGTTTTATGGCCTGATACAGTTTCAATTTTTATAAATGTTTCATGAACACTTGAAATAAAGGTATATTCTGTGTCTATTGAGTACAGTGTTTTATATATAATTATTAGATCAAGTTTTTTATATATTCCATTTTCTACAGCCTTTTGTCTACTTAAATCTGTCAGATTTAGATAAGTGTGTTAAACATGTCTACTATGATTATGGTTTTGTCAAATTTTCTATTTTTATCTATGTCTGCCTTTAGTTTTTGGACTCATTGATAACTCATACACAATGGCTGATGAATGCTGTACTTTTGTAGTATACATAGTTTCCGTCAATACAAAATGTTCCTCTCCTTCTCATTCAATATTTTTGTCCTTGACTTCTGCCTTGTTCAACACGAATGTGAACACTCCTGCTCTTTTGTTGTCTGTCCTTCCTTAGGATACTATAGTTTATCTCTTTATTGTCCATCTCCATCACATTTTTACATGTCTTTTATATGAGATATAGCTTTGCTGCTGTGTTTTATTTAGAGCAATTTAATTTTTTTCACACTTAGTGTGGTTATCATGTTTGGTTTTATCTTAGGTGCATTACATACTTTTTTTTTTTTGCTTTTTTCCCTTCTTCTTTTTGAATTCATTTTGGTTTCTCTTCTTCCTCTAATTGTTGAAAAGGTTTTGTTTTATATGTATTCTACTGTGGTTACCTTTAAAATTCCTTATTTAAAATATTTTTAACTGTTTAAGGAGCTTTTAAGGAACTGATATTTCTCTTATCATCATGAATTAAAGCCTCTCTCTGCCCCCCCTCCCCCTTACCTTTTTGAATGAGACTACATCTGCTAGTGGGCACCTATTCTCCCATTTCCTATCCTCTCCGTCACCAGCAGGCATTGAAATATACCAACGTTTTTATTTGAAAACTTCATTTTCACTTTGCTTCTCCTATTTCCAGATTCCAACAAACAGCTTTAAACTTCACAGTCATGTTAGTTACTATCCACTTTTAATTGTTAAAATTGCCACTTTTGTTGCTTACTACTTTATCTGGTACAGCAATCTTCCTATTTTTTAGTTTCTTATTCTAATTCACTTTGGCTAAAGCGCTTTCCTTAAGTGACTTTGTTTTTGTTGTTGTTGTTGTTTGTTTTTTGAGAAAAATATTTGAAATGTCTCTTTTGCCCTCACACAGACATAATGATTTCACGGGGTACAAAAAATCCTAGGATCCATTTCTTTTCTTCAGAACTCTAAACACCTTTCTCCATTATTCTGTATCATTCAGTGTTACAGAAAAAAACCTGATGCTAGTCTGATTTTTCCCTCCTTCATAGAGAAGCAGTTTTCCCCCTGACCCCCTGTGAATACCCTTGGGATTGTTTTATTATTAAATCCTGGCACAGTTGTTCTAAACTTAGGATTCATTCATTCATTCATTCATTCATTCAACAAAAACATACATACCAGGCAAACTGCCAGGGACTGGGGAGAAGGTGGTAAGCAAAATCAGTCATGATCTGCATCTTAGAGTCATTATAGCCCAGGTGCAGGCTTGTCAGGGAGGTGGAATGTTGGCTAATAGTGCAGGTGCACACACGGTGGTGAGTGCTATGAAGGAAGGGTGCGGGTGCTATGTGAAGAAATCTGACCCTCCAGGGTGGACCAAGGATGATTAAGCTGGACTCTGAAGGATGGTGTGGGAGAGGCAGGTGGGTTGAGGAAAGAGCCTTCCAGGCAGAGACAAGTACACGTGATGGCGGGATTGTGAGATGGGACAGCAAGCCACTGAAGCTGAGTGCACAGAGAACACAAGGAAAATAACTTGAGCGAGGCTCGGGGGTGGGGATGCCCAACCATGCAGGGCCTGGGAGGCCATGGAGAAACGAAGTGCAAGGGGAGCTGCAGAAATGTTTTAACCTGGAGCCTAACGGGTCAGGGAGCATATTATTGGGGATAAGAAATGAAGCTGTGGAGCTAGTTAGGAGGTTACTGCTGGTCCAGGTAAGAGATGACGGGGCGTGGGGGTGGGGGTGGGGGTGGAGGTGGCAATGCGGCAGAGGAGGTAGAGAGAGAGACTGGAGTGGTAAACCGGACCGACTGTGAAGCTTTCACAGGGCAGCCGCATACCTGTACATTCTAAGAACTAAGAGTAGTGGTGGCAGTGACGGTTGGCTTAACAGCAGCTACATTTTAGGAAACATTCACAGTGAACCAGGCCTTGTCCTAGGTGCTCTGTCTGTATTAACCTGCTTAATCCTCACAGTGACCCCACTAGGTAGATACTATTACTACCATAATTTACAAATGAAGAAATGGAGGCACAGAGAGGCTAAGTAACTTGCTTAAAAGCTTACTCTGAGGAAGTAGCAGAGCCCAAATTCAAACCTGGCAATGGAATCACTCTCAAAACTCAAGTATTATAGGAACTTGTATCCTGTTTCTTTCTGATTTTTAGAGACAGAGTCTCACTCTGTCACCCAGGCTGGAGTGCAGTGGCATGACTATAGCCTCGAATCCCCTGGGCTCAAGTGATCCTTCTGGCTGAGCCTCCCAAGTAGCTAGGACTACAGCGTGCACCACCACAGCTGGCTAATTTTTTTTTTTTTTTGAAACAGAGTCTTGCTCTGTGAGTCTTGCTCTGTCACCCAGGCTGGAGTGCAGTGGGATGATCTCAGCTCACTGTAACCTCTGCCTCCCGGGTTCAAACAATCCTCCTGCCTCAGCCTCCCGAGTAACTGGGATCACAGGCGTGCACCACCATGCCCAGCCAATTTTTATATTTTTAGTAGAGATGGGGTTTTACCATGTTGGCCAGGCTGGTGGTCTCAAACTCCTGGCCTCAAACGATTCTCCTGCCTTCGCCTTCCAAAGTGCTGGGATTACAGATGTGAGCCACCACAACCAGCCCTGTTTCTTTCTTGATATTTCATATATAGTTATTTTCTAATTCTGAAACTCTTACTGAACATGCTGGATTTATAAGTCTCCTTCCACTGACATTTCTATTTCTTTGTACTTTTGCTCCTATTTTGGAAGAATTCCTGGAGGATTCTTCCAGGAGGGCTTTGGGATCCACTCCTCTGCATTGCAACCCTAACAGTATCACTGACACTTAGAGCCTCGATGCTGTCACCCTCTCACATGAGGTTATTCCAGCAGTCATGCCTTTTATTTACAGGAATCCTTGCTCTCCAATGACTCTTTCCTCACAGCTGCTGGCTCTTGTTTTATGATGCCACATCTTTTAAAATCTGAGAATGAACTCTAGAAATTTTAAAAGCCCTCTCTTGATTCCTATACTCTTTCAGTGGGAACTCCTGTGTCTTGGTTTACTTTTTTTAATTATCTACTCATATTTGCAAACAGAAGTCAAGGCTGAACAGCATTGATGGCTTGTATTGGTCTTTGTTAGCAATTGTGAGAGGCTTTATTTTAGGTACACCTGTGGCCACTTTGAGCGGTTTCCACAGAAAAACCAGGGAGTTACTCAGGGAAACTCAACACTTCAGAGGCGGCTTCACCAGTGGGCTGTGATAGAGCCTTTCCCTCCATGTTAATGGGAGGAAACTGCCCAGAAGTCAGGCAGAACCAGGAGCTTACCACACAACCCCCACCTGATGTGGGGGCATTCTCTGCCATGCGAGGAAGCTGTGTAGGGGCTTGATGGCATGTGTCTGAGGCACGGCCCCCTTCAGCCCACTGGATCTCTGCACTCTGAGAATAGGGGTGTCCAGGGGCTCCCATGAGGACACCATCCTCTTACTTCTCATATGATCCCCCTCCTCTGTCTGTCTGTCCATCCAAACTTAGCCTCACATTTCTCCCAGAAGCTTCATTGTACATGTCCTTTTCTGTTTTCCAGCATGGTTTTAGATATTTTCCTACTTTCTAATCCTGATCTTTTTAATGGATGGAGGAATGTAGAAATGGTAAAATTTATTACAGTTAATTATAAAAAAGACCATACTCTGCCCCCAACCCTCAACCATTCTGGATAAATGAAGGTTTGTTATTCTTTCTCTAACAGCAGACTAAAGCTAAAGAACTCAAACTATAAAACTCTTGGAAGACAACGAGGAAAGCTTCATGAGATTGGATTCAGCAGTGACTTCTTAGATATGACACCAAAAGCACAGACGACAAAAGATCAAATAGGTACGCTGGGTGTGGTGGCTCACACCTGTAATCCCAGCACTTTGGGAGGTTAAGGCGGGCAGATCACGAGGTCAGGAGATCCAGACCATACTGGCTAACATGGTGAAACCCCGTCTCTACTAAAAATACAAAAAATTAGCTGGGCATGGTGGCGGGTGCCTGTAGTCCCAGCTACTCAGGAGGCTGAGGCAGGAGAAAAGTGTGAACCCGGGAGGTAGAGCTTGCAGTGAGCCGAGATCATGCCACTGCACTCCAGCCTGGGGGACAGAGCGAGACTACATCTCAAAAAATAAAAAATAAAAATAAATAAATCAAATAGATAAACTAGACTTCTTCCAAAACTAAAGCATTAGTGCATTAAAGAACAGTATTAACAGAGTGGGAAAGGTAACCCATAGAATGGGAAAAATATTTGTAAATAGCATATCTGATAAAGGATTAATACCCAAAATATAAAGAATTTCTACAGCTCAGCAAGAATAAACCAAACAACTCAATTCAAAAATGGGCAAAGTCCAATATGACTGATATAAAAAGAGGAGAGAGTGGAGAATGCATGCCGCAGAGGAAAGGCCATCTGTGAGCAAGGAGAGGCCTCAAGGGAACTCACATGCTGACACCCTGACCTTGGACCTCCAGCCTCCAGAACTGTGAGAAAATCCATTTCTGTTGGTGAAGTCAAATAAATACATAAACATTTTATAGAAATGTATAAAGGACTTGAATAGACATTTCTCTAAGAAGGAAGTACAAATGGCCACGAAGCACATGAAGTGCAAATCAAAACCAGAATGAGATACCACTTCATCCCCATTAGGTGGCTATTATTAAAAAAACTAATACAACAAAACAGAAGCAAATAAGTATTAGTGAGGATATGGAGAATCTGGAACCTTCCTGCATTGCTGTGGAGAGTGTAAAATGATGCAGCTGCTGTAGAAAATAGTATGGTGATTCTTCAAAAAATTCAAACAAAAAATTACCTGTGATCCAACAGTTCTACTTTGGACATCCAAAAGAATCTAAAGCAGGGACTCGAACAGATATCTGTGCACCAATGTTTATAGCAACATTATTCACAGTAGCCAAAAGGTGGAAACAACCCAAACGTCCATGGCTGTATGCATGGATAAACGAAATGTGGACTATACGTAACAATGGAATATTAGTAGCCTTAAAAAGGAATGAAATTCTGATACATAATATAATATGAATGAACCTTAAAGATATTATGCTCAATAAGCAAAAAAAAAAAAAAAGGGACAAATATGATTCCACTTATATGAGGTACCTAGAATAGTCTAATTAATCGAGACAGAAAGTAGAATTGTGGTAACCAGGGGCTGAGGGGAGGGGCAAGTCAGGAGTTATTGTTTAGTGAGCATAGAATTTTGGTTCAGTGATGGAAAAGGTGTGGAGTTGGACAGTGGTTATGGTTGCACAACAATGTGAATGAATTGAATACCACTGAACTGTCCACTTCAAAATGGTTAAAATGGTAAATTTTATGTTACGTATATTTCACCACAATCAAAACACAGATAAAACTTGCATTCCCAATGAATACAGGCAATCTTTTTGTTTATATTGTTGCTGGTGTTTTTCAGTTATTATGATTAAAATATTCCTGTCCTATGCTCAAATTCTCTTCTTGCTTGAGCAATGGAAGACGTATTTTCTATGGAAGTGACTCTATTGAGCGTTCCCAAACTCTGTCATGAGGTTATCCCACCTGAGATGGACACAGGGGGTGGCCTGGGAAAGGACTGTGACCACTGAGAGACGATAACGAGCCACAGGAAGGAAATAGGAGTCGCTTCTGATCACTTTCGCCCGCCTCTCTTACTCCTGGGTGCACTTCGGGATCACCTCAAGACTCAAAAAAAAAAAAAAAAAACAAAAAAAACCCGCAACCACACAAATACCAGGCCTCACCCTCAGAGACTATATGGTCTCTTTGCTCCTAGGTGGAGCTCAAGTGTGGGTGTTTTTTCAAAGCCCCTTGCCATTTTGATGCGAAGCCATGGGGAGACCCGCTGAATTAGACCCTCCTCAGAGAGCTCTGGAGTATACAGCTCGGCATCCCCCTTTACACCTCCACCATTAAATAATGGCAATGTTGTCTCAGAAGCGAGAAGCTTTAAATCTTAATTTTGATAATCCTTACACTAGAAAAGGAAAACATGTTAAAATTCATGAATTCAGCAAACATTTGTTCAAGCTATTACCATCAGAGACTGTGCCCGGCCTGGAGATGCAGGCAGACCCGAGCGCCCTCCTAGTGTACTCCCGGGCTAGCAAGGCGGCCAGGGGCAGGGAGGACACTGACATGAGCGCCACCTTGTGGAAATATTCATAACTGCATAAGCCAAGGATTCTAGGGGAAAAGGTAGAAAGGGGCATCCACGTGTGATGGAAAATCAGGAAAAACTTCCCAGAAAAAGCGATTCCTGCCTCATCAATGAGTCTGGAAGAGTAACTGGAAATTAGCTAGGCAAACGTGAGAAGAAAAGTGACATTGCATATCCTAGGCTGGAGGGCAGTGTGTGCCACTCTTGGTTTAATCAGGCCCATCAGCTTAGGGCAATGCCGACTGACCACAGCGGTTGGCCTGAGGGATTTAAAATTGAGGTGAACTGATGTGCAGAGTGTTTGGGGTCAGGGTGATTACAGCTGCTCAGGGAGCCCAGGAAGAATGCCTGCAAGGCTTAACTTCTGAAGCCAGTGCAGAAAAATGTGTAGTAGTCACAGCAAACAACCTGCATGCCAAAGAGAGAAGTGGTCTGCACCCCGGCCCCCACGTTAGCAGTGCAGGGCAACAACCCTTAATCCTAACTATTTACATGAGTAAAATAAATAATACCTATTTAACAGATTCTAGATGAAAACTATTACCTACAGATGCTCTCCTAGGGACTCTTAGGAAAGTCGAGGTGGTGAAAAAGGACATTTGCCCCCTTGTGACTTGATTAGAAAGCATGAGAATCATTCTTTTAAATCCTTCCCTATGTGCCATCAGGAATTTGCATATTGAATACTTGTCTCGTGGTCTACATAGACTCACCTACAGGGGCAAGCGGCACTCACATGGCACCAAATGCCTTGCAAATCTCAATGTTACAAATGGCATTTTCTTCTGAAAGCTCAAGTGCTGTTTGTTTAGATTTTCAGCTGGGAAATTTTAACAATGAACACGTATCTGCTCCTAAACAACTCTTTAATGATCTTTTTTGGCTTCGATTTTCTCCTGTTGATCACTCTCTTTTGGGGGTATTTAATCTAAAGTAAGGGCTAGCGTTTATCTCAGCATGCCATCCTGCATGCTGAGCCAATTCATTGAATGATAATGAGCACAGGTCCACCCGCCAGAAGAGAAATGAAGTTCATCATGAGCCCACAGCGGAGTTCAAATGTTCTTAAATACTACCGTTAAGAGTGATCTCACAAAGCTACAAGTGGGTGCAGATTCAAATATTCACAGAACAGCAGGAACTTCTGTATGTATTCGTTTTACTTCAACCTCAACACAACCCAGAAAGCTGGTGCAATGATCCCTAATCTACAGGTATTAGGAAGAAGCAATGATCCCTAATCTACAGGTATTAGGAAGAAACAGATATTCCCCTAGATCTTCAGGCTGCACAGCCTGTATGTGTCAGAGCAGGACCCAAGGATGAGTGATTCTTCCACCCTACAGCTACCTGCATGGACCTCACCACTGTGATAATCAAACAAAACACTGACCTAATTCATCAAAATAAATGTGTGAGCCAGCTGAACCCAAAGGCACAGTCTTGTTTCTTGGTTAAGAGTGACATTCACCAAGTGTCTACAATGTTCTACTCCTGGCTGCTTTGCACGTGATGTCTGATTTTGTGAAAAATTTCATTTTCCCTGTTCTGCAGATGAAGAAACCAAGAAACTGTTCTGCAGGCTCAGAGACCAAGAACTCAGTGACTTGGCTGTAGGTGGGTGAGTTGGAGACCATCTCTGTAGACACACTGACCTGACTCTGAATCCCAGACAACTCACTTAGCATACCTAGGCCTCGGGCTCCTTATATGTAAGTGGGGATAATAAAACTAGCATATCCCTTGCACAGCTAAGTGAGGATTCATGAAGAAAGAACACAGAATGCTTCCAAATGCCTGATGCTTGGTAAATGCTAAGCAAACAATATATAATTATTGAGTCTGCTGGACATCCTGATAGAAAGGAAAACTTCAGGTTTTCAAAATTTTTAGTCCTGGAATGAATGTTTTATTCCATTGAAATCTTGAGGGGATCTCCAATATGTAAATGCAGAGCTGCTAGAATTGAGGTGGACAGAGGCCTGGAAACCCGTCTCCCCACTTCCCCTTCAGCCCTGAAAGGCCTCTGCAGAGCCCTCCCTCTCCACGTCCACCCCACCTGACCCCACTACCAGCTGCTCCAGAGCAAGCACCCTGAGTATGAGCACACAGATGCACATGTGCTCCTTGCCCCACACGCCCACCTCTACCCAGCACAGCCCTGGCCACAGCACATGCAGACAGGACCAGACACAGTACTGTGGGCATCAAATCCCTGCAAGTCTCTAGACTGCACCATGTTCTAGAAATAGATTAAAAACTGAGTGGCAGGCTGCCTATTGCCCCAACACTCTGCCACCTGTCCCTGTGGTTCTATAAGTTGTTGGGACAGAATTACCACCCCCTGGCAGCTGCAGTCCTCTCCCGGTGACAATCACACTGTACCAACCCAAGGACAAAGTCCCAAGCTGGTCCCTAGATCCTGCACTAAAAGGTACCACATGACACATCAAGTCACTCTACTGAGAAGATTCAGTAACTTTATAGTTCTCATAGAAAACATTCATGCATGGAAAACAGCACACTTAAATCACGAATGACTCCAAAGTGGCAGGAAGACAATTCCCTCCATTTTCTTGCAGTATTTATATTCATGAAGCAAAGCAAAACGTCATTAATTTTGACTGCTCATTTGGCTTTGATGATCATCTGATCCGGGCTGGGCTGAAGCTGATCACAGCATTATCTACTGAGAAAAGGTCTGCCAAATAAATTAACCCAGGCAAAATTCCTTGTTGACAAACATTGAGATGAAGGAGACCCAGAATAACTGTCATTCCCACGTCCCTGCAGAGAGCCCACAGAAAGCAGCCTTCAGCAACCTGCCCAGAGTGATCCCTCGACCCCCTCCAGTTTCATGGTCATCATTTATAATAATTTTTTAAAGGTTTGCCTGGTAAACTTGTAGCGGGGACAGCTGCTCTGGGATAGTGCCGTCACTCAGCCCCACTCACAGGCTGGGGCTAGGGGAAACCTGGGGCTGGGATTGGGCAAGGAGTGGAGGGCAGGATAGTCCGGCTTCTGCCTACAGGAAGGATGCATTCTGGGAGTCGGGGTGGCGGAGCCTCAACAATTATAATGAGAGATGTACAACCACTGTGACAAGGTGCAGAGGTATGGGAGGCTGAGAGAACAGCACATTATAACACGGGAGGAGCTATCTTAATTGAAGCATCAGCAAAACCTTCCCCAAGAAGGCAGCCTTTAAGCTGAGATTTGAAGGATGAGTAGGGCTGAACGAGGAAGGAGCATTTCCAGGCAGGGGCATCAGTGCAGGCCCCAAAGGGAAGGGTAGAATGTGCTGGAGGAAGTGATCTCTGCCCGCAAAGATTGAGTAGAGGGGAACAAGAATAGTAAGGTGGGCAGGGGTGGGCCGGGCAGGGCCTGGCAGGTGCCAGTGACAAGGAATTGTTTATTCCAAGAGCATGAGTAGCCCCTGAAGAGCTATGAGCAAGGGACTGCCAAGAATCTGGTTTGCATTCCTGAAAGATTCCTCCTGCTTCGAGGTGGAGTGGACACGGGAGAGGGCAGGTATGGATACAGGAGGCCCAGCCAGGCGTGATCACTGTCTTCCTCACTTTCAGCCTCGACACCCTCCACTGGGACAACACACCCACAGTGAATCCTGAGCTTGAAAACTTCAGTCAGGTGATGTGATTTTTTTTTTTTTTCCTAATATGCAGACTCCTATTTTACACAAAATAGGTGTTCTGGTTAAAAGAATGTTTTAATTACCCAACATCACTGTATTTTCTACACATAAATTACGACTCAAAGGATAATACAAATTACACCAATTAAAATTAACCAAACTTAAATTTAATACATCATTTATCACCATACCATACAACAGAAAAAGGTGTTAAAAAGATCTAAGTGTCTGCTGATTTAGAGTATAATCTGAAAAGGCTGTTAAAATTTTATAAGTCCCCAATAGCTGTGGTATTTAAGACCTCCTCTCACCTCCCAGCCCGCTACGGGCTCATTACCCAGATGGCTGCCTGAGCCTCCAGGCCCAGCCCTCCTCCCCCATTCATCCCACACTGCCAACATGTGGTTCTCAAACTGTATTTCTAATCACATCAGTCCCCTACTTGAAAAATGTCAGACTCTCCAATGTCCACAGAAATGAAGAAAAACTTCTCATCTTAGCACTCAGTCCTCACTATCTGACCCCAGCTTGCCCTTCCCAAGAGCTACACATACCCTGGGATAACTTGTTCCAAAAACACACCCTGCCCATGATCCCTCCCTACCCTGGCCTGGGCCTAGCACGGAAGGTGCCTCTCAGATGTCACCTCTTCCCAAGACCTTTCCCGAAACTCCCCCAGTGGCTGTGGTTTTCTCTTTAAATGTAACCCCCAATCATTCCACTTGTACTCATTTTCGACCCCACGATGTATCTGCCATGCTCTTGTAGACATTCTCTCTCTGCTAGATACAAAACTCCTTGAGGCGAGGGGCTGCTACATTCAGTGTGTGTGGAATTCAGCCAAATGTCACTTCTCCCTCTATTAACATTTGGCGGACGGTCAATTCCAACAACTGGCCCCTCCACCTTCCCAGCCCTTGGCTTCCTTACTTATCTCACCTTTTTTCTGGGAGTCAGAGGTGACTCTATCTAGGTGAACCTGTCCATCTAAGGTCTTGATCTCCCCTCATTTCCTCTCCTTTGGGACTTTCAACACTTATCACTTCTTAAAACTTCAATTTCTCCCCCTCCATCATTAAAGAAAGAGGAAAAAGCTGTTATACCCCTTGAAACTGCCACCATCTGTCTTTCCTACTCATTTGCTGCCGCATTTCTTAAGAGTTGTCTCCTGGCCCTCCTGCCTCCTAGTCATGCTCCCCACCCCCACTGTCCACCCACTCGCCACAAAAGTCAGGGCTTTTAAGCCTCCATTGAATAGAAACTACCACCAGCTGGAAAGCTGGTGATAGGCCGTAGGCGAGGAGGAGTTGGCTGCCGACAGAAGACAAGTATAACCAGGTGCACCGCCTTACACAACCTCAGTCCTTAGAATCAGAACTTGTCAAAATCACACAACCCTCGAGTTGGAGGGGACCTCAGTGGCCATTGCACCCTTCCTCTTCCTAACCCATACCTCCTGGCCACTCATCATCACAACATCCTTTCAAATCCCTGTCCAGCCAAGACAGAACCTCCCCAAGCCTTTCCCAGATCAAATCTCTCCCCCTCTGCTCCATTAGAAACCTAATTTTTTTTTTTTTTTTGAAACAGTCTCCCTGTGTCTCCCAGGCTGGAGTGCAGAGGTGCAATCTCGGCTCACTGCAACCTCCACCTCCTGGTTCAAGTGATTCTCATGTCTCAGCCTCCTGAGTAGCTGGGATTATAGGCATTTGCCACCACGCCCAGCTAATTTTTGTATTTGTAGTAGAGACGGGGTTTCACCATGTTGGCCAGGCTGGTCTTGAACTCCTGACCTCAGGTGATTCACCTGCCTCAGCCTCCCAAAGTGCCGAGATTATAGGTGTTAGCTACCATGCCCGTCCAGAAACCTAACTTTGCTCAGACCATTCTGCTTCCAGCGGTCTTTCTCCCATACTCACCAAGGGTCCTCCTCTTCCCACATCCAATAACGGAATTCATCATTCATCCACCCCTTCTCTCCAGTGACCTCGCCACTGTCCACCCTAACACCCTCTTGCTGGGCCTTGTCTCTTTCCCTGGCTCCCCCCCTGCAGTCACTTTAAATGCCTGCCCCCAGGATGCAATCCGAGGCTGCCACAGAGTCTCCCTGTGGGAGCACATCCATCCCCAGGGCTTCGACACACCCTGGTCCACAGGACTCCAGACCAGAAAACTAAGCTTTCCTAGACTTCACCTGTATGAGGAAAAGGCACAGAAGACCTGTATGCTCCCAGCCTGCTCCTTCCACCTGGCTCTGCTGGCCTGTGTGTCACTTCATTTGGCTGGTCCTGACTTGTATTCTTTATAACACTGATTACAATGATAATTTGTATAATTACAGCACTCTCCTGAGTTCTGTGAGTCATTCTAGCAAATTAGCAAACCTGAGGAGATTGTGGGAAACATCCAGTGTAGTCAGTTGATCAGAAGTGCAGGTGGCCTGGGACTCTCCAGCGCGTGGGGGGCATGTGAAATAAGGGCAGTCTTGTTGGAGACTGTGCCCTCTAACCTGTGGGGTCTGCACCAACTCCAGGTGGTGTCAGAATCTAATTGCAGTACACCTAGTTGTGTTTTTAGCAGAATAAAGTACCTACTGTGTGCCAGCAACTCAACTGGGAACTGCATATACTGTCATTAATGGAGCACCGTGTCCCACGGGCCACATCCTAGAATTAATAATAAGGCACATGCCAATGTTGAAAATTCCTAATAAATATCTGTTTTAAGTTCTCAACTTGAACAAATCTACACCTCCTGGTGAGGGTGAAGATTGATTTAAGCTCAGTTCTTTCAAGCAGTCGTTCTTACTGACACCTCCCTGGAAGTGGCTGAAGTGAGTCTGTCACTTGAAATTAACTGCCTCCCTTCAAAACAGAGCTAAAACCTTTGGTGGACTTCCTCACTTTTAGCCAATCCTCAGATTCCTGAGGTGTAAGAATTGAATTCTGAGGCACAGAACAGTAGAAACCCCCCAGGGCCTCACTGGCTTGGCAGAGCTATATGGCTACTGGTCAGCTTTGAAGCCAACTGCACACCACCAGTGGGGCTGCCTCCAGTGTTTTCTTTCCATCTTGTGGGCAGGCATATTAATTTTTTTAAGTAGTAATCATTATTTTAAAAAATATCCTCCAATGGAACAGAAATAATCTTAATTCTGCCATTATGGTTGTAAACATAAGATTATTTCAAGAACAATGTTTCATGTCACCTGAGAGCAAAATTTCAGTATCAGGCAAGTTCAACATGGCAATAAAATGACAGTGTAAGAACTACTAGAATGACATGAAACATCGCAGTTTCAATGTTTGATACTCAAATGAGTTTCCAGTGATGGGCTATGTGATGACCTCACAGAGATACAAACAGGACAGGCTCTGAGGGGCTTCTACTGAATGTGCTCAAACCCACAAATGTTCCATTTGGGCTCTTAATCCGCTTTGCAAATGCAAGACAGACC
Source organism: Homo sapiens (assembly GCF_000001405.40). Lineage (NCBI taxonomy): Eukaryota > Metazoa > Chordata > Mammalia > Primates > Hominidae > Homo > Homo sapiens. The sequence goes on from NC_000006.12 coordinate 70,891,677, forward strand.
CAGGCTCCAATATGGTGCTCTCACTTGACTATCACAGAGCATTTTCAAAGTAGAGCTCCTCAGAGCTCAGATTGTGTGTGTGTGTGTGTGTGTGTGTGTGTGTGTGTGTACATGTAACTTGGAAATGAGGTGGGAAGCACCAATTGAACATGAAGGCCTAAAAGGTCTTTTCCCTCTTCCCAGAGAATAAATGAATTGTATGTGGAATCTAAACAAAGCCACAAATTTTTAAGTTAGAATTAGAACAAACTGCCTCAAAAACAGAATAACTATCCTATCGACCAAATTACTTACACTTAAAGACTTCCAAAAATATCAATAATTTACTGAAAGCTAAGATGCAAAGCAAGTTCATGTGTGAAGTGAAAAAAATTATTTAGTGTGACAAAAGTTGTCTCCTTAGAGACACTTTATTCCTATTTTAAAACCATGATAATGAATACAGAGCAAGGAAATAATTCATATCTTATTATGATGGGTGTTTTTAATATGCTTTGAAAATATACTGAAATGCTTAGAAAAATCCAAACATTGGTCTTGTCATGGAAAAAAGAATTCCCACAGAATTTGGCAGTCCTAGATAGGCCAGCCCTAATGCACAAACACATACATCTTTAATTTTAGAAATATCAATGTGACCCAAATTCTAGGGGAACCAATGCAAATATTCAACAAGTCTATTTGATACCTGATCATCTACATAAAGTTCCTAGATTAAAATCCAGGAAGAGTTACCCAAGTTGCCCTCACCTTGCATGATCCATGCAAGGAAATGGGCAGACATCCCACGTGTTAAGGAGATATGTCTGGGAAGTCCGTGTTGAAACAAGGCTCTGGGAAAATCTGAAGCAAAAGTCTGTCTGCGGCTGCTTGAGCAGTCACAATCCTCACTTAGAAGCCCAAGCTTGGGCTCTTACTTGAGAGTTCCAAGGTGGGAGGCCAGGAAAGGAGGGCTGCACTGGAGGGCCCTGGTGGTCATCTCCGGCAGCTGCCTCACTTTACACAAGAAAACTACATCCCAGAGAAGCAGAAGGACTTTCCCTAATGTTGTCTAAATTTTCTGCTCTAAGGTACACTTCTGGTCAGCAAGAAGCCCGATTTTCAAAAGATACACTATGCCCCATGTTTTCAGGGCCATGCACTCTGAGCGGGTCGAGGGCAGGCCTCTTTCGAGGGTCCTCAGGACCGTCCAAGATGGCTCAGCTGCCTCTCCTTCTGCCTCCAGGTGGAGACCTAGACTGAGATGCCAGCTCAGTTCTGGAGCTGCAAGAACTGAAGACCAAAGCAAACAGCTGGAGTAACAGAGGGATGGAGAGGTCAGGGGCCTGAGACATGGCCTGGCTGAGGGCTGGTGCTGTGGAGATGTGTGTTAAATGTTGAGTAAAAATCTCCTATTTGTCCTCTCCCACGATGCCATGTGACAAGACCCACCACACAGCTGTCCATGAGCGCTGTGCCCCTCAGATGACTCCTGGTATTCTTCGTCCTCTGGCTCCCTCAGATTTATAGTATTGTCAGAATAAAAGTGATGAATCCAGTTCAGAAGACAGCCTCCATCCCATCAGAATTCTGAACGCGGAGATCTTGACTACGGCTGGGAAATATGCACAGAAGATGGGGCAAGCACAGGCTGGCAGCCCGACAGAGCTGTGCTTCAGAGCTCAAGATTGATGAGATCAATTTTGAAGCCTTTCTGCCTTCATTTTTAAGAGTATAGATGTCACCGAATTTTTTTTTTTTTTGCCTCTGAGCCTCATGTTTCAAACTCCATCCTTCCACAGTTATCACAGGCATCATTTTCTATAACCCATAGAAAATGAGTTGTTTTATGATAAAGTAGCATTTTAGAACGTGTGGTCCTACTGCAGGGCTAATTCAATTCAGTTGGTTGTTCAGGGAATAAAAACTTTAAGACAGTTATACTCAATAAATTCTTGAAATACCAGAAATCTAAGTTTATATTTTAGTATTAAATATATCAATAAAGCACTAAACCTATCAATAAGCATTAAAATGACTTGTCAATTTTTATATCATTGTTAAATTTATCAATAAACATGATATATTTTAATATATCAGTCTTCTAGAAAAGGGAGTCAAAAGGTTCCAGCTAACAGACCCCTGGAAGGCAGGAGCCAGGTCTAGCTCTCACCACCGAATCCCCAGTGGCCAACCCAGTAGCTGCCATGTAGACGCTTGTGGGATAAAGGCACAGACAGGGGACAAAATGGAACAGAAAGGGCATTTTCTAATCACCCTCCAAATCAATTTCCACTTGATCTAACCAAAGAGCCTATTTTGAAGGTTTAAATATTTCATCTCCTGAATATGATATGATGTAGGGTTTTATCCAAATTTGTCTTTTAAAGCTTCCTTCATCTAGTGCATCGTTATAAACAAGAGCATAAGAACAGTCCAGCAGGAACAAATGTCATCACCCACACTGCTCACCTGCCATGTCGATGGCAAAAGGCCTGTCTGCTCTCCAGCCGGTGTACCAGCCAACAACTTTGCCGTTTTCCACCAGCGGACGTTCGTAGCGCCGCCCACCAACCAGGCCCACAGGCCAGACGGAGACCTTGCGGGTGGTTCGCATCTATAAAAAGGGAAAAGACATGTGTTTTAAGTTTCCTTAGGAAAAAGAGGGAGGAAATGAATGTGATCTATGTAGAAGAAGTAGGGCTGGTAGTGGTGTAAGATTTCAAAAGCTGAAGGTTTCAAAACAGAATCCTTCTGCTGCTAGAGTATGGCCCCCATCTGTTAGGCTGGCTGCTGTGCCATGATCTCTACTCGGTCATAAATTGGGCTAGGGCTCAAGGTTTAGGAGAAATAAAATGGTTGTCAATATCTGGACATCGCTGATTTGAAGCTAAGTTGCAACTATCAGATATTTTCCTATTTGTTTCAAAGTTGAATCTTTAAACAATACTTCTATCTTCCGAGGTGAGAAAGTTTAATTCCCCTTTAGGAAACTTCATTACTCAGGAAGAACAAAAACTTCAGAGAAGTCACAGGAGCGTCCTTTCTCTGACTTTTCTATTGCTATACATACACAGAATTCTTGGCTGGGGACATTAATAATGGGATCCAGATACAGACCTGAACCTGGCTTCTTCCAGAGTGATAAAAAGAAACACATACCCTAAACATTTGCCTGCCTTTTAAGGGCAATTGGGCCAAACTAGAGACCGTTGGAATCGCTTGTCCTTGTTACACACAGTGGAATCCTGGTTAAACATGACGCTCAACTGAAAGTTACTAGCTGGATTTCTTTAAGGGGAAAGAGATGCCCACAAGAAAGCTTGCTGATATTAGGCAGCACTGTAGGAGAAAATCGCTACCACCACCTTTTTCCAGGGCTCATGCTGAACAGCTCAAAAGGCATCTTAGCATAAACTAGAAAAAGGTGCCCCTTTCTCGGGCAGACACACCCCATGCTGGAGCCCATAGCTTGGCAAAGTACAAGCTGGACTTAAGCTCCACGCACCCTCACAGCTGGGTGTGCCTTGGACGAGGTATAACCTGCACAACTGCATGAGGTGGTCTTGTTGTTGAGGTAATTATAATTTCAACAGCAGTGCTTTATCTTTTATTTGCTATAGAACTGAACTGGGTCATAATCAGTTAACCAGTGGTTAAATAATGAACATCAACCAAGGAATTTTTTATGAAAGGAAAAAAATGATATACCTTGGAAAGATTTTCAAATACAATAGAAATGAAAGTCACAATATTAAAGAGTAAAAATAATTAGAAGCTCCCATTAGCCAAGCTTCCTGGTTTTACTTATTATTATCCTACCTTGTTCCAAAAAGGGGATTTTTTTTTTTTTTTTTTTTTTTTTTTGGAGTCAGAGTCTCACTCTGTTGCCCAGGCTGGAGTGCAGTGGTGTGATCTTGGCTCACTGCAATCTCTGCCTCCCGGGTTCAAGTAATTCTCCTGCCTCAGCCTCCTGAGTAGCTCGATTACAGCCACCCACCAACACTCCTGGCTAATTCCAAAGAGGGGATTTAAGGGTATGAAGCATTCCAGGTAATGAGGTTCTCACTGCATTGGTCTGCCTCAAATCTAAAGTTACTATTTTTTATAATCTCTTATCATTTTTTCAATAAATGAACTGCAACTGTCTTGTGCTAACTCACACTAACTTTTACAACTTTTTTTTTTTTTAACAAGCTGAGGTATAAGTGACTGCAGAAAAGTGTTAACAAGCCTGAGACTTTATCTAAAGCCTTATCTTTAGAAAGGTCTGCTTGCAAGGCTTGCCCTTGGCTAGTGTCCGGGAACACAGCTTTTGAAACATTTCCTACCCTTATAAGGTTATTTTATCTGTCTGGGGCACTGAACAACTGCTTTCCTTTCAGGAATATGAAATATTGGTGGGCAAGAGTGCCTATGTGACAAGCCCTGAACAAAAACCCTGAACTCTTGAGTCTTAAGTGGGTTTCCCTGGGTATAATCATTGTACGCCTGTGACTACATTTTCACTACTGGAGAGGTGGTATGCTGTGTGTGATCTCAGAGGGAGGGAGGGAACACAGAAAACCCACACATGGATTCCTCTGGACCCTGCCTGATGTCATTTCCCCTTACTGATCCACCTGTGTATCCTTCTACGTCAGTGTAATAAGTCTTAGCCCTAAGAACGACTATATGCTGAGTGCTACAGGTCCTAGTAAACCACCAAACAGGGTTGTCTTGGGATCCCTGAAATACTAATATAGAATAAAATGCGCTTTTTAAAGTCTAAAATTAGACACATTTTGACATATGTATATAGCCATGAAGCCATCACCACAATGAATATAATTAACACACCCAGCACCCCCAAAAATTTCCTTGTGCTTTTAATCCATTTCTCCAATCCCTTTTTATATCACCCATCGCCAGGAAACCCCAATCTCCTTTCTATAACTATACATTAGTTTGCATCCTCTAGAATTTTGTATGAATGTAATAATTCAGCATGTGGGGTGTATGTGAATGTGTGTATGTGTAAATATAGCTTCTTTCATTTGGCATAGTTATAAAGAGATTCATCTACTTGTAATGTACATTAATAGTTCCCTCCTTTATTTTACTGGATGGTATTCTATTGCGTAGTTCATACCACAGTTTACACATTCACCTGCTGAGGGACATTTGGGTTGTTTCAAGCTTTTGGCTATTACAGATGAAGCTGCTACAAACTAAATACGTGTTTACAAGTTTATGCGAATTTCTTTCTCTTTTTTTTAAGATAAATACATAGAAGTGGAATGGCTGGATCATGCACTAGGTATACATTTAACTTTTTCAGAAACTGTCAGATTATTTTCCAAAGTGCTTCTGCCATTTTACATTCTCATCAGCAGTGTAAGAGACGTCTAGTTCCTCCACATCCTCACCAACACTTGGTATTGTCGATCTTCAATTTCAGTAATTCTAATACATACTACTAATAGTGGTATCCCATTATAGTTTTAATTTGCATTATTTTAATGACTAATATGCTTACTGCTATCTGTATCTCTTCCTTGGCAAAAAGTCAGTTCAAATCTTTCGCACATTCAAAAAAAAAAAGGTTTTCTTACTATTGACTTTTGAGAGTTATTTATATATTCTGCACACAAATCTTTTATATGATGTATAAATATTTTCTCCCACTCCGTGGCTCATCTTTTCATTCTTATAACAGTGTCTTTTGAAAAACAGAAGTTTTAATCTTAATGAAGTCCAATTCATCTATTTGTTATTTTATGGATCATGCTTTTGATGTTCTACTTAAAATATTTTTGTGGCTCTGCACGGTGGCTCATGCCTGTAATTCCAGCACACTTTGGGAGGTCGAGGTGGGCGGATCACTTGAGGTCAGGAGTTCGAGACCAGCCTGGCCAACATGGTGAAACCCCGTCTCTACTAAAAATACAAAAATTAGCCAGGTGTGGTGGGGAACACCTGTAACAACAGCTATTCAGGAGGGTGAGGCATGAGAACTGCTTGAAAAAAAAAAAAATATATATATATATATATATTTGCCTAATTCAAGGTTACAAGGGTTTTCTCCTCCTTTCTACAAGTATTATAGTTTTAGGTAATATATTTAGACTATGATCCATTTTCAGTTAATTTTTATATATGGTATGAGGAACTGATTGAAGTTCTTTTCTTTTTTTGTATATGGATAACTAATTGTTCCAACTATATCTAATTGTCCTGGAACAACTGAGCCGCCATTACAACTTTTTCAAAAATCAGCTATGCATATATGTATGGGTTTATTTCTGGATGCTCTAATCTGGTCCATTGGTCTCTTCAGTGATCTTAATACCAATGCCACAATATCCTGATTTACCATAGCTTTATAATAAGTCTTATAATCAGATAGTATTACTCCTCCAACTTTATCCTTCATTTTCAAGGTTGTTTTGACTGTTATAGATCCTTTTTATTTCCACATGAATTTCAGAGTCAGTTGGTCAATTTCAGCAAATTCCGATAGAGATTGCATTGAATCTATATATTAATTTGGTGACATCTTAACAATATTGAGTTTTCTAGCCCATAAACATGATCTCTCTACATTTATTTAGGTCTTTAATTTCTCCCAGCAATGTTTTGATGATTTAATTCTTGAATCAATATTAACATTTAATGCTTTTGTATCCTAGATCTTCCCCATAGGTGGGACAAAAACCCAGGAAATTTACTAAAATTTTCATAAAAATATAGTCCCCCCCACCTCCCCAACTCACTCCAGCTTCAGACTCCTCTTTCCTGACATACTCAGAAAGTAAAAATATTTCAAATTTTTGGCCTTAGATGTTAAACATGGCAAACACAGAGAAACCAGGTTAAACCTAATACATACTTTTAAAAAATTAACAGAATGGCTTTATATATAAGGCAATAACAATAGTACTGTGGGTTTTTGGGTAAGATAATCTTCTTAAAATGGCCATGATTTTTCAGCTCCTAAACTGCTTTTGCCCAGAACGCTAAATATTCAAATCTGTGAAAAACTGGTGGGCAGACCCCATCTGACACCTCTGTGCTCCCTTAAGAATGTATAAGATTGTGCCCTGCACACAGCAGGTATTAAACAACTCTTGGCAAGTGTTTAAATACTAATTAGTCATTTACATATGGGCCCATTAGCCAGGTGTGGTTGGTGGTGTGTGCCTGTAGTTCCAGCTACTTGGGAGGCTGAGGCGGGAGGATTGCTTGAGCCCGGGAAGTAGAGGTTGCAGTGAGATGTGATTGCACCACTGCACTCTGGCCTGGACAATGAAGCAAGACCCTGGCTCAAAATAAATAAATAAATAAATAAATAAATAAATAGGAATGAAAAACAAATAGAAATAAAAAATAAATGTGGGCCCACATGTAACAAGAAATCACTATGTGTCTGTGCTGTGCAAGAGACATGCTCACAATAAAAAAGGGAGACAGGTAATAAATGAACAGAAGGCAAAAGACATTTTTAAAAAAGGAAAAGAGAAATTGCCATTAAAGGGAATTAAAAAGAATAATAAACTATACCTGTGGGACCACTAGAACAATTAAATATGGCCACAGAAATTCAGCATGTTTTGCATTAGACTTTTCATTTAAGCTGGGTCATGAAAGGTATATAGGGTTTTGTCCACAGAATACAGAATGGCCTCAGGTTCTAGGTAACCAGATGAATCAAAGAAGCAAAACTTTGCATGCATTCCTGTGCCAATTTCATGCTAGAAAATGTAGGTTTTGCTTAGCACACTCCAAATTACTGAGAGCAGCTCAGAGCTAACATTTGTTCATGCTTTATTTTTCTAGAGGCTGGGTGTTAAAGGTGAGGCAATGATTATTTAAATGCAGATGACGTGGCGGGATGATGTTTCCAGGTATGCTACATTTTAAAAAGTTTGTCATATAATTAGTTTAAAAACTCAAACAGATCCAGATGCCCTCACCATCTATGCCCTGCTGAAATTCCATGCAGAATGCTTCATCACAGAATTAGCCCCTCTATCCTCGACCACTATACTATATAGAGTGTGCCAGACATTTCAAAGGAAAACGGCACAGCTATTTACAGAACTTCTTCATTTCACTCCTGGGATCTGTCCTTTGTTCTGTGTCATTTTCACTCAATCTATGCTCTTTGAGGATTCCTTAACAGCCCTGTTATTTTCTGAGGGGTAGGGGGAATGTAACAACAACAGTGACTACTAAAAGTATCTTCATGTAACTAAAATATTCTCAGTATTTAAAAGCTTTGCTACTTTCTCAACATGAAATAGCAGTTACATAACAAACACAATCTCAGGTGTCTGGTGTGAACTCCAATCTAAAACAGAGCATTAAAGCAATGGATATTATGATAAAGGGGCAGCAATTCATGTATTTATAGGAGTTATAATATTACAAACAGTTCTGGCCCCCAAAAGCACTCTCTTCCCATTTATTCAATGCCAAAGTCATATTCTGTGGTTTATTCCTCCTGTGATAACCTCCAGCTAAATGGACAGGGCTTGCATAGCAATGTTAATCAACCAAACTCACAGCCAGAGTAATCTCCATAGACCCAATGGCTACAAAGGACACACAAGATATATTTGGTGCATGTGCACACTCCTCCAGGCTGAATGCCATTTAAACTATTCCAGGGTAGTGGTGCTTGTTCATCACGTTGTCATCTTCTCCAGGAAAGGAGGGAGGCAGGTGACTACCATGCACTCCAGTCTGGTGGCCCTTAACAACAACCGGCTCTTTTTTTTTTTTTTGAGTCAGGGTCTCCTCTGTCACCCAGGCTGGAAGTACTCACTGCAGCCCCCAACTCCTGGGATCAAGTGATCCTCCCACCTCAGCCTTCTGAGTAGCTAAGATTACAGGCATGCCATGCCAGGACAGCTTTTTAAATTTTCTATAGAGTTGGGGTCTCACTATGTTGCCCTGGCTGGCAGCTCCTGTTTCTTTAGCCAGCTTTTCTTTCTGCAGCTTTCTGCTACGTTCTTTTCGACCCTCCTTGGGAGATGGCTAACAGCCAGCTCCAGGGACTGGAACACTCAGAAGATCACATTCAGGCAATCATCAGAATGCCCTTAGAGCAAAACAGAAAAAGTTAAATGTCTTTAGCTTCCTTGAAGACATGCCACTAGTTAAAATCTTGTTTTATTTTTTCCAAAGGGAAATGAATAAAGTTATCGATCTTCTGAAATTTAAAATGCTATAGGCAACTTCAAGAAAGTGGAGTTACAATAAAAAATGTGACACTCTGTATCCTGTTTTTTTAAACTAACAATTTCAGTAGCAAAAAGTAAACGAAACCCATCAAATCCAATGGGACCCATGAACTAAGAACACAAAGGAAAGGGCAGTGCAAATATGATGAAGATTTGAACACAGAGGTGATTTGGAAGCAAGGATTCTTTCCAATTTTATTGTCCCTAAACGTGATTTTCCAAAACAAAACGATATTTATATGATCAAATACACCTATAACTTTCCTTTGGAACAAGCTTGAAAATGAACATAAAGTCTGCTTTTCTTCCTCTTTATTGCATCCCCCTCCTAATGATTTCACCATCCATCTTGGCTAGATGATTAAGGGTAACATCGATAGTCATAAATCGTGTTGATAGTATGTACCCTTGCTATGATGTGATGGGAATGACACTTAACCTCTGTGGCATTTTCTAATGCCATTCTCTTATAAAAGAAACCAGGGATTCTTAGAGAAATGGCTGATTCTAGGACTGGGATGGGAAATACACAAGATAAGCCTGGAGGAGCCAGAAAGGAAAGAAGCATTCAAATAAGACAAAAAACCGAACAAACCCACATTGGTGTGTGTGTCAAAGGGACATAGCCAATTGAAACAGCTCCTAGTGGACAAAGCTGGAATAATTTGAGCAACAAAATAAATAATGGTGAATTTGTGTACATTTGACATGATGTTATGAAAGTGGCGTAGAGTGGCTGTGCCCCTCTCAGCAGTGCCAGCCCTCCCCCGTTTGCCACAGTGTCCCCATCATTCCCCACTGCAGTCTCAATGCTGAGTCTGCATGCCAATCACCATTCATTAACCAGCTGATGCTGTCATGGGAGATACTGTATTCCTCTCTTTGAAGTGGGAAACTGAAAAACAGATCAAATGGGCCACGCATTTCAAAAATGTATGGAGGCAGTATTGTTCTATGTATGAAAACAGGGAATGTTCCTAAATATTTAGTGTGAAAAGTATGTGTATAAAGATATCATTAGAAATAAACCATAATAAGAACCATGAGACATGTGAGAAAGGGACATGACTCAAAACATTAATAAATGAAAATGAACCACGTTGAAATTTTAGCCCGTTAGATTTTAATATAAATAAAGTAATACTGCTTATACAAGAACAGCTTCACTTAATTATGTTACTTGCTTTAGGTCATATGTATTTGTGAATTCTGGTATGGACTGTCTAGGAGGGGCCTGACTGGGCTCTGCTTATTATAAAGCTATATAAATCAAGACAATGTGGCATTAGTGTAAGGATAAATACATAGATAAATGGAAGAGACTAGAGAATTTAGAAATAGTTCCTCCTACATATAGTCAGTCGATTTCTGGCTAAGATGCCAAGGCAGTTCAATGGGGGAAAAGGACAGTCTCTTCAGCAATCAGGGCTGGAATGAATGGACATCCATGCTAAAAAAAAAAAGTAGATGTGGAGAAAGAGGGACCCTTGTACATGGTTGGTAGAAATGTAAATTGGCATAGCCATTGTAGAGAACAGTATGGAGGCTCTTCAAAATATTAAAAATAGAGCTACCAAATGATGCAGCAATTCCATTATTGAACATATATATCCAAAGGATATGAAATCAGTATGTCAAAGAGAATGCCCATGTTTATTGCAGCACTATTCACAATAGCCAAGATACAAAATCAACCTAAGTGCCTATCAACAGATGAATGGATTAAGAAAATGGGATATATATATATATATATATACACACACACACACACACACACACACACATATATATATATACACATAAACACAATAGGGTACTATTCTGCCTTAGAAAAGAAGGAAATCCTGTAATTTGCAACAACATAAAAAAACTGGGAAGACATTATGCTAAGTAAAATTCACCAGGCTAAGAAACACAAATACCAATGGTCTCACTGATAAATGGAATCTTAAAAAGTCAAACTCATAGAAACAGAAAGTAAAATGGTGGTATCAGAGGTTGGACAGGGAGTGAGGGGTGGCAGGGGGGCTGGTGGTCAAAGGACAAATTTTTACTTAGAAGGAATAAGTTCAAGAGATCTATTGTATATCATGGTGACTATAGTTAATATATTATATAGTTAAAAATTGCTGAGACAGATTTTTAAGTGTTCTTATCACAAAAAAATGATAACCATGTGAGGTAATATGTATTCCACAATGTATACATGTATCAAATCATCATGTTATACAATATAAATATATACCATTTTTATTAACTAAAAAATTAAAAAAGAAAGAAAAAGAACAACACCTATATCTCACAAAATTCATAAAAATTAAATTAAAATGGGACCATGAACCCAAACACAAAAGCTAAAGTTTTTAAGTTTACAAACTTCTAGAAGAAAATACAGGAGAAAATCTTTGAGGTCTTAGGGTAGGCAAAACTTCCTTAAACACGACATAAATAATAGGAACCTTAAATAAATCTATAAATTGGACTTCATCAAAATTAAAATTTTCTACTCTCCAAAAGATACTATTAGGAAAATTTTTAAAGTAATCTGTAGACTGGGAGAACATATCCTAATACATACATCTGACAAAACACTAGTATTCAGAATGCATAGAACTTCATAGCTCAAGAAAAAAGACAACCCAATTAAAAAAGTCAGTGAAAGATATGAATGGACATTTCATCAAGATATATGAATGACCAATTATCACACAAAAAGATGCTCTGTGTCATCACCCATTACAGAAATGGAAATTAAAACCACAATAAAATTAAAATTTCAGAAATTAAACAAAATTAAAAAACAGAAATTAAAGCCACTACTGACCCACCAGAATGGCTAAAATGAAAAGATTGGCAATACCAAGAGCTGATGACAATGTGGAATAATTAGGTCTCATATACATTCTTGGTGGTAGTAAAAAATGGTAACAACTACTTGGGAAAAAAAATTGGTAGTTTCCTATAAAGTTAAAAAACATGACACAGCAATTCCTTTCCTAGGTATTTACTGCAGAGAAATGAAAGCTCATGTCCATACAAAACCTTGTGCCTGAATGTTCAAACAGTTTCACTCATAATATCCATAAGCTGGAAATGGTCCAAATGTTCATCAACTTGTAAATAGATAAACAAATAGATAAGCAAAACATACATACAATGGACTGCTATTCAGTAAGAGACAGTAATGAATAATTGGTATGCATAATACCATGTACCAATTTCCAAAACATAATGCTGAGTAAAAGTAGCCAGAGAAAAGGCCTCATATAGTGTTATTCCACTTACATGAAATTCTAGAATAGGTACACTAATCTACAGTGACACAAAGCAGGTCAGAGGCTGAAAGAGGGCTGACTGCAAAAGGTCATAGGTGACAGGGTGACAGTTCAGGGTATATGAATTTGCTAACATGAAGCAAACTCAGCACTTCAAATGAGTACACTTTCGTTTAGGTAAACTATACCTCAAGAAAGGTAATTCAAAATAAAAACAAAATAATTAGGTGGTTTCAATATGAACTCACGATTAAAGAGCCTAGAAAAATTAACACCCCAGTAGCAGTAAAACACAAACACCCAACTCTTGGTTTGTAAATATTATTTTCCACTAAAGGGAAACAGGTCTCCTTGGAGAAGAGGCTGATTTCAGGTCTGACACACGTCCAGAGTACTGAAAGTACGAGATAAGCCTAAGATATCTTGGGCCAAAAACGCCAAGAAGTGCTCAAAGCTAAACAAGGACAAGTTCAATGAAGACAGAAGCTGGTCTGAAGGGTTCCTGGCCAATCTGTGAACGATTTTAAATATCAGAAAGAATGACATCGATGGATTAAAACACATGGTGAGAAAAACTGACCCATAAGTCTATAATTACAGGGGGTGTGTGTAGCTATTCTTGGGTAAAAGTTATTGGAAAACAAAATATTCTCATTGTCTCAAGGTATCACCCCTGGGGTTACTTGTTAATTACAGGAGGAAAATGTGCCTTCACAATAAGAGGTATGGCAGTCACTCCCTTGGCCAAGTGGTCAAGTTTGGCATCACCATAAAAAAAAATGACCTGGCAATATATGCTGCTTCATTGGATGCAAAGAGGAAGACAATATAACCTATGTGGTGTCCTTGACAAAGAGGTTCAGACTAAATATAGTTATCAGGAAACAAATAAAGGTTGGGGAAACTAAACTGCCAAATGCAATTTTGTCTTTGTGTGAACTTATCATAGCCAAATCTATGAGCTATTTAAATTTCTATTTTCCCCAAGGTTTCCAGGAAAGCAGCAACTGCTGTAGAATAGAACCACAGCTAGGAGTATAATTATTGTGTATAGTGGTGTAATTATGATGATGCTGCTGAGGAAACGCAAGAGTTACTGCTTTGGAAGTCCCCCTAACCACAGGAGCCACCAATGTTAAAATGCATTCCTTCTGGAAAAGTCAAATGAGCTTTGTCTATTTCACTATCCCTTGCATAGATCTGTATACTTCAGTAAAATGTGATGTTTATTGAAAATACAAATATAATTGCCAATGACTATGTTAATCTTTATCTGGATATCAAAAGGAAAACTTAATACAAAATTAAATTATACTTAGGTTTGCACAAAACTGCTGCAGATTAGCATGTCTAATGTACTCCGATAACCTACGTTTTTGCCCCTTTTAAAATTGGATTATTTGCTACATATATTCCCCAAAATGGGTTTCAAGGGTCCCGAGTTCTTTAATGGCAGACAGCATGTTGCTCGCCTCTGTGGCAGTGTGTCCAACAGGTAACAGAAGGTTTGTGTAGCTGTATAGTCCACTTGGCATGGGGATCTGCAGCTTTTTGTAACATAGGATAGCTGGTATCATTATCCACTAGTCTTTTCATGTAATAGGCAAACTCAGATACAAAGGAGCTACTCTACATCTCAAAAAAGGAATAAATTAACATAACTGACTTGAAAGCATAATAATACTTTTTCTTCTTAAAAAAATATGGTCCCGGAATGTCTCCTGGCACTGTGTGTGTGTGTGTGTGTATGTGTGTGTGTGTGCAGTGTGTGTAGAGAGAGAGGGACTGGGGCATGTATTGGATTGTTCAACTATTTATCTTCACTACATAAAAGGGAGCTGAGTTCACTACAGGAATGGTTGCCTTGGCCACACTCAATCTATTTTCCCAAATGAGTTCTAACCCAAAGACCTCTGCTCTAGTTTACTTAATACCATGATAATGTGAGGAAATTTAAACTGCTTCATTTCTCTTTCTTAATTTTTCCACACGAAAACCAACGATCTATCTCCTATTCTTCTCACGGAGAATGGGGGAAAAGAAGTCTCTAAAGCACTTAGACATTCTTAAAAGATGTTATTAACCATGCAGTTTCAAAATTAGGTACTATTCCAGCACATTACAGTGATCGTACACCCCTATACTCTACCACGACCACACACATACCTAGAGCATTCTCTCATAGCAATTTTTTTTTAAGACAGAGTCTCACTCTGTCACCCAGACTGGAGTTCAGTGGCATGATCACAGCTCACTGCAAGCTTGACCTCCTCCTGGGCTCAAGCAATCCTCCTGCCTCAGCCTCCCAGCTAGCTGGGGACTGCAGGCGTGCACCACCACTCTCAGCTAATTTTTTATTTTTTGTAGATACAGGGCTTTACTAGATTTCCCAGGCTGGTCTCAAACTCCTGGGCTCAAGCAATCCTCCTGCCTTGGCCACCTAAAGTGCTGATTATAGGCATGAGCCACTGCACCCAGCCTTATAGCAAGTTTTGAGAAAAGCACACACTCCTACTTTTTCCTCATGCAAGGAAATGTAACCTCTCTTTTCACAGAAATGAAATACAGTATTCTTTGCTTTCTTATTCTTTAATCCGATCCCCTGCTCCACTTAAGATCCTTCCACCTCTGGGTTTCTCAGTCTCTAATTAACATCTAATACTGCTTGAAAAAAGAATTTAAGGCAATTACACAGACACATAGATAAAAGAAAACTGAACAAAGGTGAGTGAAAAATCAATGAC
This sequence comes from Homo sapiens, assembly GCF_000001405.40. NCBI lineage: Eukaryota > Metazoa > Chordata > Mammalia > Primates > Hominidae > Homo > Homo sapiens. Next base: position 70,906,902 of record NC_000006.12, read on the forward strand.
AATCCTATACACAAGCAACTATCATGGAAACAGCATTACAATAGCAAAAGAAAATATGCAATGCTAGGCATCAACTTACTGAGAATGGTGCAGGAACATGATGAAAACCACAAACTTTACCATGAAACCTCAGCGAGTCCAGGGATGGGCTATAGCAGATACTGTTCGTTGCCTACTCAACATCTACTTTCTTCTCTTCCTTATTGGCTAAGCTTCATTTTGGTTCAAATGGTAACCAGCCCTTCCCCCACATGACTGCCAAGAGGGTGATGGTCTCTCAATGCCAGGGATAAATCTTGAGTTGTCAGTGATTAGTTTGGGCCTGGCAGTCCTGGCCATCAGAGGAAGTGTGCTGGGCTGCTTCTGGGAAAAGTGCCCTCACTCCTAAGGATGGTCCCTTTCTGTCCCAGCACATTGCCATGTCTGGTTGTGATGGCTGAACTACAGCAGCCACCTTGCAACCAGGAAGAGAACCAGCCTGAAGACAAAGCTGACATTGTGAGGACGGCAGGGTGGAGAGCATTGGAAAGACTTCAGGACGGTGATGACACCACTGAGTCACTAAGTCATCCATCCCTAAAACCTGCTGTATATCTGGACTTCCTGTTATGGAATGTGGCTTCTTGCTCAACACTTTTCCTCTTCCTAAGTTCACAGGAAGACTCCATGTTTCTGCATCCTTTGCAGTTAGGATGGGGTCATATGACTGATGACGGATTTATGCACACTGGAGCATGGGCAAAATTCATATAAGTCAATTTCCAGCCTGGTCCTTAAAAACAATCTATGTGATCCACCAGTCCTCTTCCCTTGCAGGGGTGACTTTACAAGTCATGTGTTGCTTATAAAGCGACATATCTGAGTCACTAACTGCCCAGGAGAGTCACCAACCCCTGGCAAACTTTGTGAGACCAAGCAATAAGCTTTTACTGTATCAAGCCTCTCAGTAGTCAGGGTTTGCCTCTGCAGCTGCCAATATTTAGTTATTCTGCTAATATAGTGAGATAATATATGTGCTTAGCGTTGAAGCCAGTTTGAGTTGGGGTTTTTGTCACCTGTACCCAAAAGCTTCCTATTTGGCACACTTTCCATTCTGTTGGACCAGAAGTTTCAACAATATACAAGATTCTTCATATTAATGCCCAAACCTTGCTGACAATATCTCCCTGGCATGTAGCTATTCTGGGCTGTTGGTTTGGTGCAAGGCCATAAAAACTTTAACCACAGTATCAGGGAGAAGTGCAGCATGATTTTACGTAAATAAACCTAAGGCATCTAACAAAGATGAGTGCCTAAATGGAAGAGAGTCAGGGGCACCAAGGACATTGCCTCCAGGGAGTTAGTGCTAGGAGCTATAACTAATCATCTCTGTGTAAGATTCACATTTACTAGGACCTGACTCACAGGAAAGTGGAAGCTTTCCATCTTGGCCATCTTTGACTAAATAGGCTCTTTGAACAGTAGGACTGAAGTTTAATTTTTCCACCCATTAGTAAAGCGCTAAAATGCTATGGTGTTGAATACAGAGAAGTACCTTGTGCTGAATTCTAATTTCCAAAATAAGTACAGCATTTATGAGAATTTGAATTTGAAAAAAATGTTTCACAGTTAGAAGCAGTAGACTAGAGGTATACATAGCAATATAAATAAACCTCAAAAACATGGTACAACATGAAAAAATGTTTTAATCTATAATGCCATTTATGTACATTTAAAATATTGCACATAAAGCACTCTACATTTCACAAGGATACATGAAAATATAATAATGCACAGCATAAACATTGGAATAGATGACTAAGGATAAGGATAAAGGGAAATAAACACAACAAGAGAGGAAACTTGCATAGAATTATATTAACAGGTTGGAACTGGATGCAGGATAAAATCTTATCTCTATACTCAAAATCTAAGAGAAAAAAAAATTCTCAGGTTCTCCTGGTGGAAAACATACTCAGAATATGTGACAGCTGGATAAAAGTAAAATGGAGAGAACCTTTTAAGATCATAGAAGTAATTAAACACTCTCAGAAAATATTTTAAAAGGTAGACACTTCCCAAATTTGAAAAAACTTTTCCTAGAACAGTAAGTAGACATGGACTCTTTGTAGCTTCAGAAAAAGATTAATATTTTACACAGTTAACATGACCAACCATTACTTAGGCCAAAAGTAAAGATGTAGGTGGATCTTGAAAGAAAATCTAATTCAGAAAGCCCAAACACACACACATTCACACACTCTCTCTCTCTCACACACACACACACATGCTAGGGCTGTTTATTTGGTATAAGATCACAGCAGTGTTTATGTAAATAAGGCTTTGCTTACAGATTATTACCTCCTTAATTGGGAAAAGAGTATCAGGAAAACAAAATGAATAAAGAAACAAGAACAAACTATATACTATTGACAAGACACATTTTAATAACATAGATGGGATAAAAGAATATGGGAAATCATATGTAAACAAGAAGGTGTATGAAAGCTACTGTGGCTTTATTAATATCAGACAAAGTAGTTTTCAAGACAGTGATTACCAGAGATAATAAGGGGCTTTTAAAAATATATACACTGGAGTCAGACCCTCTAATATTTTTAACAGCTTTGTAACTCTGGATGTATTACTTACCCTCTTTGATCCTCAGTTTCCTGATAAAAGTGGGAATTGACAGCTGTATCAGAAGGTAATTGGGATGTACAAATAAGATGATGTATGTAAAGTGCTTAGCACACTGCTTGGCATCAGATAATACAGAATAAATGATGTGTATTTATGCTGATATCTTTTGTGATCCACTGCCCAACCTTCTCTATCCTGCTTTGAGTCCAAGGTGCGTGATATAATTAGAACCACAGCAGTTAAACAAATATCTGAATTCAGATCTTTGCTTTGTTTACTAGCTGGCTTTGGCACATGTGTGACTTTAAGCACCATGGGCCTTATTTTCCTCTTCCTCCTCTTTGTTTTTTTGTTTTTCTTTTGTTTTTGAGACGGAGTCTTGCTTTGTTGCCCAGGCTGGAGTGCAGTGGCATGATCTCAGCTCACTGCAAGCTCCACCTCCCGAGTTCATGCCATTCTCCTGCCTCAGTCTCCCGAGTAGCTGGGACTGCAAAAGCCCACCACCACACCCGGCTAATTTTTTGTATTTTTAGTAGAGATGGGGTTTCACCGTGTTGGCCAGGATGGTCTCAATCTCCTGACCTCCTGATCCACCCGCCTCAGCCTTCCAAAGTGCTGGGATTACAGGCGTGAGCCACTGTGCCCGGCCCCTCTTCTTTTTTTAAGACTTTATTTTAGGTTCAGGGGTCCATGTGCAGGTTTGTTATCAATAAATTGCATGTTGTGGGGGTTTGGTGTACAGATTTTCATCACCCAGGTAATAAGCATATTAGGTCATTTTTTCTCTCCTCATCCTCCTCCTACCCTCCACCCTCAAGTAGGTCCAGTGTCCATTATTCCCTTCTTTGTATCCATGTGTTCTCAATGTTTAGCTTCCACTTATAAGTTAGAACATGCAGCATTTGGTTTTCTGTTCCTACATTAGTTCGCTTAGAGTATTGACCTCCAGCACTATCCATGTTGCTGCAAAGGACATCATCTTATTCTTTTTTTATGGTTACGTAGTATTACATGGTGTATATGTACCACATTTTCTTTATCCAATCTACCAGTGATGGAAATTTAAGTTGGTTCCATGTCTTTCCTACTGTGAATAGTGCTGCGATGAACGTGTGTGTGCATGTGTCTTTATGGTAGAATGATTTCTATTCCTTTGGGCATATACCCAATAAGTGGATGGCTGGGTAAAATGGTAGTTCTGTTTTAAGTACTTTGAGAAATTGCCACCCTGTTTTCCACAATGGCTGAACTAATTTACATTTCCACCAGCAGCGTATAGGCATTCCCTTTTCTCCATAACCTCGTCAACATCTGCTATTTTATAACTTTTTAATAATACCCATTCTGACTGGTGTGAGATGGTATCTCACTGTGGTTTTAATTTGTATTTCTCTAATGATTAGTGATGTTGGGCATTTTTTCATATGCTTGTTGGTCACATGTATGTCATCTTTTGAAAAGTGTCTGTTCATTTACTTTAGCTACTTTAAAAATTTTTTTTTCTTGTAAACTTGTTTAAGTTCCTTATAGATTCTGGATATTAGACCTTTGTCAGATGCATACTTTACAAATACTTTCTCCCATTCTATAGGTTGTCTGTTTACTCTCTTGATAGTTTCTTTTTGTTGTGCAGAAGATCTTTAATTAGGTCCCACTTGCCGTTTTTTTGTTGCAATTGCTTTTGGCATCTTCATCATGAAATCTTTGCCAGGGACTATGTCCAGAATGGTATTTCCTAGGTTTTCCTCTAGGGTTTTATAGTTTTTACAGTTAAGTCTTTAATACATCTTGAGTTGATTTTATATATGGTGATAGGAAGTGGTCTAGTTTTAATCTTCTGCATATGGGTAGCGATCCATCCCGAATCACTTATTGACTAGCAGGTCCTTTCCCCATTGTTTGTTTTTGTCAATTTTGTCAAAGATCAGATGGTTCTGAGTACACAGCTTTATTTCTGGGCTCTCTATTCCATTGGTTTATGTGTCTGTTTTTGTACAAGTACCATGCTGTTTTTGTTACTGTAAGCTTGCAGTACAGTTTGAATTTTGGTAATGTGATGCCTCCAGTTTTGTTCTTTTTGCTCAGGATTGATTTGGCTATTCAGGCTCTTTTTTGGTTCCACCTGAATTTTAGAATAGTTTTTTCTAATTCTGTGAAAAATATCACTGGTAGTTTGAAAGGAATAGCATTGAATCTGTAAATTGCTTTGGGCAGTATGGCCACTTTAACAACATTGATTCTTCCTATCCACGAGCATGGAATGAATGTTTTCTCGTTTGTTTGTGTTGTCTGATTTCTTTCAGCACTGTTTTGTAATTCTCAATCTAGAAATATTTTGCCTCTCTGGTTAGCTGTATGCGTAGGTATTTTATTTTTTGTGTGGCTATTATGAATGGGATTGTGTCCTTGATTGGCTCTCAGCTTGGATGTTGTTAGTGTAAAGGAATGCAACTTATTTTTGCACAGTGATTTTGTACACTGCAACTTTGCTGAAGTTGTTTGTCAGATCTAGGAGCTTTTGGGCAGACACTATGGAATTTTCTAGGTATAAAATCATATTGTCTGACTTCCTCTCTTCCTATTTGGATGCCTTTTCTTTATTTGTCTTGCTTGACTGCTCTGCCTAGGACTTCCAGTAGTATATTGAATATGAGTGGTGATAGTGGGCATCCTTGTCTTATTCCACAAGGGGAATGCTTCCAGCTTTTGCTCTTTCAGTATGATGCTGGCTGTGATTTTTTCACAGATAGCTCTTATTATTTTGAGGTATGTTCCTTTGATGCCTAGTTTGTTGAGGGTTTCTAACATGAAGGGGTACTGAATTTTGCATTCAATAGATGTATCTGCATCTATTGAGATTATCATTTGGTTTTTCTTTTTAGTTCTGTTCATGTGATGAATCATATTTATTGATTTGTATATGGTGAACCAATCTCACATGCCAAGTATAAAGCCTACTTGGATCATGGTGGATTAGTTTTTTGATGTGCTGCTGAATTCAGATTGCTAGTATTTTATTGAGAATTTTTGCATCTATGTTTGTCCAGGATATTGACTTGAGGTTTTCTTTTTATGTTGTCTCTCCCAGTTTTCGTTATCAGGATGAAGCTGGCCTTATATCAGGATGATGCTGGCCTTATATCAGGATGATGCTGGCCTTATAGAATGAGTTAGGGAGGGGTCCCTCCTCCTTAATTTTTTGGAATAGTTTCAGTAGGAATGGTACCAGCTCTTCTTTATACATCTGGCAGAATTTGGTTGTGGATCCATCTGGTCCAGGGCTTTTTTGGTTGGTAGGCTTTTTACTACTGATTCAATTTTGGAACTTGTTATTGGTCTGTTCAGGGTTTCAATTTCTTCCTTGTTCAGTCTTGGGAGACTGTATGTTTCCAAGAATTTATCGTTTCTTGTAGGTTTTTTAGTTTGTCTGCATAGAGGTGTTTGTAATAGTCTTTTAAGGTTTTTTATATTTCTGTTGGGTTGATGGTAATGTCCTCTTTGTCATTTCTGATTAAGTTTATTTGGATCTGCTCTGTTTTTTGATTAGTATAATCAGTGGTCTATCCATCTTATTTATTGTTTCAAAGAACCAGCTTCTGGTTTCACTGGTCTTTTATATCATTTTCCTGTCTCAATTTCATTCAGTTCAGTTCTTGTTTTGGTTCTTTTCTTCTGCTAGCTTTGCAGTTGGTTTGCTCTTGTTTTTCTAGTTCCTCTAGGTGCAATGTTAGGCTGTTAATTTGAGATCTTTCTAACTTTTTGATAGGGGTGTTTAGTGCTATAAACTTCCCTCTTAATACTGCTTTAGCTGTGTCGCAGAGATTTTGGTATATTTTATCTTTATTTTAGCTGTGTCTCAGATATTTTCGTATATTTTATCTTTATTTTCAATAGTTTCAAAAAATGTCTTGATTTCTGCCTTAATTTCATTGTTTACCCAAAAGTCATTCAGGAGCAGGTTGTTTGATTTGCATGTAGCTGTATGTTTTGAATGATCTTCTTGGGGCTGATTTCTACTTTTGTTGCGCCATGGTCCAAGAGTGTGGTTAGTGTGATTCTTGTGTTTTTAATTTGCTAAGAATTGACTTATGGCCGATTGTGTGGTCGACTTTAGAGTATGTGCCATGTGGCGATGAGAAGAATGTATATTCTGTTGTTTTGGAGTGCAGAGTTCTGTAGATGTCTGTTGGGTCCATTTAGTCAAATACTGAGTTCAGGTCCCAAGTATCTTTGTTAGTGTTCTGCCTTGATGATTGAATACTGTTAGTGGGGTGCTGAAGTCTCCCAATATTACCGTGTGGTTATCCATGTCTCTTTGTAGGTCTCTAAGAATTTGTTCTATGAATCTGCAAGCTCCTGTGTTGGGTACATATATTTAGGATATTTAAGTCTTCTTGTTGAATTGAACCCTTTATGATTATGTCATGCGCTTGTCTTTTTTGATCATTGTTGCTTTAAAGTCTGCTTTGTCTAAAATTAGAATAGTAACTCCTGTTTTCTTTTCCCATTTACTTGGTAGATTTTTCTTTAAACCTTTATTTTGAGCCTATGGGTAGCTCTGCATGAGATGGGTCTCTTGAAGACAGCATACAATTGTGACTTATTTCTTCTTCTTTTTTTAAATTATACTTTAAATTCAAGGGTACATGTGCACAACATGCAGGTTTGTTACGTGGTTATACATGTGCCATGCTGGTATGCTGCACCCATCAACTCGTCATTTACATTAGGTATTTCTCCTAACACTACCTCTCCCCCAGTCCCCCACCCTCTGACAGGCCCCGGTGTGTGATGTTCCCCTCTCTGTGTCCACGTGTTCCCATAGTTCAGCTCCCACTTATGAGTGAGAACATGCGGTGTTTGGTTTTCTGTCCTTGTGATAGTTTGCTGAGAACGATGATTTCCAGCTTCATCCATGTACCTACAAAGGATATGAACTCATCCTTTTTTATGGCTGCATAGTATTCCATGGTATATATGTGCCACATTTTCTTTATCCAGTCTATTATTATTATTTTTTTTAACAAAGACATTTATTTTGGAGAAAGCATTGATTGTAGATTTTGAAACTATTTTTATGATGTTTTCCCCTCTTGGTGCCAGCAAAAAATGCAACTTTTCTAAGACTTTGAAAAGTTACTAGTAAACTGCCTGACATTCCTTCTTGATATCCTTATAGGTGTAAATATTTACAGAAATGGGAATGATCCTAATCCAAATCCATAAAATTGAATAACTTTTTTTTTAACCAGACATAGAATACTATATATCCAGTCTATTATTGATGGACATCTGGGTTGGTTCCAAGTCTTTGCTATTGTAAATAGTGCTGCAATAAACATATGTGTGCATGTGTCCTTATAGTAGAATGCTTTATAATCCTTTGGGTATATACCCACAAATGGGATTGCTGGGTCAAATGGTATTTATAGTTGTAGATCCTTGAGGAATCGCCACACTGTCTTCCACAATGGTTGCACTAATTTACACTCCCACCAACAGTGTAAAAGTGTTCCTATTTCTCCACATCCTCTCCAGCATCTGTGGTTTCCTGGCTTTTTAATGATCGCCATTCTAACTGGCATGAGATGGTATCTCATTGTGGTTTTGACTTGCATTTCTCTGATGACCAGTGATGATGGACATTTTTTCATATGTCTGTTGGCTGCATAACTGTCTTCTTTTGAGAAGTGTCTGTTCATATCCTTTGCCCACTTTTTGATGCAGTGGTTTTTTTTTTCTTGTAAATTTGTTTAGGTTCTTTGTACATTCTGAATATTAGCCCTTTGTCAGATGGATAGATTGAAAAATTTTTCTCCCATTCTGTAGGTTGCCTATTCACTCTGATGGTAGTTTATTTTGCTGTGCAGAAGCTGTTTAGTTTAATTAGATGCCATTTGTCAATTTTGGCTTTTGTTGCCACTGCTTTTGGTGTTTTAGTCATAAAGTCTTTGCCCATGCCTATGCACTGAAGGGTATTGCCTAGGTTTTTTTGTAGGGTTTTTATGGTTTTAGGTATTACATTCAAGTCTTTTATCCATCTTGAGTTAATTTTTGTATAAGGTGTAAGGAAGGGATCCAGTTTCAGCTTTCTACATATGGCTAGCCTGTTTTCCCAGCACCATTTATTAAATAGGGAATCCTTTCCCGATTTGTTTTTGTCAGGTTTGTCAAATATCAGATGGTTGTAGATGTGTGGTGTTATTTCTGAGGCCTCTGTTCTATTCCGTTGGTCTACATGTCTGTTTTGGTACCAGTAACATGCTGTTTTGGTTACTGTAGCCTTGTAGTGTAGTTTGAAGTCAGGTAGTGTGATGCCTCCAGCTTTGTTCTTTTTGCCCAGGATTGTCTTGGCTATGTGGGCTCTTTTTTGGTTCCATATGAGCTTTAAAGTAGTTTTTTTCCAATTCTGTGAAGTCAGTGATAGCTTGATAGGGATAGCATTGAATCTTTAAATTACCTTGGGCAGTATGGCCATTTTCATGATAGTGATTCTCCCTATCCATGAGCATGGAATGTTCTTCCATTTGTTTGTATCCTCTTTTATTTCATTGAGCAGTGGTTTGTAGTTCTCCTTGAAGAGGTCCTTCACATCCCTTGTAAGTTGGATTCCTAGGTATTTTATTCTCTTTGAGGCAGTTGGGAATGGGAGTTCACTCATGATTTGGCTCTCTGTTTGTCTGTTCTTGGTGGATAGGAATGCTTGTGATTTTTGTACATTGATTTTGTATCCTGATACTTTGCTGAAGTTGTTTATCAGCTTAAGGAGATTTGGAGCTGAGACGATGAGGTTTTCTACATATATAATCATGTCATCTACAAACAGACTATTTGACTTCCTCTTTTCCTAATTGAATACCATTTATTTATTTCTCTTGCCTTATTGCCCTGGCCAGAACTTCCAACACGATGTTGAATAGGAGTGGTGAGAGAGAGCATCCTTGTCTTGTGCCAGTTTTCAAAGGGAATGCTTCCAGTTTTTGCCCATTCAGTATATTGGCTGTGGGTGTGTCATAAATAACTCTTACTGTTTTGAGATACATTCTATCAATACCTAGTTTATTGAGAGTTTTTAGCATGAAAGGCTGTTGAATTTTGTTGAAGGCCTTTGCTGCATGTATTGAGATAATCATGTGGTTTTTGTCGTTGGTTCTGTTTATGTGATGGATTACATTTATTGATTTGCCTATGTTGAACCAGCCTTCCATCCCAGGGATGAAGTCGACTTGATCGTAGTGGATAAGCTTTTTGATGGGCTGCTGGATTCGGTTTGCCAGTATTTTTTTTTGAAAATTTTCATATCGATGTTCATCAGGGATGTTGGCCTAAAATTATCTTTTTTTGTTGTGTCTCTGTGAGGCTTTGTTATCAGGATGATGTTGGCCTTATAAAATGAGTTAGGGAAGATTCCCTCTTTTTCTATTGATTGGAATAGTTTCAGAAGGAATGGTACTAGCTCCTCTTTGTGCCCCTGGTAGAATTTGGCTGTGAGTCTGTCTGGTCCTGGACTTTTTTTGGTTGGTTGGCTATTAATTATTGCCTCAATTTCAGAAGCTGTCACTGAACTATTTAGAGATTCAACTTCTTCCTGGTTTAGTCTTGGGAGGGTGTATGTGTCAAGGAATTTTTCCATTTCTTCTAGATTTTCTATTTTATTTGCGTAGAGGTGTTTATAGTATTGTCTGATGATAGTTTGTATTTCCGTGGGATCGGTGGTGATATCCCCTTTATCATTTTTTATTGCGTCTATTTGATTCTTCTCTCTTTTCTTCCTTATTAGTCTTGCTTGTCATGTAATTATTTTGTTGCTCTTTTCAGAAAACCAGCTCCTGGGTTCATTGATTTTTTTTAAGGGTTTTTTGTGTCTCTCTCTCCTTTAGTTCTGCTCTGATTTATTTCTTGTCTTCTGCTAGCTTTTGAATTCATTTGCTCTTGCTTCTGTAGTTCTTTTATAATTGCAATGTTAGGGTGTCGATTTTAGATCTTTCCTGTTTTCTCCTGTGGACACTTAGTGCTGTAAATTTCTCTCTACACACTGCTTTAAATGTTTCTCAGAGATTCTTGAACGTTGTATCTTTGTTCTTATTGGCTTCACAGAACATTGTTATTTATGCCTTCATTTCGTTATTTACCCAGTAGTCATTCAGGAGCAGGTTGTTCAGTTTCCATGCAGTTGTGCAGTTTTGAGTGAGTTTCTTAATCCTGAGTTCTAATTTGATTGCATTGCGGTCTGAGAGACAGTTTGATGTAATTTCTGTTCTTTTATATTTGCTGAGCAGTGTTTTGCTTCCAATTATGTGGTCAATTTTAGAATAAGTGTGATGTGGGGCTGAGGAGAATGTATATTCTGTTGATTTGGGAAGAAGAGTTCTGTAGATGTCTATTAGTTCTGCTTGCTCTAGAGCTGAGTTCAAGTCCTGGATATCCTTGTTAACTTTCTGTCTCGTTGATCCATCTAATATTGACAGTGGGGTGTTAAAGTCTCCCATTATTATTGTGTGGGAGTCTAAGTCTCTTTGTAGACTTAGTCTCTAAGAACTTGCTTTATGAATCTGGGTGCTCCTGTATTGGGTGCATATATATTTAGGATAGTTAGCTCTTCTTGTTGAATTGATCCCTTTACCATTATGTTAACGGCCTTCTTTGTCTCTTTTGATCTTTGTTGCTTTAAAGTCTGTTTCATCAGAGACCAGGATGGCAAACCCTTTTTTTTGCTTTCCATTTGCTTGGTAGATCTTCTTCCATCACTTTATTTGAGCCTATGTGTGTCTTTGCATGTGAGATAGGTCTCCTGAATACAGTCAAGGGTCTTGACTCTTTATCCAATTTGCCAGTCTGTGTCTTTTAATTGGGGCATTTAGCCCACTTACATTGAAGGTTAATATTGTTATGTGTGAATTTGATCCTGTCATTATGATGTTAGCTGGTTATTTTGCCCATCAATTGATGCAGTTTCTTCATAGCATCGATGGTCTTTACAATTTGTCATGTTTTTGTAGTGGCTGGTACCGGTTGTTCCTTTCCATGTTTAGTTCTTCCTTCAGGAGCTTTTGTAAGGCAGGCCTGGTGGTGACAAAATCTCTCAGCATTTGCTTGTCTGTAAAGGATTTTATTTCTCCTTCACTTATGAAGCTTAGTTTGGCTGGATATGAAATTCTGGGTTAAAAATTCTTTTCTTTAAGCATGTTGAATATCGGCCCCCTCTCTCTTCTGGCTTGTAGTGTTTCTGCTGAGAGATCTGCTGTTAGTCTGATGGGCTTCCCTTTGTGGGTAACCCGACCTTTCTCTCTGGCTGCCCTTAACATTTTTTCCTTCATTTCAACCTTGGTGAATCTGACAATTATGTGTCTTGGGGTTGCTCTTCTCGAGGAGTATCTTTGTGGTGTTCTCTGTATTTCCTGAATTTGAATGTTGGCCTGCCTTGCTAGGTTGGGGAAGTTCTCCTGCATAATATCCTGAAGAGTGTTTTATAACCTGGTTCCATTCTCCCTGTCACTTTCAGGTACACCAATCAAACGTAGATTTGGTCTTTTCACATAGTCCCGTATTTCTTGGAGGCTTTATTCGTTTCTTTTCACTCTTTTTTCTCTAATCTTGTCTTCTTGCTTTATTTCATTAATTTGATCTTCAATCACTGATATCCTTTCTTTCGCTTGATTGAATCAGCTATTGAAGCTTGTGTATGTTTCATAAAGTTCTTGTACTATGGTTTTAAGCTCTATCATGTCATTTATATTCTTCTCTACACTGGTTATTGTATTCTAGTTAGCCATTCATCTAGCATTTTTTCAAGGTTTTTAGCTTCCTCGCGATTGGTTAGAACATGCTCCTTTAGCTTGGAGAAGTTTGTTATTACCGACCTTCTGAAGCCTACTTCTGTCAACTCATCAAATTCATTCTCTGTCCAGTTTTGTTCCCTTGCTGGCGAGGAGTTGTGATCCTTGGAGAAGAAAGGCGTTCTGGTTTTGGAATTTTCAGCCTTTCTTCTCTGGTTTCTCCCCATCTTTGTGGTTTTATCTACCTTTGGTCTTTGATGTTGGTGACCTACGGATGGGGTTTTCGTGTGGATGTCCTTTTTGCTGATGTTGATGCTATTCCTCTTTGTTAGTTTTCCTTCTAACAGACAGTCCCCTCAGCTGCAGGTCTGTTGGAGTTTGCTGGAGTTCCACTCCAGACCGTTTGCCTCGGTATCACCAATGGAGGCTGCAGAACAGCAGATATTGCTGCCTGATCCTTCCTCTGGAAGCTTCGTCCTAGAGGGGCACCCGCCTGTATGAGATGTCTGTTGGCCCCTACTGGGAGGTATCCCCCAATCAGGCTACACAGGGGTCAGGGACCCACTTGAGGAGGTAGTCTGTCCGTTATCAGAGCTTGAACGCCCCCGTGCTGGGAGAACCACTGCTTTCTTCAGAGCTGTCAGGCAGGGATGTTTAAGTCTGCAGAAGCTGTCTGCGGCATTTTTTTCAGATATGCCCTGCCCCCGAGGTAGAATCTACAGAGGCAGTAGGCCTTGCTGAGCTGCAGTGGGCTCCGTCCAGTTCAAGCTTCCCTGCTGCTTTGTTTACGCTGTGAGCATAGAACCGCTTACTCAAGCCTCAGCAATGGTGGACGCCGCTCCCCACCCACCAAGCTCCAGCATCCCAGGTCGATCTCAGACTGCTGTGCTAGCAGTGAGCAAGGCACCATGAGCGTGGGACCCACCGAGCAGGCATGGGAGGGAATCTTCCGGTCTGCCTGTTGCGAATACCGTGGGAAAAGTGCAGTATTTGAGCAGGAGTGTACTTTTCCTCTAGGTACAGTCACTCATGGCTTCCCTTGGATAGGAAAGGGAAATCCCCTGACCCCTTGCACTTCCTCGGTGAGGGATGCCCCGCCCTGCTTCGGCTTGCCCTCCATGGGCTGCACCCACTGTCCAACCAATCCCAATGAGATGAACCAGGTACCTCAGTTGGAAATGCAGAAATTACCTGTCTTCTGCATTGATCTTGCTGGGAGCTGTAGACCAGAACTGTTCCTATCCTGCCATTTGGAGCAACTCTCCATGTGTCTTATTTCTTTATCAAATTTGCCATTCTGTACTTTTTAAGTCAGGCATTTTGCATGTTTACTTTTAAGGATAATACTTATATGTGTTGATTTGATCCTGTCATCATGATGTCAGCTGGATATTATGCAGACTTGATAGCGTAATTGCTTTATAGTGTTCAGAGGTCTAGTCCTTAAGTATATTTTTGTGGTGGCCAGTAACAGTCTTTTGTTTCCATATTTGGCACTCACTTAAGGACCTCTTGTAAGGCATGTCTGGTGGTAATGAATTCTCTTAGCATTTGCTTGTCTGAAAAGGATCTTGTTTCTCCTTTGCTTATTAAGCTTAGTCTTGCTGCACAGGAAATACTTGGTTGGAATTTTTTTTGCTGAACATAGGTCTCCAAATCTCTCCTGGCTTGTAGTGCTTTTGCTGAAAGGTCTTCTGTTAGCCTCATCGGAATCCCTTTGTAGGTGACCTGCCCCTTTTCTCTAGCTGCCTTAGTATTTTTTCTTTGATGTTGACGTTGGAGAATCTGATGCCTACATGTCTTGGGGATGGTTGTCTTGTATAGTATCTCACAGGGGTTTTCTGCATTTCCTGAATTTGAATTTTGGCCTCTCTAGCAAGGCTGGAAAAATTGCTTTTTCTCTCTCTCTTTCAGGGATGTCAATGAGTCACAGATTTGGTCTCTACCTAATCTCATATTTCTCAGTGGTTTTGTTCACTCTTTTTAATTATTTGTTCATTATTTTTGTCTGAGTTGATTTGAGGAACCAGTCTTCAAGCTCTGAGATTCTTTCCTCAGCTTGGTCTATTCTGATGTTAGTAGTCTATTCTGATGTTAACAATGCTTGTGATTGCATTATGAAATTCTTGTAGTGAGTTTTTCAGCTCTATCAGTTCAGTTTGGTTCTTTCTTAAAATGGCTATTTCGTTTCATCTCTTGTATTGTTTTATTGGATTCCTTAGATTCCTTGGATTGGGTTTCAACTTTCTCCTGAATCTCAATGATCTTTTTTCTATCCAGATTCTCAATTCTATCTCTGTCATTTCAGTTTTGTTAAGAACCATTGCTAGGGAACCAGTGGGGTTGTCTGGAGGTAAGAAGGCACTCTAGTTTTTTGAATTGCCAGAGTTCTTGCATTGATTCTTTCTCATCTGTGTGGGCTGACATTCCTTTAATCTTTGAAGTTGCTATCCTTTGGATAGGGCTTTTTACTTTTATATTCTTTGATATTCTTGAGGGTTTGATTGTGGTATAATGTCGGTTCAGTTGACTGGCTTCATTCTGAATGCTTTCAGGGCACCAAGGCTCAGCTCATCACTCATGGGCTATGTGATGTAACGCTGATGGGCTGGTACTGGGCCCCCCAACTTTGTTCTCTGCCCCATAGAGGTTAGAAAGCTGCTGCACTCTGGGGGCAAGGTATTCCCAGTATGCTGGTAACAGTACTCTGATGGGGGTGCTGGCCACACACTTCATCAAGGTGGTGGCAGCAGGATCCATGCCTGTGCATTTGTGCCAGCAGAAGCAGGGGTACAGCAAGATGCATACATCTGTGGGAGCGGGGTGCCTGAAGGATATTTCATAATGATAAAGGATCAATTCCTCAAGAAAAAAATCTAAGTGTATAGGCACCAAATAACATAGTTTCAAAATACATAAAATAAAAAATATATTTAAAAGGTAAAAGAAAAGTCTTCTAGTCCTAATCAGAAACATTAACAATTTGTATTTTATAGAATAAGCACATGAAATATCTGTAGGAATATAGAACATCTGAGCAGCACTCAATCTAATTGACAAATATAGAACACTGTATCCAACAATCGCAGAATAAATGTTATTTAAGTGTACATGCAACATGCACCAGTATCAACCATATGCAGGAATATAAAGTAAATCAATAAATTTCAATTGAGTGAAACTATATTTTAAAACCACATAGAATTAAATTAGAAATCAAAACCAAATGTAAGAAAATCCTAAGTATTTCAAAATTAGCATTTTATATTATTTAGTAAAATTATTTTTAAAATGAACAAATAAATATAAATTAGAAAATATTCTGAATATAAAAATACAGCATCAAAATATGTGGGATGCAACAAAAACAATGCCTAGGGTGAAGTGTAAAGCTTTAAGCATAATAAATATTGAAAAGAAGAGAGGTAGAAAAATCAAAGATCTAAGTTTTCATCTCAAGAAACTAAAAAAAGAAGAGAAAATTAAACCAAAAATAAAGGAAGGAAATAAAATTGAGAATAAAAAAATCAATGAGCGATAGACAATAGAGAAAAAGCAAAGTGCAGTGTTGGATTTGTGAATCTGGCTCCTAGAAATCCAACCTCAGATCCACCACTAATTAGCTGTGTGGCCTCAGGCAAATTAATAAGACACTGTATGACCATTTCCACACATATAAATGGGTATAACAACATCAATGTACCATGTCATAGGGTTGTTTTGAATATTAAATGAGTTAAAACATATAAAGGACTATGGTTCTGCTACATAAATAAGTACCATATAAGTGTCTTCTGTCATCATTGTCATCAGCATCATCATCAACATAGGCTGCTCAGAGGATGTGATTCTCCAAACTTGGTTTAGACATTGGGACCTAGTACCAGGTAAACAGTGGAAACTCTTTTCTTATATGTTTAAAACAAAAAGACACATATCTTTCTATGAAAAACTGCATCAAGTAAATTCTATCATCAGCCCAGCCCTGAAATAAGGGCTGCCCTTCTTTCTGTGTTCCAGAATTTAGAAGGTTAATCTTTGATGCATGTTTAGTGTCAACATAAACAAGAACCAAGTCACTTAAAACCCTGCTTAGTCCAGGTGCAACGGCTCACACCCGTAATCCCTGCACTTTGGGAGGCTGAGGTGTCAGAATTGCTTGAGCCCAAGAGCTTGAGACCACCTGAGCAGTGTAGTGAGACTCTCTACAAAAATTTTTTTAAAGAAGTAGCCAGGCATGGTTGTGTGAACCTATAGTCCCAGCTGCTTGGGATGCTGAGGTGGAAGGATTACTTGAGCCAGGAGGTCAAGCCAGGATTGCACCACTGTACTCCAATCTGGGCGACAGAGTCAGACCCTGTCTCAATCAATCAATCAATAATAAAACCCTGCTTAGAAACATCTCACAGGTAGACAATTCAGAAAACCCTGTATTATTTTGTTGATAATTTGTGTGTGCTATTCTTATACATTTTTGTGAAATGTATAACACTTTCTGTGTAGTAATTTAAAAGTACTGAATGACATTGTGGAATATGTTTTGGTTTCCATTTTTCTATGCTGTATCATATTTTTAAGATCTGTTTATATTGTTGTATGTACTTAAAGTTTCTCTCAGTCCTGGATTTTTTAGTTCTGTTAGTAGTATCTGACATTTTTCAGAGACAGAACAGAGACTAAACCAACTTATTAAAACTTAACAGGTGGGAGTGGGGTGTACTTAATGGGTACAATGGAAGTTATTTGAGTGATGGATACCATAAAAGTCCTGACATCACCACTATACAATCTATACATGTAACAAAATTGCACTTGTAACCCATACATTTGTATTAATAAAACACTTCCCCCAAAATTTAAAAAATAAAACCTACCAGCATAAAAAATCATAAATAAACTTAACCAAGGAGGCAAAAACCATATACACTAAAAACTATGAAACACTGGTGAAAGAAATTAAAGACCACAAAGATAAATGGAACAAAATTCCATATTTATGGATTGGAAGAGTTAATATTGCTAAATGTCAAAACTACTAAAGAAGATCTACAGAGTCAATGCAATCTCTATCAAAATCCCAATGATGTTTTTTGCAGTAACAGAATAATAATACATCTTAAAATTCACATGGAATCTCAAGGCACCCTGAATAGCCAAAAGAATCTTGAAAAGAATAAGTAAGTCACACTTTCCAATTTCAAAACTTATAACAAAGCTACATTAATCAAAGCAATGTGGTACTGGCATAAAGACAGAAATATAGACCAATGGACTAGAATAGAGAGCCCAGAAATAAACCCTATGCAACCACCCTTGCAAAACTTAAAACAGTGAGAAAATTATGACAGTGAAGGAGATCTGATCCAACCAGCCTGCATCTTGCCTTTACCCTCCAAATGCCCTTAGTCATTCCTGGGATTGGGTCAAGCTAACTTTGGAAGAAATTTAGTTTGTAGTTTAAATGATAATAGCCCTTCCCCCAAACTAAACTACTTTCGTAAAACTAATGAAAGACCACCAGAATGGGAGAATGAGAGGAGCCTCAATTCTACTAAGACATAGATGTGAACAATTACCAGTCATTATTCTGCAAATCACAAGATTCGCAACTTCCTCAATTACTCCTGCAGGTAATATCACTATTATAGATCCTGAGGTTGGCCTTTTGAGATGTCTTTTCAGGCTTTTGCAATTCTGACAACCAGATGGCACCACCTGACCTGCCAACCAGTCCTGCGGCCTTCGCCCAGAAGTGGACTCAGCATAAGGATCATTTCCCACACCTCTGTGATTGCACCGCCAACCAATCAGCAGCACTCATTCCTTTGTCATCTCTCTCCCTGCCAAACTATCCTTGAAAAAACCCTAGCAGGATCGTTACAAGATGGCCGAAGAGGAACAGCTCTAGTCTACAGCTCATGCATCTGCGTGAGTGACGCAGAAGACAGGAGATTTCTGCATTTCCAACTAAGGTACTGGGTTCATCTTACTGGGACTTGTTGGACAGTGGGTGCAGGCCATGGAGTGTGAGCCAAAGTAGGGCGGGGCATCACCTCACCCTGGAAGCACAAGGGGTCAGGGAATTCCCTTTCCTAGCCAAGGGAAGCCGTGACAGATGGTACCTGGAAACTCGGGACACTCCCGCCCTAATACTGCGCTTTTCCAATGGTCTTAGCAAACGGCACACCAGGAGATTATAACCCGTGCCTGGCTCGGCGGTTCCCACACCTATGGAGCCTTGCTTACTGCTAGCACAGCAGTCCGAGATCAAACTGCAAGACGGCCCCAAGACTGGGGGAGGGGCGTCTGCCATTGCTGAGGCTTGACTAGGTAAACGAAGCGGCCAGAAAGCTCAAACTGGGTGGAGCCCACCAGAGCTCAACCAGGCCTGCCTGCCTCTGTAGACTCCACTTCTGGGGGCAGGGCATAACTTAACAAAAGGCAGCAGAAACCTGCAGACTTAAACGTCCCTGTCTGACAGCTTTGAAGAGAGCAGTGGTCCTCCCAGCACAGAGTCTGAGATCTGGGAATGGACAGACTGCCTCCTCAAGTGGGTCCCTGACCCCTGAGTAGCCCAGTGGGAGACACCTCCCAGTAGGGGCCGACTGACACGTCATACAGCCAGGTGCCCCTCTGAGATGAAGGTTCCAGAGGAAGGATCAGGCAGCAACATTTGCCGTTCTGCAATATTTGTTGTTCTGCAGCCTCTGCTGGTGACACCCAGGCAAACAGCGTCTGGAGTAGACCTCCAGCAAACTCCAAAAGACCTGCAGCTGAGGGTCCTGAATGTTAGAAGGAAAACTAACAAAGCATCAACAAAACTAGCATCAACATCAACAAAAAGGACATCCACACCAAAACCCCATCTGTAGGTCACCATCATCAAAGACCAAAGTTTGATAAAACCACAAAGATGCGGAGAAAACAGAGTAGAAAAGCCAAAAATTTTAAAAATCAGAGCGACTCTTCTCCAAAGGATCGCAGCTCCTCGCCAGCAAAGGAAGAAAGCTGGATGGAGAATGACTTTAATGAGTTGACAGAAGTAGGCTTCAGAAGATTGGTAATAACAAACTTCTCCGAGCTAAAGGAGGGTGTTCGAACCCATCTCAAAGAAGCTAAAAACCTGGAAAAACGATTAGACAAATGGCTAATTACAATAAACAGCATAGAGAAGATCTTAAATGACCTGATGGAGCTGAAAACCATGGCATGAGAAATACGTGACGAATGCACAAGCTTCAGTAGCTGACTCGATCAACTGGAAGAAAGGGTATCAGAGATTGAAGATCAAATGAATGAAATGAAGTGAGAAGAGAAGTTTAGAGACAAAAGAGTAAAAAGAAATGAACAAAGTCTCCAAGAAATATGGGACTATGTGAAAAGACCAAATCTACGTTTCATTGGTGTACCTGAAAGTGACGGGGAGAATGGAACCAAGTTGGAAAACACTCTTCAGGATATTATGCAGGAGAACTTCCCCAACCTAGCAAGGCAGGCCAACATTCAAATTCAGGAAATACACAGAACGCCACAAAGATACTCCTCCAGAAGGGGAATCCCAAGACACATAATTGTCAGATTCACCAAGGTTGAAATGAAGGAAAAAATGGTAAGGGCAGCCAGAGAGAAAGGTCGGGTTACCCACAAAGGGAAGCCCATCAGACTAACAGCAGATCTCTCAGCAGAAACACTACAAGCCAGAAGAGAGAGGGGGCCGATATTCAACATGCTTAAAGAAAAGAATTTTTAACCCAGAATTTCATATCCAGCCAAACTAAGCTTCATAAGTGAAGGAGAAATAAAATCCTTTACAGACAAGCAAATGCTGAGAGATTTTGTCACCACCAGGCCTGCCTTACAAGAGCTCCTGAAGGAAGAACTAAACATGGAAAGGAACAACCAGTACCAGCCACTGCAAAAATAGGCCAAATTGTAAAGACCATCGATGCTATGAAGAAACTGCATCAACTAATGAGCAAAATAACCAGCTAACATCATGATGACAGGATCAAATTCACACATAACAATATTAACCTTCAATGTAAATGGGCTAAAAGCCCCAATTAAAAGACACAGACTGGCAAATTGGATAAAGAGTCAAGACCCATCAGTGTGCTGTATTCAGGAGACCCATCTCACATGCAGAGACACACATAGGCTCAAAATAAAGGGATGGAGGAAGATCTACCAAGCAAATGGAAAGCAAAAAAACCGGGGGTTGCTATCCTAGTCTCTGCTAAAACAGACTTTAAACCAACAAAGATCAAAAGAGACAAAGAAGGCCGTTAACATAATGGTAAAGGGATCAATTCAACAACAAGAGCTAACTATCCTAAATATATATGCACCCAATACAGGAGCACCCAGATCCATAAAGCGAGTCCTTAGAAACCTACAAAGAGACTTAGACTCCCAAACAATAATAATGGGAGACAATAATGGGAGACCTTAACACTCCACTGTCAATATTAGATCAATGAGACAGAAGGTTAACAAGGATATCCAGGACTTGAACTCAGCTCTGCACCAAGTGGACTTAATAGACACATACAGAACTCTCCACCCAAAATTAACAGAATATACTTTCTTCTCAGCACCACATTGCACTTACTCCAAAATTAACCACTTAGTTGGAAGTAAGGCACTCCTCAGCAAATGTAAAAGAACAGAAATCACAACAAACTCTCTCAGACCATAGTGCAATCAAATTGGAACTCAGAATTAAGAAACTCATTCAAAACTGCACAACTACATGGAAACTGAACAACCTGCTCCTGAATGACTACTGGGTACATAATGAAATGAAGGCAGAAATAAAGATGTTCTTTGAAACCAACGAGAACAAAGACACAACATACCAGAATCTCTGGGACACATTCAAAGCAGTGTGTAGAGGGAAATTTATAGCACTAAATGCCCACAAGAGAAAGCAGGAAAGACTGAAAATCGACACCCTAACATCACAATTAAAAGAACTGGAGAAGCCAGAGCAAACACATTCAAAAGCTAGCAGAACGCAAGAAATAACTAAGATCAGACCAGAACTGAAGGCGACAGAGACACAAAAAAAAAAACTTCAAAAAATCAATGAATCTAGGAATTGGTTTTTTGAAAAGATCAACAAAATTGATAGACCACTAGCAGACTAATAAGGAAGAAAAGAGAGAAGAATCAAATAGATGTAATAAGAATGATAAAGGGGGTATCACCACCAATCCCACGGAAATACAAACTACCATCAGAGAATACTATAAACACTTCTACACAAATAAATTAGAAAATCTAGAAGAAATAGAAAAATTCCTGGACACATACAACCTCCCAAGACTAAACCAGGAAGAAGTTGAATCCCTGAATAGACCAATAACAGGCTCTGAAATTGAGGCAATAATTAATAGTGTACCAAGCAAGAAAAGCCACAGACCAGACATATTCACAGCTGAATTCTATCAGAGGTACCAGGAGGAGCTGGCAGGCAGGAGAAAGAAATAAAACAGTGTGGTGATTCCTCAGGGATCTAGAACTAGAAATACCATTTGACCCAGCCATCCCATTACTGGGTATATACCCAAAGGATTATAAATCATGCTGTTATAAAGACACATGCACATGTATGTTTATTGAGGCACTATTCACAATAGCAAAGACTTGGAACCAAACCAAATGTCCAACAATGATAGACTGGATTAAGAAAACATGGCACATATACACCATGGAATACTATGCAGCCATAAAAAAGGATGAGTTCATGTCCTTTGTAGGGACATGGATGAAGCTGGAAACCATCATTCTCAGCAAACTATCGCAAGGACAAAAAACCAAACACCGCATGTTCTCACTCATAGGTGGGAATTGAACAATGAGAACACTTGGACACAGGAAGGGGAACTTCACACACCAGGGTAGGGAGAGGGGGGAGGGATAGCATTAGGAGATATACCTAATGTAAATGACGAGTTAATGGGTGCAGCACACCAACATGGCACATGTATACATATGTAAAAACCTGCACATTGTGCACATGTACCCTAGAACTTAAAGTATAATAAAAATATATATTTAAAAAAAGAAATAAAAGCTATTCAATCACGAAAACAGGAAGTCAAATTGTCTCTGTTTGCAGATGACATGACTGTATATTTAGAAAACCCCATCGTCTCAGCCCAAAATCTCCTTAAGCTGATAAGCAACTTCAGCAAAGTCTCAGGATACAAAATCAATGTGCAAAATCACAAGCTTTCCTATACACCAAAAACAGACAGAGAGACAAATCATGAGTGAACTCCCATTCACAATTGCTTCAAAGAGAATAAAACACCCAGGAATCCAACTTACAAGGGATGTGAAGGACCTCTTCAAGGAGAACTACAAACCACTGCTCAATGAAATAAAAGAGGACAAACAAATGGAAGAACATTCCATGCTTATGGATAGGAAGAATCAGTATTGTGAAAATGGCCATACTGCCCAAGGTAATTTATAGATTAACTGCCATCCCCATTGAGCTACCAATGACTTTCTTCACATAATTGGAAAAAACTACTTTAAAGTTCATATGGAACCAAAAAAGAGCCCACATTGCCAAGACAATCCTAAGCAAAAAGATCAAAGCTGGAGGCATCTTGCTACCTGACTTCAAATTATATTATAAGGCTACAGTAACCAAATAGCATGGTACTGATACTAAAACAGAGATATAGACCAATGGCACAGAACAGAGCCCTCAGAAATAATACCACACATCTACAACCATCTGATCTTTGACAAACCTGACAAAAACAAGAAATGGGGAAAAGATTCCCTACTTAATAAATGGTGCTGGGAAAACTGGCTAACCATATGTAGAAAGATGAAACTGGATCCCTTCCTTACACCTTATACAAAAATTAATTCAAGATGGATTAAAGACTTAAATGTAAGACCTAAAACCATAAGAACCCTAGAAGAAAACGTAGGCTATACCATTCAGGTCATAGGCATAGGCAAGGACTTCATGACTAAAACACCAAAAGCAATGGCAACAAAAGTCAAAATTGACAAATGGCATCTAATTAAACTAAAGAGCTTCTGCACAGCAAAAGAAACTACCATCAGAGTGAATAGGCAACCCACAGAATGGGAGAATATTTTTGCAATCTACCCATCTGACAAAGGGCTAATATCCAGAATCTACAAAGAACTTAAACAAATTTACAAGAAAAAATCAAACAACCCCATCAAAAAGTGGGCGAAGGATATGAACAGACACTTCTCAAAAGACATGCAGCCAACAGACACACGAAAAAATGCTCATCATCACCGGCCATCAGAGAAATACAAATCAAAACCACAATGAGATACCATCTCACACCAGTTAGAATGGCGATCATTAAAAAGTCAGGAAACAACAGGTGCTGGAGAGGATGGGAGAAATAGGAACACTTTTACACTGTTGGTGGGAGTGTAAACTCGTTCAACCATGTGGAAGACAGTGTGGTGATTCCTCAAGGATCTAGAACTAGAAATACCATTTGACCCAGCCATCCCATTACTGGTTATATACCCAAAGGATTATAAATCATGCTATTATAAAGACACATGCACACGTATGTTTATTGCGGCACTATTCACAATAGCAAAGACTTGGAACCAACCCAAATGTCCATCAATGACAGATTGGATTAAGAAAATGTGGCACATATGCACCATGGAATACTATGCAGCCATAAAAAAGAGTGAGTTCATGTCCTTTGTAGGGACATGGATGAAGCTGGAAACCATCATTCTGAGCAAACTATCTCAAGCACAGAAAACCAAACACCACATGTTCTCACTCATAGGTGGGAACTGAACAATGAGAACACTTGGACACATGGTGGGGAACATCACACACTGGGGCCTGTAGTGGGTTGGGGGGAGGGGGAAGGGATAGCATTAGGAGAATACCTAATGTAAATGATGAGTTAATGGGTGCAGCACACCAACGTGGCACATATATACATATGTAACAAACCTGCACGTTGTGCACATGTACCCTAGAACTTAAAGTATAATAATAAAAAAAGAAAAAAAAAGAGAAAACCCTAGCATCCAAATTTTGGGGGAGGCTTATTTATTTAATAATAAAGCTCCAGTCTCCCATTTAGCCAGCTGTACATGTGTAAAGCTCTTTCTCTATTGCAATTCCCATCTTGATAAACCAGCTATATTTGGGCAGCAGGCAAGAAGAACCCATCAGGTGGTTATGCTCCCACATATGGTCAGTGATTTTTGATGAGATCAGTGACTTCCACTGAGATCATTCAACGGAAGAAAGAAGAGTCTTTTTGACAAATGCAGCTGGGAAAAAAACTGGATATTCCCATGCAAAAGGATGAAGTTGAACCCTTACCCAACACCACGTACAAAAGAGCTAAAACTACACACTATTAGAAGAAAACAGGAGAAAGCCTTCATGACATTGAATTTGGCATGATTTCTTAGATATATAACACCAAAAGCACAAAATAGAAAATTATATTTCATCAAAAATAAAAACTATTGTGCAAAGAACACAATCAACAAAATAAAAAGGCCATCCTCATTTGCAAATCACATATCTGATAAGTGACTAATATCCAAAATATCTAAAGAATTCCTAAAAACAACAAAACCCAATTCAAAAATGGGCAGAATAGGCTTGAAGAGATATTTCCCCAAAGAAGACAGACAAATGGCCAATAAGCACATGAAAAGATGTTCAACATCACTAATTATAGGAGAGATGCAAATCAAAATCACAAAGACATATCACTTCACACCTTTCATAATGATATTTCACTTTACTTCATATTTTTTTGCATGGCTATTACCCAAAAAACAAAAAATAACAAGTGGTGGCTAAGGTGTGGAGAAATTGTTACCCTCGTGGTCTGGTGATAGAAATGTAAAATGGTGTAACTGCTATGGAAAACAGTAGGGTAGTTCTTCAAAAAACTGACATAGAAGTACCATTGTGTCTAGCAATTTTACTTCTGTGTATATACCCAAAAGAACGGAAAGCAGGGACTCAGATTATGTGTACACTAATATTGGTACCAGTATTATTCACAATAGGTAAAATGTGAAAGCAACACAACTTCCTATCAAGAGATGAATGGATAAGCAAAATGTGGAATATACATATAATAGAATGTTATTCAGCCCCAAAAAGGAATTAAATTCTGAGACATGCTACAATGTGGATGAACCTTAAGGACATTAAGTGAAATAAACCAGACACAAAAGTATAAATATGGTATGATTCCACTTATATGAGGTACCTAGTCCGATTCATGGAAAAGAGATTAGAGGTTATCAGGTTAAATGAATAATTGTGAATGTGTATTTTACAACACTGAAGGTTATCAGGATAAATATAAAATGGCAAATGTATATTTTACTATGATAAAAAACACAGGAATACTCAATTTTTGTTTCTCCTCACTGCTTTTCTTCATGTTTAGAGGAAAGTAACATAACAAAAAACAGAATAGACATGAACTTTTTTCTTTTTCTTTTTTGAGACAGGGTCTCAGTCTATCATCCAGGCTGGAGTGTAGTGGTGCAATCATAGAGCACCACAACCTCAAACTCCAGGTCTCAAACAATCCTCCCACCTCAGCCTCTCAAGTAGCTGAGGGTACAGGCACATGCCACCACTCACAACTATTTAAAAATTTTTGTAGAGTTGGGGTCTCATGATGTTACCCAAGCTGGTCTCGAACTCCTGGGCTAAGCCATCCTCCTGCCTGAGCCTCCCAAAGTGCTGGGATTATAAGTGTGAGCCACCATGACTAGCTGCCATGTACTTTTAAATGTCACTAGATTTACAAGAGCCAATCAAATGAACATCTATATATTTTAAACTATAGGACAATCAACCAATTTTCAGAGGAACAGCTGGGATTGCTGTAAAACAGAAACTGCAAGCACTGTCAACCTACCCTCTTAACCTTTTTGTTTTTTAAATCCTAAAACAAAGGGGAAAAGCAAGACCAGAAAACATAAAAACCCCAAAACCTGTCTTATCAGTATACAAAGCAGGAAGCAAAGGTAGAGGCAAATAGTTAAATTCATTAAAGAAGAATGAAAAAAATTAAAATAAATTTTCATTAATGAAAAATGAAAATAATTAACAGTTAGTGCATGAGCCCCAAATACTCTGATGACTGTCATCAGAACTTTTCTGCAGAGCAAGGCTGCAGCTCCTCTGATAGAAAAGACTTCCCAAGAATGTCTCTAGCACTCTTGCCAGTGTGAACAGATGTAGCTGAGGAACTTATCAAAGTTATAAAAATCTTCCCAAACTGTCACTTGACCTTTAAAAATGATACTGGCATTTTCATCTTGCAATGCCAAGTTTATTTAGATGTAAAACAACACGTCCATATATGGACCATACGTAAATCTGCATTCCCATCAGCCAACAGAGCAGCACCTTGGGGCCGCTATGACTGTCAGGATTGGTACAGCCACAGTAGCTAGGTGGCTTTGTGACATCTTGTCTTCTGGAGCCTTCCACAGCTCCTGTTGCCCCAGACTTCTGAGAGACGTACAAATAGAGAGTGAAGTTACTCTGTTTACCCACTTTACGTACCTATTACCTCGTTTAATTCTCAGAACCATATGTATTATTATCAGGTCCTATGAGGGAGCTGGATATCAGGGCTTTTCCTCATTTGTAAAGCAGATGATGAAAATTAAACAGCAGCTCATGCACACATCTGAATGCCAAGGGTGGGACCCAGAACGCAGTAAAAAATGAAAAAAGCACTAGTCAGTTCCCTTGAGGTCATGGGAGCCTTTGGCTCAGTCAGGCCTAGAGGCCCCATCTTCCAAGTCCTTATACTCTTTCAACCAAAAGAGCAGTTTTTCAGACTGGGAGTGCATGATACCTGAATGCATACAACTCTCCATGGAATATGTGAATGCAGATAACTTTAAGTTAGGGAATAAATTCCCAGACCCTTGGCATCCCTACATACGGCATAAGCTTTCCTAAAACTGATCCACTTGGATAGGGGCAGGTTCTCCATGCTTCTCTCTCGCTCTGCCCCCCACCCCCGCCCCACCCCACTTCACATCACCCTTCTCCCACTTCACAAAGGGCCTGACTGCTCACCCATCCTGTATTGTTATTAAATGCACTGTCCCACCTAATATAACCTCCAGGGCACCAAACAAAGGTAATCAGAAATATTGCTATCTTTATTAAGAAAGCCAATGTCTCTAATGAATGGGTAATAAATCCTTTGGGGCAACCAGAGGTTTCTAACTATTTGCATTCAACAAAACTGGAGGTGACCTAATATCATTAATAAATCATTAAAATAGTTTTTGCTGTCAGATCACCATGTAATTTTTGGCTTAAAGCTTGAGAGTTCAAAAAACTGAGAAACACTGCTGTAAGAAAATGATTCCCACCTTAATTACTTCTTTACGTAAAAAAAAGTTGACCTAATAGGAATGAAATTTATACTAAATTCTATCTCTAGCAATCTGTAATATTTGTCAATACAGAATATATAATCAACAACAAAATGCTCCATCCATGTCACTAAGAAATCTAATAAATGTAGCTTTTATGTTTAATAGTTAATTACCCAACCCTGTAACATTTATTGTTGTTTTGATTAATTGTTTACCAATACTAATTGTAATGGTAAGTCAGTCCTGAAGCTTTTCTAAGACAGAGGCTGATAGCCACAGGATTATAAAACTTTAAATTCTATCTATATTCTTTTTGTCATTGTAGATATGTGTAATAGGGAGATGACTTTGAACCTCAAAATATTATGCTAAGATAAAATTCTGAGGAGGAATGAAGATAGAAAAAAAAAAGAGCAATATAAAATATCCAAACGTGGCCAGGTGTGGTGGCTCACACCAGTAATACCAGTACTTTGGAAAGATGAGGCGGTAGGACTGCTTGAAGCCAGGAGCTTGAGACCAGCCAGGGAAACATAGGAGGACCCTGTCTCTACCAAAAAAAAATAAAAATAAAAATTAGCCAGGTATGGTGGCATGTGCCTGTAGTCCCAGCTACTCAGGAGGGTGAGGCAGGAGAATTGCTTGACCCAGGGAGGTGGAGGCTGCAGTAAGCTGTGATCGCACCACTACACTCCAGTCTGGGCAACAGAGAGAGACCCTGTCTCACTTAAAAATATATATATGTGTATATATATATCTCCATCCAAATGTCATTGAAAAGTATGTTTATTAAATGAATGGTGGTGGGTATCAAACTGTTAACAATATTTATAGATCTACTGGATATATTTAAATTTCATTACAAATGTCAACATTTATAATGCACTGGAAATCAAAAGTTTTGCAACAGTTTAAAATGATTTTTAAAATGTAAGTGAAGGAGAAATAAAATACTCTACAGACAAGCAAATGCTGAGAGAATTTGTCACCACCAGGCCTGCCTTACAAGAGCTCCTGAAGGAAGCACTAAACATGGAAAGGCACAACCGGTACCAGCCACTGCAAAATCATGCCAAAACGTAAAGACCATCAAGGCTAGGAAGAAACTGCATCAACTAACGAGCAAAATAACCAGCTAACATCATAATGACAGGATCAAATTCACACATAACAATATTAACTTTAAATGTAAATGGACTAAATGCTCCAATTAAAAGACACAGACTGGCAAATTGGATAAAGAGTCAAGACCCATCAGTGTGCTGTATTCAGGAAACCCATCTCACGTGCAGAGACACACATAGGCTCAAAATAAAAGGATGGAGGAAGATCTACCAAGCAAATGGAAAACAAAAAAAGGCAGGGGTTGCAATCCTAGTCTCTGATAAAACAGACTTTAAACCAACAAAGATCAAAAGAGACAAAGAAGGCCGTTACATAACGGTAAAGGGATCAATTCAACAAGAAGAGCTAACTATCCTAAATATAAATGCACCCAATACAGGAGCACCCAGATTCATAAAGCAAGTCCTGAGTGACCTACAAAGAGACTTAGACTCCCAAACAATAATAATGGGAGACTTTAACACCCCACTGTGAACATTAGACAGATCAACGAGACAGAAAGTTAACAAGGATACACAGGAATTGAACTCAGCTCTGCACCAAGCGGACCTAATACACATCTAAAGAACTCTCCACCCCAAATCAACAGAAAATACATTTTTTTCAGCACCACACCACACCTATTCCAAAATTGACCACATAGTTGGAAGTAAAGCTCTCCTCAGCAAATGTAAAAGAACAGAAATTATAACAAACTGTCTCTCAGACCACAGTGCAATCAAACTAGAACTCAAGATTAAGAAACTCACTCAAAACCGCTCAGCTACATGGAAACTGAACAACCTGCTCCTGAATGACTACTGGGTACATAACGAAATGAAGGCAGAAATAAAGATGTTCTTTGAAACCAACGAGAAC
This sequence comes from Homo sapiens, assembly GCF_000001405.40. NCBI lineage: Eukaryota > Metazoa > Chordata > Mammalia > Primates > Hominidae > Homo > Homo sapiens. The sequence continues at coordinate 70,936,712 of NC_000006.12, forward strand.
AAAGACACAACATACCAGAATCTCTGGGATACATTCAAAGCAGTGTGTAGAGGGAAATTTATAGCACTAAATGCCCACAAGAGAAAGCAGGAAAGATCCAAAATTGACACCCTAACATCACAATTAAAAGAACTAAAGAAGCAAGAGCAAACACATTCAAAAGCTAGCAGAAGGCAAGAAATAACTAAAATCAGAGCAGAACTGAAGGAAATAGAGACACAAAAAACCCTTCAAAAAATTAATGAATCCAGGAGCTGGTTATTTGAAAGGATCAACAAAATTGATAGACCACTAGCAAGACTAATAAAGAAGAAAAGAGAGAAAAATCAAATAGACACAAAAAAATGATAAAGGGGATATCACCACCGATCCCACAGAAATAGAAACTACCATCAGAGAATACTATAAACACCTCTACGCAAATAAACTGGAAAATCTAGAAGAAATGGATAAATTCCTCGGCACATACACCCTCCCAAGACTAAACCAGGAAGAAGTTGAATCTCTGAATAGACCAATAACAGGCTCTGAAATTGTGGCAATAATCAATAGCTTACCAACCAAAAAGAGTCCAGGACCAGATGGATTCACAGCCGAATTCTACCAGAGGTACAAGGAGGAACTGGTACCATTCCTTCTGAAACTATTCCAATCAATAGAAAAAGAGGGAATCCTCCCTAACTCATTTTATGAGGCCAGCATCATCCTGATACCAAAGCCGGGCAGAGACACAGCCAAAAAAGAGAATTTTAGACCAATATCCTTGATGAACATGGATGCAAAAATCCTCAATAAAATACTGGCAAACCGAATCCAGCAGCACATCAAAAAGCTTATTCACCATGATCAAGTGGGCTTCATCCCTGGGATGCAAGGCTGGTTCAATATATGCAAATCAATAAATGTAATCCAGCATATAAACAGAACCAAAGACAAAAACCACATGATTATCTCAATAGATGCAGAAAAGGCCTTTGACAAAATTCAACAACGCTTCATGCTAAAAACTCTCAATAAATTAGGTATTGATGGGACGTATCTCAAAATAATAAGAGCTATCTATGACAAGCCCACAGCCAATATCATACTGAATGGGCAAAAACTGGAGGCATTCCCTTTGAAAACGGGCACAAGACAGGGATGCCCTCTCTCACCACTCCTATTCAACATAGTGTTGGAAGTTCTGGCCAGGGCAATTAGGCAGAAGAAGGACATAAAGGGTATTCAATTAGGAAAAGAGGGAGTCAAATTGTCCCTGTTTGCAGACGACATGATTGTATATCTACAAAACCCCATTGTCTCAGCCAAAAATCTCCTTAAGCTGATAAGCAACTTCAGCAAAGTCTCAGGATACAAAATCAATGTACAAAAATCACAAGCATTCTTATACACCAATAACAGACAAACAGAGAGCCAAATCATGAGTGAACTCCCATGCACAATTGCTTCAAAGATAATAAAATACTTAGGAATCCAACTTACAAGGGACGTGAAGGACCTCTTCAAGGAGAACTACAAACCACTGCTCAATGAAATAAAAGAGGATACAAACAAATGGAAGAACATTCCATGCTCATGGGTAGGAAGAATCAATATTGTGAAAATGGCCATACTGCCCAAGGTAATTTATAGATTCAATGCCATCCCCATCAAGCTACCAATGACTTTCTTCACAGAATTGGAAAAAACTACTTTAAAGTTTATATGGAACCATAAAAGAGCCCACATCGTCAAGTCAATCCTAAGCCAAAAGAACAAAGCTGGAGGCATCACACTACCTGACTTCAAACTATACTACAAGGCTACAGTAACCAAAACAGCATGGTACTGGTACCAAAACAGAGATATAGATCAATGGAACAGAACAGAGCCCTCAGAAATAACGCTGCATATCTACAACTATCTGATCTTTGACAAACCTGAGAAAAACAAGCAATGGGGAAAGGATTCCCTATTTAATAAATAGTGCTGGGAAAACTGGCTAGCCATATGTAGAAAGCTGAAACTGGATCCCTTCCTTACACCTTATACAAAAATTAATTCAAGATGGAAACTTAAACGTTAGACCTAAAACCATAAAAACCCTAGAAGAAAACCTAGGCATTACCATTCAGGACATAGGCATGGGCAAGGACTTCATGTCTAAAACACCAAAAGCATTGGCAACAAAAGCCAAAATTGACAAATGGGATCTAATTAAACTAAAGAGCTTCTGCACAGCAAAAGAAACTACCATCAGAGTGAACAGGCAACCTACAAAATGGGAGAAAATATTCGCAACCTACTCATCTGACAAAGGGCTAATATCCAGAATCTACAATGAACTCAAACAAATTTACAAGAAAAAACCAACCAACCCCATCAACAAGTGGGCGAAGGACATGAATAGACACTTCTCAAAAGAAGACATTTATGCAGCCAAAAGACATATGAAAAAACGCTCATCACTGGCCATCAGAGAAATGCAAATCAAAACCACAATGAGATACCATCTCACACCAGTTAGAATGGTGATCATTAAAAAGTCAGGAAACAACAGGTGCTGGAGAGGATGTGGAGAAATAGGAACACTTTTACACTGTTGGTGGGACTGTAAACTAGTAAAACCATTGTGGAAGTCAGTGCGGCGATTCCTCAGGGATCTAGAACTAGAAATACCATTTGATCCAGCCATCCCATTACTGGGTATATACCCAAAGGACTATAAATCATGCTGCTATAAAGACACATGCACATGTATGTTTATTGCAGCACTATTCACAATAGCAAAGACTTGGAACCAACCCAAATGTCCAACAATGATAGACTGGATTAAGAAAATGTGGCATATATACACCATGGAATACTATGCAGCCATAAAAAATGATGAGTTCATGTCCTTTGCAGGGACATGGATGAAATTGGAAATCATCATTCTCAGTAAACTATTGCAAGGACAAAAAACCAACACCGCATGTTCTCACTCATAGATGGGAATTGAACAATGAGAACACAGACACAGGAAGGGGAACATCACACTCTGGGGACTGTTGTGGGGTGGGGGTTGGGGGGAGGGATAGCATTAGGAGATATACCTAATGCTAAAAGACTAGTTAATGGGTGCAGCACACCAGCATGGCACATGTATACATATGTAACTAACCTGCACATTGTGCACATGTACCCTAAAACTTAAAGTATAATAATAATAAAATAATAAAAAAAATAAAATGTAGATGTCAATTAAAAAATATCCCAGAGGGTTAATGTTACAAAATTCTTTTAGAAATTATGTGACCAGAAAATGTTGGGGACCACTGCATCAGATCCCTGGGTCTGGCCACAATTCTTGCCAGAAACTGAAATGGAGGGTACAGGGTCTGTGGAGAAGGAACAAGGAAAGCAGCCACTGCATTCACAGGTAAGAAGGGGCAACCACATAGGTAGGTAAAACCACACACAGACACCCCCTCGCCCCACACACACACCCACACCCTCTCTCTCTCCTACATTTTCCTCATTCTGGACTAAATAAGCTTTAGAATGTTTTTATTAATGAAAACTTAAGCAATGTTTGCAAAAAGAGAAGCAAGCTTATGGGGCTTCCCAAAAAAGCATCAGGCACTTGAAGCCCAGCAAGGGGCTCAGTGTCCCCAGGCAAGGCTGGGAGAAGGGTGGACACAGAGAAGGCTGGCATCTGGGATCCTTTCCACCTCCTCCAACAGGTGCTGGTCAGAAGAATATTCCTAACCTTCCCAGCCCAGGAAATGACCTTAAAATACTGCTTCTAATCATGTGCTCAAAAAAAAAATCTATTTCGTGCCCTCTCCTTTGTAACATACTATCTCTTTGATTCATTCATTTGTGCCAACGATAATCACTGTATCATGTAGTAACTATGTCCTAGGTCCACACTGGGCCCTGGGATTACATAGTAATTAAAAACCACACCTAGGGCCAGGCACCGTGGCTCACACCTGTAATCCCAGCACTTTGGGAAACCGAGGTGGGTGCATCACCTGAGGTCAGGAGTTTGAGACCAACCTGGCCAACATGTTGAAACCCCACCTTTACTAAAAATACAAAAATTAGCCAGGCATGATGGCTTGCACCTGTAATCCTAGCTACTCAGGAGGCTGAAGCAGGGGAATCGCTTCAATCCAGGAGGTGGAAGTTGCAGTGAGCCAGGTTAGCATCCTCCTCTGAGCTACATGTAAGTCAACTTCCTAGCTTTCACCGTTAGGAGTTAGCATCAGAAGTCAGAACCCACAGGAGAACACCCTTCACCTCCTCTCCATCTAAAATGTCCTTTAGATGCTTTTAGTTCTCTCACATCTCACTTCCTCCCAGGACTCTTTGTAGACAAGCCCTATTTAACTCTTGTCCCTGTAATCACCCTAGTAATACCCAATGGTGTAATTAAGGTACCCAATTTATGCAGTTCCACTTGGGTACAGACTAATTTGGGAAAGTCAAGTGCCTTTACCTCCTCCTCCCCCTAGGCCTCTAGAAACATAGTCCAGATGTCAGGAGAAGAACATTTAGAGGCACTTAACAAATCAAGACAGTGCAATTATCTGGTATACCCTCAATTAGGGCAGTCACCCATAGTGGAAAGAACAAGGCAAAAAGAACTAATATTTATTACTTGCCTAGAGCACTTAAAACAATCACTCGAGGCAGTCAACCCTTGCCAATGTAATGCAAACACTAAGCAGTGAAGCTGGATTTGAACATGGGCTGTTACGCCTATGTGAGCTCCCCACCAGCCTCCAGCCTCTCACACGTGTGAAGAGGCCAAATACTCAACTGACTCACGACCACCTTGACAAACCTCCCCTTTTAATGGCTGTTGATGGTAATGCCTTGCTATATACATAAATGCTCATGACATTCTCTTTCCTTTTAGTATAAAAGCTCTTAGAATCAGAGTAGGGACCACGTTTATCTTCCAGTTTCTATTTAAAGGGCTCAATACAATCTTAGACATACAACACAGACTTCAAAACTATGATTTGATTGACAATCTCTGTGCAGGACTCCTTTCAGGGATTAAACTCTGTTTATAATAAATTCCCTCAGCTTCCAAGTGTCTTATAATTCATTCATTCAAAAAATATTTAATAAGCATTCACTGCATGCTAGGCACTGCTCTGGACACTACAGATACAACAGTAAACAAAAGAAAATTCCTACCCTGGTATTCTAGTGGGAGAAACAACTGAAATACATATTCAGGTATCATATTATTTAATGTGATATCAGGTGCTCTAAAGGATCCACAAAAGTCTATATTACCACTTCTTTGGTACAACTAGATGGACAAATACTTATCTATAGTTTTCCTATCAATTTACCACCCACCTTATCCAAGGCCTATTGAAAAAGTTAAAGGTCAAAAATTTGCCTAATGGGCATTCTGAAAACCAGATGCAAAAAAATAAAAAGGAAAGCCTGCTCCGACACTGCTATGTATACTTTTAAATTCACAAGTTTACATAAAGACATGATAGTATCCAGGAAGAAGATTCCAATGGGCATGATTTAGATGCCACTTCCAAATACACAGAACCTGAAGAGTTCTTTACAGGACAGCTTCTCTCAAAGATGAGAACAGCACTTTGACATGCAGAAGATGGAAAAGTGGCTGCCTATTTCTCCACCTCATCTTCTCACCACCCAGCCTCTTGCCATCAAGAACATCCTTCAGGTCTCTGAGTATTCAGGTCCACAAATATGGTTTTCTCTCTCTGGAGGGCTCCTTCATCCCTGTCCCATCACCCACTAGGCCCTGTTGTTCTTTACTTCTCAGCTCAAATGTCACTTCCTCCACAATTACTCCTACAATCAACAACTCCATTAGGGACCTCTGCTTTACACTCCCAGACACATTCATTTCTCTCAACAGGCACTGAAGCTACCATGCATATTTAGTCCAGAGAATCAATCTGGGAGGGCTGAGATGCTCTCTGTTTCAGGGAGCTGAAATACTCCCTGACTTAATTAAGCACAGTGCCTTGTACACAGTAGGTGCTCAATTAATATTTGTTAAGTGGTAGAGAAGGCCTACTGACTTGTTATATTAAAACATCTTCTGAATAGGATGAAGTTTGAGCTCAGGTAGGTAGAAGGAATCTTACAGAGTAATACAGTAGTACTGCTAAGATGCAAATCTCTTAGATAACTGAAATCTCAGTTAATGGAGAATGGTCAGCATTTAGCACACTCAGCTTTCACTAGAGATGCAGGTACAATTTAGGAATATCTGCAGTTCAAGCTGAAGGAACAACAGTCTTAGATTCAGCATGTAACATAAATAGTGTTTAAAGTTCTCTTTCCACAGGTGGAGGAGACGGATTTTAAAAAGTAAACAAACTACTGCGTTTTTAGTTGTTTTAGGAAAAAGACCCAATCTGACTTCTGGTAGAGAACATGGCTGTCCTCCTCAGCAAATCCACCTCCAAGTTTTCTTGTTTTTTTTAACCTGCAAAAAGACTCAACCAATGATTTATTTTGTTTTTAATCCAAGGAAATTCCTAATCTCAGAAGAAATCGGACAAGAAAATTAACAAACCTTCTACCAACAAGTGAGCAGTCAAATGAACCTGGTAGTGCTGCCTGCAGCAGCCAACATAAGGGGTATATTGGTGAGGAGAACCAAGGCTCCTCCAAGCACATCTCTGTTCCCAGAAGGAGCCATCTCAGCCACATTGGCTTCAGCGCAAATTGGCTCAGGCCCCCAGCTCCTCTCCTCTGTTTCAATAATAAACCCCTGAGCCTGCTTCACATAATTCTGTATTTTCTCCCATTCTACCCTGAAAATTATTCTTCCGTTCAGTTCTGCCTGCCCTGACATGATACACGCCTAGGAGACAGAGTTGTTGATGTATACATAGCAAATGAGGAAAAACTTAATTTTAATATCTATAGAAGTTATCAATTCTTATTCACAAGAATACGTAGTTTAAAAAATAAAAGACTACAGTTTATATACTAACTTGGCAGTTTTTATCTAGCTTGTAAAAATAAATATCAAATGGTCTATAAATCAGAGATAGTGAGAGATGAGATAAAATTTTCACAAGACCAAATATTATCAGGAGAAAAAAGGTAGGGGTAGGAATTGGGGAAATGTTTGGTCAAAGGATACAAAATTTCAGTTAGAAAGAATACATTTAGAAGATCAACTGCAACACAAATTGGTGACTATAGTTATTAACAATGTATTGTACACCTGCAAACTGCTGAGGAGATTTTAAATGTTTTCACCACACACACAAAAAATGATAAAATTGTAAGGTAATGAATATATTAATTAGCTTTAGTAATTCCACAATGTATCCCTATATCAAAACATTATAGTCTACACAACAAATATATTAACATATAATTTTGAGCTGGCAGCCACGATGGCCAAATAGGAACAGCTCCGGTCTACAGCTCCCAGCGTGAGCGACGCAGAAGATGGGTGATTTCTGCATTTCCATCTGAGGTACCGGGTTCATCTCACTAGGGAGTGCCAGACAGTGGGCGCAGGACAGTGGGTGCAGCACACCGTGCCCAAGCGAAAGCAGGGCGAGGCATTGCCTCACTCGGGAAGCGCAAGGGGTCAGGGAGTTCCCTTTCCTAGTCAAAGAAAGGGGTGACAGAGGGCACCTGGAAAATCGGGTCACTCCCACCCTAATACTGCACTTTTCTGACAGGCTTAAAAAACGGCGCACCAGGAGATTATATCCCACACATGGCGCCCACGGAGTCTCGCTGATTGCTAGCACAGGTCTGAGATCAAACTGCAAGGCGACTGCAAGGCGGCAGCGAGGCTGGGGGAGGGGTGCCCGCAATTGCCCAGGCTTGCTTAGGTAAACAAAGCAGCTGGGAAGCTCCAACTGGGTGGAGGCCACCACAGCTCAAGGAGGCCTGCCTGCCTCTGTAGGCTCCACCTCTGAGGACAGGGCACAGACAAACAAAAAGATGGCAGTAACCTCTGCAGACTTAAATGTCCCTGTCTGACAGCTTTGAAAAGAGCAGTGGTTCTCCCAGCACGCAGCTGGAGATCTGAGAACAGGCAGACTGCCTCCTCAAGTGGGTCCCTGACCCCTGACCCCCGAGCAGCCTAACTGGGAGGCACCCCCCAGTAGGGGCAGACTGACACCTCACACGGCCAGGTACTCCTCTGAGACAAAACTTCCAGAGGAACGATCAGAAAGCAGCATTCGCGGTTCACGAAAATACGCTGTTCTGCAGCCACCGCTGCTGATAACCAGGCAAACAGGGTCTGGAGTGGATCTCTAGCAAACTCCAACAGACCTGCAGCTGAGGGTCCTGTCTGTTAGAAGGAAAACTAACAAACAGAAAGGACATCTACACCAAAAACCCATCTGTACATCACCATCATCAAAGACCAAAAGTAGATAAAACCACAAAGATGGGGAAAAAACAGAGCAGAAAAACTGGAAACTCTAAAAAGCAGAGCACCTCTCCTCCCCCAAAGGAACACAGTTCCTCACCAGCAACGGAACAAAGCTGGACAGAGAATGACTTTGACGAGTTGAGAGAAGAAGGCTTCAGACGTTCAAACTACTCCGAGCTACAGGAGGAAATTCAAGCCAAAGGCAAAGAAGTTAAAAACTTTGAAAAAAATTTAGACGAATGTATAACTAGAATAACCAATACAGAGAAGTGCTTAAAGGAGCTGATGGAGCTGAAAGCCAAGGCTCAAGAACTACATGAAGAATGCAGAAGCCTCAGGAGCTGATGCGATCAACTGGAAGAAAGGGTATCAGTGATGGAAGATGAAATGAATGAAATGAAACAAGAAGGGAAGTTTAGAGAAAAAAGAATAAAAAGAAATGAACAAAGCCTCCAAGAAATATGGGACTATGTGAAAAGACAAAATCTACGTCTGATTGTGTACCTGAAAGTGACGGGGAGGATGGAACCGAGTTGGAAAACACTCGGCACGATATTATCCAGGAGAATTTCCCCAATCTAGTATGGCAGGCCAACATTCAGATTCAGTAAATACAGAGAATGCCACAAAGATACTCCTCGAGAAGAGCAACTCCAAGACACATAATTGTCAGATTCACCAAAGTTGAAATGAAGGAAAAAATGGTAAGGGCAGCCAGAGAGAAAGGTCGGGTTACCCACAAAGGGAAGCCCATCAGACTAACAGCCGATCTCTCGGCAGAAACTCTACAAGCCAGAAGAGAGTGGGGGCCAATATTCAACAATCTTAAAGAAAAGAATTTTCAACCCAGAATCTCATATCCAGCCAAACTAAGCTTCATAAGTGAAGGAGAAATAAAATACTTTACAGACAAGCAAATGCTGAGAGATTTTGCCACCACCAGGCCTGCCCTAAAAGAGCTCCTGAAGGAAGCACTAAACATGGAAAGGCACAACCGGTACCAGCCACTGCAAAATCATGCCAAAACGTAAAGACCATCGAGGCTAGGAAGAAACTGCATCAACTAACGAGCAAAATAACCAGCTAACATCATAATGACAGGATCAAATTCACACATAACAATATTAACTTTAAATGTAAATGGACTAAATGCTCCAATTAAAAGACACAGACTGATGGGTCTTGACTGGGGATAAAGAGTCAAGACCCATCAGTGTGCTGTATTCAGGAAACCCATCTCACGTGCAGAGACACACATAGGCTCAAAATAAAAGGATGGAAGAAGATCTACCAAGCAAATGGAAAACAAAAAAAGGCAGGGGTTGCAATCCTAGTCTCTGATAAAACAGACTTTAAACCAACAAAGATCAAAAGAGACAAAGAAGGCCGTTACATAACGGTAAAGGGATCAATTCAACAAGAAGAGCTAACTATCCTAAATATAAATGCACCCAATACAGGAGCACCCAGATTCATAAAGCAAGTCCTGAGTGACCTACAAAGAGACTTGGACTCCCAAACAATAATAATGGGAGACTTTAACACCCCACTGTCAACATTAGACAGATCAACGAGACAGAAAGTTAACAAGGATACACAGGAATTGAACTCAGCTCTGCACCAAGCGGACCTAATACACATCTAAAGAACTCTCCACCCCAAATCAACAGAATATACATTTTTTTCAGCACCACACCACACCTATTCCAAAATTGACCACATAGTTGGAAGTAAAGCTCTCCTCAGCAAATGCAAAAGAACAGAAATTATAACAAACTGTCTCTCAGACCACAGTGCAATCAAACTAGAACTCAGGATTAAGAAACTTACTCAAAACTGCACAACTGCATGGAAACTGAACAACCTGCTCCTGAATGACTACTGGGTACATAACGAAATGAAGGCAGAAAAAAAGATGTTCTTTGAAACCAACGAGAACAAAGACACAACATACCAGAATCTCTGGGACACATTCAAAGCAGTGTGTAGAGGGAAATTTATAGCACTAAATGCCCACAAGAGAAAGCAGGAAAGATTCAAAATTGACACCCTAACATCACAATTAAAAGAACTAGAAAAGCAAGAGCAAACACATTCAAAAGCTAGCAGAAGGCAAGAAATAACTAAAATCAGAGCAGAACTGAAGGAAATAGAGACACAAAAAACCCTTCAAAAAATTAATGAATCCAGGAGCTGGTTATTTGAAAGGATCAACAAAATTGATAGACCACTAGCAAGACTAATAAAGAAGAAAAGAGAGAAAAATCAAATAGACACAAAAAAAATGATAAAGGGGATATCACCACCGATCCCACAGAAATAGAAACTACCATCAGAGAATACTACAAACACCTCTACGCAAATAAACTAGAAAATCTAGAAGAAATGGATAAATTCCTCGACACATACACCCTCCGAAGACTAAACCAGGAAGAAGTTGAATCTCTGAATAGACCAATAACAGGCTCTGAAATTGTGGGAATAATCAATAGCTTACCAACCAAAAAGAGTCCAGGACCAGATGGATTCACAGCCGAATTCTACCAGAGGTACAAGGAGGAACTGGTACCATTCCTTCTGAAACTATTCCAATCAATAGAAAAAGAGGGAATCCTCCCTAACTCATTTTATGAGGCCAGCATCATCCTGATACCAAAGCCGGGCAGAGACACAGCCAAAAAAGAGAATTTTAGACCAATATCCTTGATGAACATTGATGCAAAAATCCTCAATAAAATACTAGCAAACCGAATCCAGCAGCACATCAAAACCTTACTCACCATGATCAAGTGGACTTCATCCCTGGGATGCAAGGCTGGTTCAATATACGCAAATCAATAAATGTAATCCAGCATATAAACAGAACCAAAGACAAAAACCACATGATTATCTTAATAGATGCAGAAAAGGCCTTTGACAAAATTCAACAACCCTTCATGCTAAAAATTCTCAATAAATTAGGTATTGATGGGACGTATCTCAAAATAATAAGAGCTATCTATGACAAGCCCACAGCCAATATCATACTGAATGGGCAAAAACTGGAGGCATTCCCTTTGAAAACGGGCACAAGACAGGGATGCCCTCTCTCACCACCCCTATTCAACATAGTGTTGGAAGTTCTGGCCAGGGTAATTAGGCAGGAGAAGGAGATAAAGGGTATTCAATTAGGAAAAGAGGAAGTCAAATTGTCCCTGTTTGCAGATGACATGGTTGTATATCTAGAAAACCCCATTGTCTCAGCCAAAAATCTCCTTAAGCTGATAAGCAACTTCAGCAAAGTCTCAGGATACAAAATCAATGTACAAAAATCACAAGCATTCTTATACACCAATAACAGACAAACAGAGAGCCAAATCATGAGTGAACTCCCATGCACAATTGCTTCAAAGATAATAAAATACTTAGGAATCCAACTTACAAGGGACGTGAAGGACCTCTTCAAGGAGAACTACAAACCACTGCTCAATGAAATAAAAGAGGATACAAACAAATGGAAGAACATTCCATGCTCATGGGTAGGAAGAATCAATATCGTGAAAATGGCCATACTGCCCAAGGTAATTTATAGATTCAATGCCATCCCCATCAAGCTACCAATGACTTTCTTCACAGAATTGGAAAAAACTACTTTAAAGTTCATATGGAACCAAAAAAGAACCCACATCGTCAAGTCAATCCTAAGCCAAAAGAACAAAGCTGGAGGCATCACACTACCTGACTTCAAACTATACTACAAGGCTACAGTTACCAAAACAGAGATATAGATCAATGGAACAGAACAGAGCCCTCAGAAATAACGCTGCATATCTACAACTATCTGATCTTTGACAAACCTGAGAAAAACAAGCAATGGGGAAAGGATTCCCTATTTAATAAATGGTGTTGGGAAAACTGGCTAGCCATATGTAGAAAGCTGAAACTGGATCCCTTCCTTACACCTTATACAAAAATTAATTCAAGATGGAAACTTAAACGTTAGACCTAAAACCATAAAAACCCTAGAAGAAAACCTAGGCATTACCATTCAGGACATAGGCATGGGCAAGGACTTCATGTCTAAAACACCAAAAGCATTGGCAACAAAAGCCAAAATTGACAAATGGGATCTAATTAAACTAAAGAGCTTCTGCACAGCAAAAGAAACTACCATCAGAGTGAACAGGCAACCTACAAAATGGGAGAATATTTTCGCAACCTACTCATCTGACAAAGGGCTAATATCCAGAATCTACAATGAACTCAAACAAATTTACAAGAAAAAACAAACAACCCCATCAACAAGTGGGTGAAGGACATGAACAGACACTTCTCAAAAGAAACATTTATGCAGCCAAAAGACACATGAAAAAATGCTCAGCATCACTGGCCATCAGAGAAATGCAAATCAAAACCACAATGAGATACCATCTCACACCAGTTAGAATGGCAATCATTAAAAAGTCAGGAAACAACAGGTGCTGGAGAGGATGTGGAGAAATAGGAACACTTTTACACTGTTGGTGGGACTGTAAACTAGTTCAACCATTGTGGAAGTCAGTGTGGTGATTCCTCAGGGATCTAGAACTAGAAATATCATTTGATCCAGCCATCCCATTACTGGGTATATACCCAAAGGACTATAAATCATGCTGCTATAAAGACACATGCACATGTATGTTTATTGCGGCACTATTCACAATAGCAAAGACTTGGAACCAACCCAAATGTCCAACAATGATAGACTGGATTAAGAAAATGTGGCATATATACACCATGGAATACTATGCAGCCATAAAAAATGATGAGTTCATGTCCTTTGCAGGGACATGGATGAAATTGGAAATCATCATTCTCAGTAAACTATCACAAGGACAAAAAACCAAACACCACATGTTCTCACTCATAGATGGGAATTGAACAATGAGAACACATGGACACAGGAAGGGGAACATCACACTCTGGGGACTGTTGTGGGGTGGGGGTTGGGGGGAGGGAGAGCATTAGGAGATATACCTAATGCTAAAAGACGAGTTAATGGGTGCAGCACACCAGCATGGCACATGTATACATATGTAACTAACCTGCACATTGTGCACATGTACCCTAAAACTTAAAGTATAATAATAATAAAATAAAATAAAATAAAGAAATATCCAGGAAGATCAACCCACAGAACAAAGAAAGCTAATAAAGTACATTTTCTTGCAAAAAAAAAAAATTTTATTTTTCAATGTAATACATTAACAACAAAAAGGAAAAAAGTAACAAAAGGTCAAAGGAGAAAGCTAAGAGTTGACATAACCAAGAAGAAAGACCTGAATTCAAAAATGGCAGAAGACAGTAATAATATCACAAGGCTCCTGCTAATCAGGTGCTTTACTTATTATAATGATGACATATTTTCATGTGTTAAATGACATGAGTTTCAGGACAGTCAACAATGCAGGCGCTAGAACCAGGGCACCTGGGTTCAAAATTCTATCTCTGCCACATAACAGCTACATGACATTTTCAAGTTACTTCCTAGTGCTTCTGTTAAAAACGGGGATACTGATTATATAGATCAGAGGTAAACAACTATATTACCGTCAGGTTGCATTTGTTTAAGTCCTCTGTACTCACCAAGGGACTGCGTCCATAACTAAATATTAGCATTAGTATTAAAACAGCAAACAAACAGAGACAGTACTATTACCTACCTCAGGGTGTTATGAAGATTAAATAATACACGTAAAACCCTAAGGGTACTTCTTTGCCTATAGTAAATGCTCAATTTATGTCAACTATATTTTGCTTGTATCCATGATATAGGGTATTAACATTTATTTAAAATTGTATGCAAAAATTACCAGGCATGAACAACAAATTATCTTAGTTTTATTTCTGTGCTTTGGAGATGTATTCTAAACCTACCTATGCATCTATCTATGTACTGGTATAACAATTTTATTTGTATTTTGGTGGGAGAATTTGAGCTCCATGCAAAACTTAAATTTCATGCTTCACAAGCACTGTGAATCAAATATATATGTGTTAACTTACACAGGCTGAATATTCCAGAGTCCAAAACATTTAAATAGACATATCTGTACAATATTGAATTCTGTGCAAAAAACAATGACGACAACAAAAAACCTACCACTACTTGAATACCACCTGAAATAGTTAATAAATAAGACCATTGACTTTGGATTTTCTATTTTGCTTTTGCAGCATGCCTTAAAAGCAATTACTATTCCATTACTGTTCACACAAGAGAAAATTTACCAGCTTGTAATTTAGAGGCAAGCAGAGTAGACAGAAAAAAGGGAGCCACCCACAATGGTTTCCAAGAAGCAGCAACAGCCTAAATGTTTAAAAGATACAACATTCATTGCACCAAGCAATAATCCGAACATGTTTTCATGTCTATTCACGAGACAGAATCATCAGTGAAAAGTAGGTTGAGAGAGGAAGAATGATGGAAAAAGACAATAGGAAGAGGCAGAAGGGAGAACATCTTTAGGCCCAAATTGTTATTTCTGGTCCATTAAAATATCAACATCCAAATGAAAACTACTGGTCTCCAAAGAAAACTCTTATCAAAAACGAACCATAATTCAAATACTGTACACCCAGGGAGAATAAAGAAAACCTAACATTTATAGCCTAAGAAAATTGGCTGTAGTTTCATATATACATTTCTATAAAATTCTCACATTTTATCAGACCTATGGCATGACTCTTAATAGCTTTCAGAGGGAAAGAAATAAAATACAAGGGGCACATTTCAGGTAAAATGGTCTTTTAATGTTCCACCCAAGAAAATCTTCTAGGTTCCTTCACTTTAAAAAGAATTACCCTAAATAAAGTAAATGTACCAAGGGTAAAAGGTAAATCTCATGTTTCCTTTCAGGAAACATAAATAGAAGTACTATTTAGGGGGGAAAGGGCCAAACATTGTAAACTCGTATATCCTTCAGATTATGACTCCAATAAGCAGCAGGTAAAGAGGGAAAGCACACAAATACTTCTGAAAAAAAAGCAAGACAGAATTAATCCTCAAAACTCCTTTATCTGCCTAGTACACAAATAGCTGAATAGCACCCAACAAAAGATTCAAGCAAGGGGCTTCTTTAGTTCATTGCTTTCCAGAAACATCTTCTAGATGCAATCTCAGTCACTGACTCCTTTGATAACCCCTTAAGTGTCTGAGAGCCAGCCTGTCTTCCAGTCTTATTTCATTAACTTCAAAATTTCTAAAGTTTTTTTTTTTCTTGCTTGGAAAGTGCTATTTTTTTTTAGTATTTCAATTCAATTGATTTCCAGAGGTGAAACCAACTTCACCTGAAAAGCATCTGTTTTAAATTTAAGAAAGCTTTGAAGGTTTTCTGGTGAAAAACAGAAATCTGATCAATAGTGTTATTGAAAACATGACTAAAAATAAAGTCACATTTATCTGTAGTTGTGGCTTTTATTAAAGCAGCTTAAATCCTTTGCAAGTAAGCTTTTCCAGAGAGGGAGATGGATAGGATGCACAGGGAGGCAGGATTACCTGTGATCCACAGTGCAAAACCCCATCAATGCCACAGGAAGAAGAGGAGTAGCTGTTGAGATTTTTGAAACCTGAAAAACCCCACCACCTCCTTCTCCAATGAACAGGCCCATTTCTGTAGCTAAGATTCACACTAAACTTCATTTGCAAATGGATTTGGCTGTTAACATAAGAGTATTCAATGCAAATATTTCTTTCCTGGCAATGCAGATCAGTTGAAAGGAAAGGCTGAAAATTAGTTAGCTGTATGAGATGACAAAGCACCATTCCAGTTACCAGGGAGGAATAATTGAACACAGATTGCCTGTTGCGTCTTTAATTTAATTTGGAGACCTTTCATCCTTTGCTTTCCTTCATTTGCAGCCAATACTTACGGAGCTAATTTGTACGTGGTTCATTTTCCTCCTTTTATCTTATCCACTTTAACATCAACCATGGAAATTAGAAGCACCATGAATAAAAGATGAAACCTGACTTGGGGTATTCTTTCCTTAAGTACTGTGAATTACTGAAAAACTAATTGGTGTGCATGCACAATATAAAGGGCTGAGATATATGCCTCAGCCCTATAGCATTCCTAATCAGCATCTTTGCTTTCCCCCAAGGAGCTGTAGATTTTCAATGTTTTATCTGGTCCTACGTTTTCTCCAGAGAACAATGTCTAAACTATAATTTACACGGAATCATTAATCTGAGAACGGGTGTATGGTAGGCTGTCTCACAAATAAACCTACGGATTTCCAAATTCTGGAAAATGCACAAGACTAAGAATTCATAAATTCCACTAGCCTAATGATGGAATTCAATAATGTTTGCCATGCATGGAAAATGTTATAATAAAGAAAACTGAATGTATCAGCATACATATATGTCAAACAAAGGCCTAATCTGTCCAAAAACAATGCTGGTGGGGGAGTGGTAGAGAAAGGTACTAGTCATAAAATTACTGTCTGGGAGTGACCTCCAGGAGATAGAAAACTTAAATTCTAAGTATGTCATGCCTATTATGCTTAAAATGACAACAGAAACAATAAACCTGTTGTATTTTTTGTATATGTGGCACCTCACCATTAAAAAATGTTGCATATGCTCTTATTTTATTTTATTGCATTACTTCCAATTGTACAAAAGTTTAGTGTCTTGAAAGTTTTGCGTTTTTCCTTTATAATGTCCTCTCTGACAACACTATTTTTTTCTCCTTACCCTCTCCTCATTTTATATTTTCCCCCATATGGACTAATGAAAAACCTACTGGAATTTTCTCCTGATGCTTAATATCCCCCACCAACAAACCCTCCTTTCAGTTTGGGAAGCATCAAAGGAAGGCTGTGTCCTGAATCATTTCACTGCCTGCGTGTGCCAATTCTTCTAACACCTCACACCAAGAGGCTAGAAGCTCGGAATAAACTAAATCATTCCTCCTTCACAATCTAGCCTCCTACAGTGTTCATTAACAGTAATGTGCACTATTTTACTTCAACAAGACCACATATTGTCACAGACGAGGCAACTTCGAAGTTGTAGAAGAAAATAAAAAGACCTTGCGGTTTAAAAATTGTGGTGCATTGAAATGTACAGTCTTTGCTTCAGATGCAAGCCACTTTTTTCTTTTGGAGGGGGGAGCACTGATGCAGGATTAAAAGCCCAGTTAAAAACGTCAGATGGTATCTCTAATCTTGGGTTGAGTAAGGACCATACTATACAATGCCAAGCTTATTTATTCATTTGGAGAAACGTGGAAAGAAAGCCCTCTACAGTGAAAGGATGGAAAAGAAAAGATGAAGGACAATTACTGTGCCTTTTATTCATGAAAGAGAGGATGAATAGAAATGAAGGCGGCAATTACCTTTAAGAAAATTTTTTTAAAGCCACACAGAAAAATTAAACTGGAAGAGTACAGAATAGCTCTGCCCTGGGGTTAAGAAAGCAACCCAGAGATGAGGATGAAAGTGTGGGAAGCAGTTAGGGTATCTGATGACCAGACACACAGATTATTTTAGCAGTTCAGTGTCCAACTCACACATAGTATTTTCCCAATGTCCAGTTTACTTGGGAGAAGGGGAATTGAGGGGGAGTCTCTGAAGCAGGACGTCAAGAAATTTCAGGTGGAGGAAGGCAACAGTCTCACAGGGCGTCAAATCAATCAAGAAGATTTTCTTTGGCTGTAATTGCGTAGACAGAAGAAAACTGAGAAAACCCATGCCACTCAGTCTCATTTGCAGGCTACACACACACACACCGCAAGATACCAGCCTCAAGGAAGAACACCTGTTCTAACCCTGTGCCTGCCGGGGGCGGCGGGGGGGGGCGGTGCGCGCGTGGCCATCCCAGGGAACTCATGGGCCATCTCAACAGCAGGGAGCCCGGATGCACTCAGGACCTGGCTGCACCAGAAAGACGCAAAAGGCCCCGCCAAATGTGTCCTGGCTAACTCGCCAAAAAGAGGCCTTAGAGAAAGGTTGTGAAAAGGGATCAGGCAGCCCAGATGTTTACCTTGGGCTGCAAAAAAGACGTAACCACAGGGCAGAACAGTTTATTTTCCAGAAAGGGTTTTCTTGCAAAAAAAAAAAAAAAGTAATCTTGAGGGTCAGAAAAGACTTTTGTGAGGTGTGGGAAAGAGAGGAAGGACCTCCATAGAAGTCAGTGTTTCTTCTAACAACCATTTCCGTGCCAGTGGGCCGCAATAGTCAAATTTCTCTCTAGGCTATCTCCACCTTTCTCCCTATATGGTCCTAGACTGAGAATCACACCTGTAGGCACTGAAAAGCCTCGAGTAACACCTAGCCTACCCGTCCCCACCACCCCCACCCCTCCACCGCCACCCGCTACGGTGCAGGTCCCTCCCTGATCTCCTATCGCAGCCAGCGCCTGCAGGTCTAAGCTCCATCCTCAGGTCGTCAGGAGCCTGGCCCCTGGAAATCATTCCCGCGCCTCACACCTGTGCTATTCTCTTGACACAATCTCCACACAGAAAAGCCCCAGGGCAGACTCCCGCCCCTTAAGCCACAGTGATCCTCTCACACACAGCCCCTCCACCCCCACGGCCAGCGGAGGCTGCGGAGTGCCAGCAAGGAGCGGCTCCACTCGGTGCCCCGAATGCGCGCACGGAGAACTGAGAACTCAAAAGTGCACCCGGAGTGCAAGGGGCGTGTGACTGCAGCCCGGCCGGCCCGGAGGCCCACTCCCGCCCTCGCCCACCCAGCGGGGCAGGCTGGCCTTTACCTCCTGGAAGAGCTCCAGACTATAGGTGTTGTCGTCGTCAGCGAAGAAGAGCACGCCGGGCTGCGCGCGCTGGTGCTGGTGCCTCTGGCGCAGCCAGGCGAGGCCCGCGTTGCGCTGCTCAGTGGCGCGCGGCAGCCCGGGCCGCTTGTAGCGCCGCGGCGTGGGCACGTGCAGGTGAGTGCTGGGCAGCCCGGCCCGCGCCAGGAAGCGGCTCACCAGCTCGCTGCGCGCCGCCGCGTCCTCCACCAGGATCCAGTGCAGCTGCGCCACCTGGCGGAACGTGTTGGCCAGGCGGGTCAGCTCCGCTTTCTGCACCGGGCGGCTGTAGGTGGGCGTGATGGCATAGATGGTGGGCAGCTGCGGCTCCGGCTGTGGCTGCGGCCGAGACTGGTTGCGCTTTTGGGTCCCGTGAGCCGGGCCGCCCCTGCGGAGCGGGAGTCGGGCGCCCCCGCGGCCCACCGCGTAGGGAGAGAAGTAGGGGCGCGGGGTGAGCGGGGGCACTGGCCTGCGCGTGTCCACGTCGAGCATGATGATGACAATTAGGATCCAGGGCAGGAGGATAAAGAAGCGGGTGAAAAGCGCGGACTTCATGGTGCACGCTCCCTGGCCTCTCGGACACCCCAGAGAGGGGCGAGCCGAGGGACCCCAGTGCGCAGCTTGGACAGCGGCGGCGCCAGCACTTAGGGAGTGGTGATGGGTGCGCTGTCCATGGGGCCGAGGGCGCTGCAGAGACCTGGAGCCGCGGGGCTCACTACCTGGGCGTGGAGGAGCGGCAGGTTCGCGCAAGCTAGAGCGACAAGGGGTGCAGGCGGGCGGGCAGGGGCTGCCCCCGACTCCAGGTGAGCTGGCGGGAAGCGGGACTCGGTCCAGCCGCGCGCCGCCGGTCCCGGAGTTGTGCCGAGTGCGGGAAAGGCGCTGATCCCCACCGCGCTCTTTCTGAAGAGTGGAAGCCGAGAAGCGGCACCCGGTGCGCCTCGCCGCTCCAGTCCGGCGGTGCTGCGGGCACAAGGGCTCCAGCCGCGGGCCCCCAGGACGCTCTCTGGGACGCCTTCGAGGGCGGGCGGCGGCGCTGGGGGCTTTCCTTCCTCACATTCCCGCCGGGGTGGCGAGGAGCGGGTGGAGACGCTGGGGGTTGTGTCCCGGCTGTGTTCGCGCGCCGCAGCGGAAGCCTGCTCTCAGTCCCTTGCTCTTGTCTTCTCAGAACCTCTCCGGATCCAGCAGCAAGA
Source organism: Homo sapiens (assembly GCF_000001405.40). NCBI lineage: Eukaryota > Metazoa > Chordata > Mammalia > Primates > Hominidae > Homo > Homo sapiens. The sequence goes on from NC_000006.12 coordinate 70,957,065, forward strand.
TCCCAAAGCAAGGAAAGAAAGAAAAAGCGAGGGGGCGGGGGCGCTGCAGAATCCAGCGTCCTCCCAAGTCCTCCTGTGGGAAGACAGCAGCGCTGCTACTGGTGGAGAGGGGCTGCGAGAGGGAGGCGCGGAGGGACCCCTTGGCTCTCCGCCGGGTCTGGCGCTAACGGCCCCGCGAGCAAGCTCGGGAGGCGGCCGCTGCACCGCGGGTGGAGGAGCGGGAGGAGCGTCCCCGCGGGGCTGCACGACCTCCTGGAGGGGGTGATGCTCGTTCACCTCTCTTCAGCTTTGTGAAATACCGCAAGGTCTTTGGAGATGAGCCAGGAAAATCCATTCACGTGCGGAAATTTGCCGGGCTACGCGCGTTGCTGCTGATGCCTAGGGTTCGGAGTGAAAGGAGGGGAGAAAGCGAAGGGATTCCTCCTCCTGCTCCCAGCTGCTGCGTTGATGTGCTGGGGTGTATCGAACAGCGGCAACAAAAAGCGCTTTCACTGCAAGGCAGACATCAATAGGAGCCCACGGAGATGGAGGGGTGCTGCACATAGGTGTTTGGCATGTGAGACAGTCCATAAGAAAGAATCAATTCGGAGGGCTGCTGCCTGACTGCAGTTTGATCATGGCGGGTGGGGGCGGGTGGAATTCCTAAAACTCCAGCCGAGCATGTTTAACTTATTTTTCTTCAGTAATTTGGAGTCACGGTCCCTCCCAGTTCTTCGCTGTCACCGGAATTACTCCGTTTGGCTCTCCCAAGGCTCCTGTCAAGAAGGCCTAAGAAGTAGAATGGCCTTCATTTTCAGGATAAGGAAGCTGAGGTTCAGGGTTTAAAATGATTTCTCTGAGGTCAGTGGCAAGTGGCATATGGAAATAGAACGTGGGTCTCCTGCGTGTGTCTATAGCTAGTGGCGTCCTCACTGCATGGCCTGCAGAAATCCCACCCAACACAGCCGGGCCGGTTTGGCCTTCCTACATATAAAGATGGTGCGATTGAAATCAAACAGAGTGTACCATGACGAATAGAACCATGATAGGGTCTGGAAGACCCCAAGTAAACAGTTGGCACTTAGTTTAGACACTTTTTGCTGTCTAGCTGGCCTACTAGCTGAGTGCCTGACCTTCTGTAACTTACCAGGAAGAAGGGCTGTGCTTCCCAGGCAGGTCCCAGGGAAGTGCTTGCAAAGCAGAAGGAAAGCTCCAGACTGTTCTGCCCTAGCCTATGATAAATAATTTCTGAGCCCATCTTGTCTGGGTTGTCTGCCTTTCTCGGGCTTGTTCACAAATAAATCTCTCTCCGACTGTGCGTTCTGGTGCAACTGAGAGCTCTGGGGCGAATGGCTCTCCAGCTTTTCTGACAGCTCCTCTTCTCCCAGTCCTACCCCTGAACCCCCCACCTGTTAAAAGGCATTGGCTCATCTGTGAATTTCCCTAACTTCCTCTTCAGATTCTGAAACGTGAGAGTGAAATTTCAGACTAACACCCAGCCACCCCAACAACTCCCTAGAGCTAGCCTTCTGTCCCAACTTCCCTGTGCCATCCACAACTCATACATTAAACTCTGCAGATTAGTGCATCCTAAACATAGAAAACAACGAAGCCATTAGACCTCTTCCCATTCTCTCGAATAGCCTAATGTGCCTCTGAATATAACACAACCTTGGAAATGTATTCTGCACCAGCATCATGCCAGGATGGGGAAGAGGAAAGAAGTCAAGGCCTCCCTTTAAGAAAAGGTTTTTCTTAGGAAGCAGTGCACCCCTCTCCCCTAAGTTACTGAAGTCTGGTTCATCCTGTTGGAAATTTTAAATTTGGTTAAAATGCCTTGTGTTTGCTGGAATAAAATTCATGTTGTTACTGAATTGTACTAAAAACATCACTAACCTTTGTTAGTGGGGAACTTTTGGTTGGTCCAACTATGCCATAAAACCTATTTGCTATTACATCCTCTCCAGGAACCAGGGCTATTCAGAGATGAAACACTGTGTGTGTGTGTGTGTGTGTGTGTGTGTGTGTGTGTCTGTGTGTGTGAGAGAGAGAGAGAGAGAGAAAGACAGACAGACAGGGTCTCTCTTCAATGCCAAGGCTGGGGTGCAGTGACTTGAACACAGCTCACTTCAGTCTCGATGTCCTGGGCTCAAGCAATCCTCCTGCCTCAGCTTTTTGAGTAGCAGGAACTACAGATATAAGCTGCTACACCCTGCTAATTTTTTCATTTTAGTTTTTGTAGACTGGGGTCTCCTATTACCCAAGATGGTCTTGAACTCCTGGGCTCAAGCAGTCCTTATGCCTTGGCCTCCCAAAGTGCTGGGATTACAGATGTAAGCCATTGTGCCTAGCCCAAAGCACTTTCAAAATCAATTGAATTTGCAGTTTGAGACTTTAGCTCATGCCCAGAATTCATGGGTGTCATAAAACACAACACTTAATTAGCACATCACAGACTGTCACTTCATTTTTTTCTATTACCCTTAGCATTTGTACCCAGGTTTATTTCATTCAGTCATCTGTTGGGGAGCTTCATGGTTCTTGGAGTCAGGCAGACCTGGGTTTGAGTCCCCTCTGGGATACTTTCTACTGTGCAACTTTAGAAAATCAGTGAACCTCCCAAGGCCTGTTTCCTCATCTGGAAAATGGGGTTAATAATACATACTCCATGGGAATCTTGCAAGGATTAAATGGTGTATGTTGGGTAGTTTGAAGAAGAGCCATTATTACACAGGCAGTCAATAAATGATATTTCAATACAGATAACCCTTCCTCAAAAGAACACCTTAACACAAGAGATCTTGATGGATCATCGTTATCAAATGAATATAAAATGAAATCTAAACAGGACTGATAATGCTTCTAAATAGTACCTCTGCTTGTAATGAAGATAATTCCTAGAGTGTATGTTAGAGTCTTCCCAAGTTGGTCTAGGGAGTGGAAGAAAGAAGAAATAAATTTACCCCAAATGCAAGGTATAGCTTGTCATGCAATAAGGATGACATGATTCCAAGTGACATTTATTTCAGATGGCTGAATATGCCATATTGTTTTACATTAAGCCACTCAATATGTGGCCCCGAATCTCTTATGATCAAATCTGAGCAAAGATATAAAGATACGAAAATTATCATTAAGGATGTCCATTAGAAGTACAAAACCAGGGCAAAACATTTTTAAGTGCAAAAACTTATACTTTAAAAATATGTCACGAGTCTATCAGGGGCTGGAATGGAAACAACTCCTTTAAATGGGAGCTTGGAGAAAATGTCATTTTTATGAAGCATAATCACTAAGTAAGCTATGGTACTTTTCCATATAGCTTATGATATTCTTACATAAAACAATTTAAGCTTGATCTGTGGCTGATAATGAAGGTTGCTGGAAGTCACTAGAGTAATTAAAATAATTACCTAACTTCGGAGCGTCTGCACATCCTCTCAGTGTTTATTTTCATTTAATCTCTCTAATTATTTATGTAGCAAAGTGAGCATTGCTTCGTCTGTACTAATGAAGCCTTAGATTGCTGGCATCAGCCACTGCATTTCAGCATTCAGTTGTTGTTCTCAAATAAACAAAGGTAAAAAAAATCCCATTTGGGGAATTAACAAAAACCATATCATATAATCACTAAACATTTACATTTTGCCTTGATGAGTAATATGCAACTGTAACTTCAGCAGCAGAAAGACTGCAATATGGTTACTGCACTGTACAGAAATGATCCCATTTGACATTTGAGCCTGGGGTTCTGCTAGTGTGACTAAATCAACCTTCAAGTAAGCATTTGGGGACATCTTTGATATTCTTAGTCAAGTAGGAAAAGGATTGTACAAAATTAAGTATTTATAAATATATAATATTGTAGTTATGCAAATTAGGTTTTGAAGAGAATCAGAACTAATGCATGTATGAGTAATAATGTAACGTGAAAGTATTGATAATGTCCACATGCATGCGAACATAAATACCTTCTGTTAAAATATCAGACACAATTATGTGAAAGAATGATATCAAAATAAATAATTCTAACAGCCCCAAATTCCAGGGATACATGACAGTTTCATTGATAACTGTCAGAAAAATGACATCTAAACTACAAATTAAATGGCTCATTTGTTCTTTTATGCATCCGGATCCTCTACAAATATCTCTTTTTGCCTAGAATTGTTCTAAATTATAATGTTTCCTTAACATTTTAGACATTTGCAGCCATTATGTACAAAATGTGACATTAGAGGTAGTTCAGTAAAATCCCATTTTTATAGGATGGGTTAGGAACAAGGTTTTTCAGTAAAAGTGATTTTCTAGAAAAGTAGAAATTGGCAATTTACCTTAACAATTCCATTGAAAACTAATTCCATTCAGTGTGAATAAGAGCTGACGATATAGCATACCAGTGTTCCTTCCTTTCCTTTTATTAACGGATTAGAATGCACAAAAAAACCAATAAAACATGCATAAAGACATACTGGCATTCTTTCTTTTTCCCCTCACTATCTTAAAAATTGGCATTTACATTAAAATAGTAATTTGTTAGACATGAATTTTATTGTAAAACTACATAACCTACCTTTCTGGTTGTTATGAAAATCAAAGAAGATAATGTAGATGAATGTAATTTTAGACACTGTAGTTCATACCTGTAAGAGAATCTCCCTCTATCTTACAGGAGGGGCATGCAACAACATTGGCCATGGGTTGTAATTGTTGAAACTAGGAAATGAAGACCTGGGGTTCCTTATATTATTGGGCCTATTTTTGCGTATGTGTCAACATTCCCATGATAAAAAATTAAAATATGTAAAACAGGTTATGTTCTACCACTTGTTTGCCAAGATAATACTGCTTCCAACTGCTCTTGTTTTAAGAACTACATCAAGTGCCTGATTTGTGCAAAATATTATGGGTTGAATGTATCCCCTCAAAATTCATACATCAAAGTCCTAACCCCCAGTACCTCAGAATGTGACCGTATTTGGAAACAGGGTCATTGCAGATGTAAGCAGTTAAGGTGAGTTAATACTGGAGTAGGGTAGATCCCTAATCCAATGTGAATGGTGTTCTTATTAAAAGGGGATGTTTGGGCACAGGGGCTCGAACACAGGGAGAACACCACGTGGAGATTGGAGCTATACTGCCACCAGTCAAGGAATGCCAAAGCTTTCCAAAAAAACCACCAAAAGCTAGGGGAGGCACATGGAACAGATACTTCCCTGGTGCATTTGAAGTGAGTGCGGCCCTGTGGACACCTTAATTTTGAACCTTTGGCCTCCAGAACAGTGAGACATAAATTTTTGCTGTTTAAGCCACCCAGTTTGTGGAACTTTGTTACAGCAGCTGTAGCAAACTAATACAGATAGGAAGTGATGGTGGTAGTGCAATTATAATCTGATAGGAACTTGTGCATAATGATAGGATGAAACCAACAGGTGTTTGTGTGCACACGCATGCATGGGAACAAAGGAATAGGTGAAGAACACTGAGTACAGAACTCATCAGCTTCCTCAAAGCTTCAAAGTGAAACATTGATGGGTGGGATTTCAAATCCAGACTCTATGGTATGATTGACGGTACTCGAGAGGCCTAAGCAGTACTCGAGAGGCCTAAGCAGGCAACAGGCTTGACGGAGGAGACTAAAGAGAAGGCTTACTAAGTGAATACTGTCTTCCGTAACTGACATAACTTTCTGCCACGGGAAAACCTCCTTTCCCAGTAAATACTAGTTGAATCATCTAACCCCACTCTATGGCTTTTAAGGCCAGTGTAGTGCCAGTTGGGGTTTTGCCCAGATGTGTCACCCCCAACAGATTGGTACTGGCCACCGTAAGCCATATTGGTGGCCGTGGGCTCAGGCATCTCTGCAGCCAGATCAGAAACTGCTGTCACCATGCCTTTCCTCCACAAGAAGATAGTAGAAGCATTTACAGTCATTTTATCATGAAGCCATTTTACTATTTTAGATGAAATTTAAAAATTAATGTAGCTTTTCATCACATCTATCTGTAATTCACTCAAGGATACATCTTGATCAAGGATACAACCCCTGGGCAGGGTATAGTGGCTCACACCTGTAATTGAGGCCAGGAGTTTGACACCAGCCTAGGTAAATAGGAAGACCCTCTATCTACAAAACAAAACAAAACAAAACAAAACAAAACAAAACTAGCTGGGTGTGTTGGGGCATGGCTGTAGTCCCAGCTATTTGGGGGGCTGAGACAGGAGGATCGCTTGAGCCCAGGAGTTTGAGGCTATAATGAAATATGTGAAATATGATGGCATCACTGCACTCCAGCCTGGGTGACAGAGACCCTGTCTCAAGACAGTTTTTCTGTATGAAGATTGGTGAGGGTACAAATTTTAAAAATAAACTTTAGCGAAAGCAGGGTCTGCATCCAAACCATCTATGTTTACTTAAATAAAGATGTTCTTTCCAAATGGCTGTTGGTTTAGTTGGATGCCTTTTCTTGGATATGTTGAGTACAAATATTGGGAGCAAACAATATGAATATGGGGAGTGGGTATAAGATAAAGGCCATAGAAAGTTCCAGTTACTGACTAGCTCTTGGACAAGTCTCAGATCTCTGGTCTTCAGTTTTCTTGTATGTAGAATGAATGAGTGTAGGTGGTTTCTTGGTAAACTCCATAGGAAATGTACTTTGAATATTTTTCCAGTTCTGTTGATGGGTTTGCATTACACTATTAATATCATATTGTGTTACCAAATCTTATAACCAGTTGCATATTATCTAGTAGCTGCAGACATAATTAAAGAAGGTTTGTGTATCTTCATAAACAAGAAAGTATCTCCTGTCCACTCTCTCAAAAGTAAATCTAGTTCCTGTAGGTAAACACATGTTATATGAGCAACCTACCTCCAAAATATAATAATTAAAATAATGGAACATTGTCAATGTTTTAAGTTCCATTTTTGTCTAAATGTGGTAGTTCAGTGGCTTGAATTAATTTTTTTATTATTTTTATAACAGGTGCATTTATGAGCCTGCAGGTGGACCATTGAAATGACTACATTTATTAATTTCTGCTTCTTGAGTGCCAAGTTAAGTATGACTTGGCTTAGGCACATATTTGGTGTTCTATGTGAAATATAAATCTCTTAAAGTTAAAAGGGGGGTTGTTCCTTTATTCCTCTATCAATTTATAGCCCCAGCCTAGGAATTTAACCACACAAAGAGAAGGGTGGGATGCTTAATTTTATGTGTCAGCTTGACTGGGTTAAGGGATGCCCAGAAAAGGAGCCCATTAAGAAAGTTTGGTTCTGAAGCAGAAATAGCACGAGGTCTGAAAAATTGAGTCCATTATTTTTAAAGAAAAGTGCTTGGAATTCTACTCAAATAAAATGCAATTAAGCTAGCAAAATCATCATTCCCAAACTATAGTATGATTTCTAACAGTCACATTATAGCTAACCAAAAACAAAAGCCCTCAAATTCCAGATGAAATTCATATTCTAATATAACGTCCAGCAGCTAGGCCTCAGGGTGTCACTCTATATGGTCTGGTAGGCCTTGATTACTTAGAAAGTGGTGGTAATAAAACATAGAAACCTAAGTGTGCAAACGCTGTCCACCTGACATAGTTATTACAGTCTTTAGAAGTTACTTGAGATCCAGGTCAGTCTTGTCAAGAGAGTGGCAACATGGTACCTGGGAAAAAGAGTTGCATTGGAATCAGGAGACCTGAGTCCATATCCTAGGTATCCACTCACTGGTTACCTATCTAAACTTGTTTCCTCACCTGTCAAATAAATATAATGCTCCTATAACTAAGAGACACTGTATATGAATGATCATGAACCAGGGTCTGTTCAATGCACTGAACATACTTTAAAATACAATAACCCTGAAAAGTAGGTAGAGTAAGAAACTTTTCTAAGGTCACACAGCCAGTTAAATGTCAGAGACAGAATTTGAATCCAATCCTATTTTTTTATTCCAAAGCCAACATTCTTGCCACTATAACTGTCTTCCACAAATGTGAAAGAGTTGAATAGATAATAGATCTCTAAACATAAGTGACTTCGGCATTTAAAGTTGTTGTAATTAAATGAGTTGATACATGTAAAATCCTTAGAACAATAATCTATTAGTGCATTCTCATGCTGCTATGAAGAAATACATGAGACCTGGTAATTTATAAAGGAGAGAGGTTTAATTGACTCACATTTATGCATGGCCGGGGAGGCCTCAGGAAACTTAACAATCATGACAGAACAGGAAGCAAACATGTTCTTCTTCACATGGTTGCAGGAGAGAGAAGTGCAGAGTGAAGCAGGGAAAGTGCCTTATAAAACCATCAGATCTTGTGAGAATTCACTCACTATCATGAGAACAGCATGGGGAAACTGCCGCCATGATCTAATCATCTCCCATGAGGTCCCACCCCCAACTCATGGGGATTACAATTCGGATTACAATTCAAGATGAGATTTTGGGTGGGGACAGAGCCAAACTATATCAAATAATATAGTAAGTATTCAGTAAGCTTTTGCTGCTGGTATTATTATTATTATTATTGTGTAGGATCCACTTTTGGCCTCTGAATATGCAGTGAATCAGTGACAATCAGAATAGGACTGATTGCTTGCATTTTTAAAAATTAGTAATCAAGTGGTCATTGTAATGTAAAAGCACAAATTGGTAGTAAAGAGGCCTGAATTTGGGGTAAGAAGATCAAAGTCCCATTTCTGGCCCCTCCTATTTTGTCTCTCATAACAATAAGAACTTGTGGTGGTAGTTCATAGAATTAATTTCTATAGTGTTTGAGTGAAATTCTATCTGTAATAGGGATAGCTCTATAAAAATTTTAGTCAGTATTTAGAGAAGGTAATATTTTTTGAGACTAAGGATTTATTGGCACTCCATGCTTCCTCTTTGTTGCTGCCAGCATCAGACTTGCTATAACTGGAGGAAGAAGGGGGTATTTACTGGATCATCTGTAATTGATGTACCGTGGGATACAAACTGTGGGTTCAAAGGAATGACTTTCTTTTTCTTTCTTTTTAACGAGGGCAATTGACTATCAAGAGGGGGAAAAAAGTCTCTAATAATATAAATTTTTAGAAAATTAATTTAGTGTATTATTTGATATATATGGAGTTCTTCAAATAGTGCTTGCACTTGCTGAGGGCTACTTGTGTTATCTGGTATTATTACTGGTATTTTTAGAGAAATTGACTAGGAGTGGCAAACTGTGCTAGCCAGCTGTGCCTACTTGAAAGGGTTGTTATGAGGCTCATACTTGTTAATGTACAGACAAAGGCTCTCTCCTTGACCAAACTTTAGACAGGCTCCTTTGAGCCCTCTTTTCAACTAGGCCTCATCCTTGGACTCTGTTCTCAAGTATTCCTCACCCAATTTAGCAAGAATCTTGCTAAATCGGTTGAGAGAGAATTTCTCTCATATCTGATCACTCTCAATATCTCATCAAATTCCTCATTCCGCACCCTAGATATCTGATGGCCTTGGCTTGCCTTTTGCAATAATCTTAGGTCGGTTTAGTAAGAATCCTTCTACCCCTGATGTTTCCTCTTCATAATTTTTCATCCACTGACTTCCCGCCCTGTTCCATAGCTGAAAATCCTCACTTATCCATGCTGTATTTGGCATTGAGCCCAGTTCTTTACTGATGTCTCTTTTCTCCTATTGCAATAGTTTCTAAATAATATCTGTTTTTACAATTTTAACTATTGTCCAACTCTAGTTCTTTTTGACAGCATGCAACCTTACATTTTTGACAAAAGTGATACAAACTATACCTTTTTTACAGTTTTCACAGTTATAGACAAAGATATATGAGTTATATGAGAGGAGGCTGAATGGCAGAGATATAATTGGGGATGGCAATAGGGCAAAAAGCTTAAGAGAGAAGGAATGAGATGCTTAATTTTATGTGTTAAGTTGACTGGGTTAAGGGATGCCCAGGTAACTAGTAAAACATTATTTCTGGATGTGTCTTCAACAGTGTTTCTGGAAAAGATTAGATTTGAATCAGTACAGCGAGGAAAGTAGATCTGCCCTCACCAATATGGGCAGAGATTATCCAATCCACTGAGGGCCCAAACAGAGCAAAAACATAGAGAAAGGGTAAATTCTCTCTCTTACTTTCTCTGTTTGAGCTAGGACATCCATTTCCCCCTGCCCTTGGACATCCTGGTTCTAGGACCTTTGGACTCTAGGATTTATGCAACGCTTCCCACCCCCCAATTCCCCCAACCAGGTCTTTGACCTCAGACTGGGTGTTACGCCATCAGCTCCCCTAGTTCTCAGGCCTTCAGACTCAGAAAGAATTATACCACCTGCTTTCCTGGTTCTCCAGCTTGCAGATGGCATATCTTGGGAGTTCATGGCCTCCATAATCATATAAGCCAATTCCCATAATCTCTTACCTCTCTGTCTCTGTCTCTCTCTCTCTCTCCATCCATCCATCCTAATGGTTCTTTGTCTCTGGAGAACCCCGCCTCATACAAGGAGCTAAAGCTTTGCTGTCCAGTAGGGTAGCCAGTAGTCAGCCATATGTGGCTGTTGATCACTTGCAATGCTGTAGCTAGTTTAAACTGCTATGTGCTGGAAGTGTGAAATGCAGATAGGATTTTAAAGTCTTATATAAAGACTGTAAAATACCTCATTGTTAATTTTTGTATTGATATATTGAAATAATATTTTGGATGTATTGGAGTAAATAAAATCTATTATTAAAATTAATTTTACCTGTGTCATTACTTTTCAATCTGACTACTAGAAAATGTAAAATTCACAAATGGCTTGCATTGTAGTGCTGTATTAGTCCATTTTCACACTGCTATAAAGAACTGCCCCAGACTGGGAAATTTATAAAGGAAAGAGGTTTAATTGACGCACATTTCAGCATGACTAGGGAGGCCTCAGGAAACTTACAATTATGGCGGAAGGCAAAGAGTAAGCAAGGCACCTTTTTCACAAGGCAGCAGGAAGAAGAATGAATGCAGAAGGAACTACCAAACACTTACAGAACCATCAGATCTTGTGAGAACTCACTCACTATCACGAGAACGGTGTGGGGAAATGGCCCCCATGATTCAATTACCTCCACCTGGTCTCTCCTTTGACACATGGGGATTATGGGGATTACAATTCAAGATGAGATTTTGGGGATGCAGCCAAACCATATCAACTGCTATTGGACAGCACTGGGATAGAGAAATAAAGAAGTAGAAATGGAGTATGAAGGGATGTTGGGGAGAGAGAATATAGTCACAGACACTCATGTATGTAAATGGATCCACAGGACGTCACACAGAACTTTGCCTTGAGGACTGCATGACTGTGGTTCCTTTTATACCCAGAGTAAAGGCATAAATAAAAATGCTATCATGGCATTTGCTCAGCCTGCTGGGAGCCAGATGAAATGAAATGATATTGTCACACCTGGCCCATAGGTCACAACTTCCTAGTAATTCCAGATTCACAATTAGAAATTAATTGCCTTGTTAAACTTCTCCCGCTCCCCATGCCACTTAAAGGACACTATGAATGAATTATACCTACTCAAAATAGACACTTTCACATAAGGACCCTCTATGATTCTGTTTTCCTGTCCCCAACCCAGTACAGTGATGGCACATTAGTGTGCCCACCTACGTGCCTTTAGTAGGCACTACATAAATGTCTTGTGAATGAATGAAACATTCAAATAATTGGAAACATTCAAATAATTAACTACCATATAGAACATTCTGTAAGTATTAAAAATAAAAGTCTAAAGGCTAAGCCCATGAATGACCCAAGTTCACAGGCACGGGCTGACAGATTGCTGCTTCCTTGGTTCCCAGGCTTCACAAAAGTGGAGATCTATTTATTGAAGTGGATAGGACCTTCCTTGACAGACCCAAGCACACAACAGAGGCCAATCTCTGTTGCCAGGGTGAAGTTTTGCCAGTATTAAGCCAGGTACCCATAAAAGCCTGACTCCTGCCTTCTTTTCATATTCCCAAGGGAAGGACACACACACAGGAAACAAAAGCAGGACAAAACACATATGTATTAATACCTGGGTAACCGCTGATATTCCAGAGCTGGGCTCTAGCAAACAGCTAGATTAACATTTTTGAGAAGGGGCCCTCACTTGAATCATGTAAAGCAGGGACCTTGAGGAGAAGTGTAGCTTAAGAGAGAGGCAGGGAGTAAGGGAGACTAAGCCGGCTGCATTCCAAGAAAGTCCTATGCCCACTTACCCATGTGGCTGCCTGGACCCTGAAGGGAGAGTGAGGAGCTGGCTTGCTGGATCAGAAGCCAGCTCCCACCAGGTCAGATGCCCCTCTGAAAGCTGGAAGCAGGATGAAAAGAGCAGAGGAGGCAGAGTCTCTGTGGGACTGGTAATCGTAGTCCCAACGATGTACTGGTCTCTGACCAATCAGACCAGCAACCGCTCCTCCAGAGTAGGCAGAACTAAGAAGGGAAGGCCCAGAGTGGAGTGGGTATAGACGAATTGTCTGAAATGTCCCTGTGTTTTTGGATGGGCCTGAGGCAAAACACAGCGAAAGAGATGTTGTATGTCTCCCCCGATGCACTCAGTAAAAGGGTCTGGATCAAGGCCTGGGTGTTAGGAGCCAGGACTCTGAAAGACAACTCCACTCAAGACTTTATTAGGGTCCCATGTTACCTAATCACTCATCTCAGATGGGTTTCTTTTTTTTTTTCCTCTAGTTCCCTTTCTTCTTGTCTTTCCTTTTGCCCTGATCTCCACTTCTTTTTACTTGTTTCATTGCAAATGTACTCTGATATACATCAGAATCTGTCATAGCTTCATAATGGAGGCTGATTATTTACAATTTTTTTGTATTTCTAATAAAAAACAGCTATTATTTATTCCATAGTTACTATGTGTCAGTCTTTTAATGTGCTAAGCCCTTCAAACGTATTATATCATTGAATCCTCACAACAATATGGCCAGGTAGTCACTTCATTTTACAGATTAGGAAACTAAGGCTAGAGAGATCATTTAACTAATGAGTGCTGGAGCTACAATATAAGCATAGGCCTACCTAAATCTTGCACACATTTTTAAGATCTAGCTGTACAGCCTCACTTAACGTGCCTGTATCTCTCCAGTTTAAGTTTCCTGCTTCCAATCTTAGTTTGTTTTGTGTTGCTATAAAGGAATACCTGAGGCTGGGTAATTCATAAGGAAAAGAGGTTTATTTAGTTGGTGGTTCTGTCGGCTGTATAAGAAGCAGTGTGCCGGCATCTTCTCAGCTTCTGAGGATGGCTTCTGTGCTGCATCACATCATGGCAGAGAAGATCAGATGGGAAGCAGGCATGTGTCAAGAGGTACCAAATCCAAGGGGTGTCCTGGCTTTATAACAACCTATTCTCTCTGGAACCAATTCATATCTCCAAGAACTGATCCAGTCTCTCAAGAGCCAGAACCCACTCACAACAAGCCCTTTATGAGGTATCTGCCCTCCATGACCCAAACACCTCCCACTAGGCCCTACCTCCCAATACCACCACAATGGAGATTAAATTTCAACATGATTTGGTGGAGACAAACGAACCAGTCCAAACCACAGTACTGTCTTTTATTTATTTTTTTTAAAGTTTACTTTTTTCTTTCCCTTTCCTTTTCTTTGTCCTCAATACCTTGTTTTATTCTTCTGTTAAATTTATCTCCTCCCTTTATTATCTTATTTAAAAATTTTCCTTCCTATTCTCTTACACTTCAGTTTTGTGTGTGTGTGTGTGTTTTTTGTTTTGTTGTTGTTGTTGTTGTTGTTGTTTTCTGAGATGGAGTCTCGCTGTGTCACCCAGGCTGGAGTGCAGTGGCACAATCTTGGCTCACTGCAAGCTCTGCCTCCCATATTCACGCCATTGTCCTGCCTCAGCCTCCCAAGTAGCTGGGACTACAGGTGCCTGCCACCATGCCTGGCTAATTTTTTTTTTTTTTTTTTGTATTTTTAGTAGAGACAGGGTTTCACCATGTTAGCCAGGATGGTCTCGATCTCCTGACATCGTGATCCGCCCACCTCGGCCTCCCAAAGTGCTGGGATTACAGGCGTGAGCCACCACGCCTGGCCTACACTTCAGTTTTTAAGTAGCCTTTAATGGTCAGTGATATAAATACAAATGTGGTGACGGTGGTACAGTCGTTCCACCCTCTTCCCTTAATTCTGGCAGTAGCTCTCTCATTCTCCTAATGGCAGTGGTTCGCAAACTTGAGCACACATCAGAATCACCTGGAGGGAGGGCTTGCTAAAATGCAGAAACTGGGCCCTACCCCCAGAGTTTCTCATTCAGCCGGTCTGGGTAGGGCCTGGGAGTTTGGATTTCTAACCAGTTTCCACTGATGCTGATGCTGCTAGTCAGGGACCACAGTTCCAGAAGCATTGTTCTATGGAGTTCCTACCACATTCAAAGTAGGTTCTCCAAAATGCCTCCACTAACTCTCAGGAGACCCACAGGTGTAAATCTCTATCTAGATGGGTTTCTGTTCTCAGTCACCTGGATTCCATATTTTAAAACCCCAGTCCCTGATACCTAGTCACTGAAGTTTGGGCAAATTGTGTTAATAATGTCATGAGCCAGAATGCAAGGTCACATGGCCAAGTGAGAGGTCATTCCTCCATGCACAGCCTCTAGTCCGTACTTGGTAACTAATCATGTGATTTTTTAGTCTGGATAGATTTGGAAGATGGGTTTGGATGGCCAGTTCAGGTACTACAGAGGTGTTCCTGACTCTTAGCATCATTTTCACAGTGGCCTGATTCCAGATTGCTCATGTCCTTCAGTGACAGGGTTATAATAGATGATCTTAGTATGTGGCTTCCTCGGTTTCTTCTCCTTATGAAGGTCAAGGAGAAATTGCCTTGAATGAGTGTTAAATCTGCATAAGTGGCTCAGTTCTACCTGGCTGGGAGGTTTTCTAAACTAACCAGAACTTAGACTTGGTCCCTCAGACCTTCTTAGAACAGTAGGGTATAAAGCAAAAGAAAGGCAAGTCTAACACTTGTGCCTGGGCCTTTCCCAGGAAAATCATTGAAACATTGGGAACTGGTCTTCTTCAATCATTTGTCAGCCTATGGAAGGCGATTAGAGCACCTAAAATCTCCTCAAGACCTGAGACCAAATCTCTAATGTAGACATTTTTCTTCCAGCAGGTAGGTGGGTCCCTTCACAAGACCCTCCCTCCCTATCATGGGTTCTGTCTGGCTGCCTGCTGTTTAACCTGATTGTTTAAACCTCCCACTCAGTTTCAGAAAGTCCCATCAATTCTGATTGAGGAACTACTCACATGGGTCCATTGTCCTACCCCAATTTTATTTTCCCTGTAATTCTCAATAATCCTTATTATTTGCCTAGCTCATGCCAGAGCCAGCAATATTATTCAATAGCTCACAGACTTCCCTGTTATTGTGATATTAGAAGGAGCACAGACCACAAAACTGTCCTCACTGTGACACCAATTGCAAATTTGGGGGTCCAAAATTGTCCCTGGGTTCAATAATTTGGTAGAAGTACTCATAGAACTCACTGAAAGCTGTTGATATGGCTTGGCTGTGTCCCCACCCAAATCTCATCTTGAATTCCCACTTGTTGTGGGAGGGACCCAGTAGGAGATAATTGAATCATGGTGGCCGGTCTTTCATGTACTGTTGTCACGATTGTGAATCAGTCAAACAAGATCTGATGGTTTTAAAAAGAAGAGTTCCCCTGCATAACCTCATTTTTTGCCTGCTGCCATCCATGTAAGATGTGACTTGCTCCTCCTTGCCTTCTGCCATGATTGTGAGGCCTCCCCAGCCATGTGGAACTCTAAGTCCATTAAACCTCTCTCTTTTGTAAATTGCCACATTTGGGTATGTCTTTATCAGCAGCATGAGAATGGAATAATATAGCTGTTATATTTGCTGTTCATTATTAGAACTAATGGTTACAGAACAAAATCAACCAAAACAAGAAGCTCATAGAACAGAGTTCAGAAAAGTTCCAAACATGTCTCCAGCCCCTTGAGAGTTCAAGCTGATACCATCCAAAGCCCCCGCCTACATCACATTGTTGTAGTGACTCAAATCCCCCATATAAACAAAAACACTTTTTAAAAATCGGGTAGGACATTCCAGGGCTTTAGAGATTACTTGTAGGGGCCAAGGGCAAAGCTAGACCTCTCTTTGGACAAGGCAAAAATTCTTTACTACATAGTTACCATGATTTAACCTGGGTCATGGTATGCCACTAAAAGCAACAGGCATTTGGAGTGGCAAGTCACATGGTTGGAATTCCGATTCATCCCATCCCAGTTTCCCTAAGAAGCCAAGCCTGCCTTAATCTAGGCTCTGAACTTAACCAGCAACATAAAGTACTGCACTTCATGTAACTTTTCAAGGAGTATAATTTCAAACTTCCTATGAGTCAAAAGTTCTGCTGAGAGAAGGGATGTTTATGAAGTATAGCCAGATAGACGTGGAGTTCACATGTGCCATAAGGCAAGTTAGGCCACCTCTGAAGGCATTGCCTGGGCCAGGGTCTGATAAAGGCATGCATCTGTCTCAGTCACATAAGTATATATATTATAAAATATATGTGAAGAGATAGTCCCTACTAGTTTGTTATTAATCTTCAGGATCTGTGCAACTAGACATTGTCAGCTACTTAGAAAAAATGAACACTCTTATGTGTTATGTAAAATAGAAAATGAACTCATCATCATGTCACCGGAAGTGTTGTTACCGCAACCTGCTCACTTGGGAAGATGCATCACCGACTGAGATTCTGACTAATTGGAACATCAGGGAATTCAACCAATTGGAACTCCACATGCTCCATTTACTCCCTGGTCATCACACATATGCCAGCTCTCAGAATTCAGTAACTAAAGGATAGTGGTAATTAATTTAGCACTACATAAGCAATAAGGGTCAACTAAAAAGATGAATTGCTGGTGGTTATGACAACTAAGGGAAAAAAAGTTTATATCCATCCCTAAAACCTATACCTGGGAGAGAACATGATAAGGGCAAAATATATTAGGTTTAAAAAAAAAACCCACATTTGGAAGACTGAAAATTCCTCACATAAGGCTCAAAGCCTCACTGACTTGTAAAACATTTTTTAAAAAATAAGGATATGGGATATGTTCTAAGATGGATGAATGGGAATAGCTTTGGTCTGCAGCTCCCAGCATGATCAACGCAGAAGATGGGTAATTTCTGCATTTCCAACTGAGGTACCTGGTTCATCTCAATGGGACTGGTTGGACAGTGGGTGCAGCACACAGAGGGCAAACTGAAGCAGGGTGGGTCGTCACCTTACCCAGGAAGCGCAAGGGGTATGGGGATTTCCCTTTCCTAGCCAAGGAAAGCCGTGAGTGACTGCACCTGGAAAAATGGGACACTTCTGCCCAAATACTGCACTTTTCCCACAGTCCTAGCAACCGGCAGACCAGGAGATTCTCTCCCATGCCTGGATCAGTGGGTCCCACGCCCACGGAGCCTTGCTCACTGCTAGCACAGCAGTCTGAGATCAACCTGCAAGGTAGCAGCCTGGCAGGGGAGGGGTGTCCACCATTGCTGAGGCTAGAATAGGTAAAGCAGTCGGGAAGCTTGAACTAGGTGGAGCCCACCACAGCTCAGCAAGGCCTACTGCCTCTATAGAGTCCACCTCTGTGGGCAGGGCATAGCTGAACAAAAGGCAGCAGAAACTTCTGCAGACCAACAGCTCTGAAGAGAGCAGTGGTTCTCCCAGCATGGCGTTTGAGCTCTGATAATGTAAAGATTGCCTCCTCAAGTGGGTCCCTGACCCCCGTGTAGCCTAACTGGGAGACACCTCCCAGTAGGGACTGACCAACACCTCATACAGGCAGGTGCCCCTCTGGGACAAGGCTTCCAGAGGAAGGATCAGGCAGCAATATTTGCTGTTCTGCAATATTTGCTGTTCTGCAGTCTTCACTGGTGATACTCAGGCAAACACGGTCTGGAGTGGACCTCCAGGAAACTCCAACAGACCTGTAGTGGAGGGACCTGACTGTTAGAAGGAAAACCAACAAACAGAAAGGAATAGCATCAACATCAACAAAAAGGACATCCACACCAAAACCCCATCTGTAGGTCACCAATATCAAAGACCAAAGGTAGATAAAACCACAAAGATGGGAAGGAACCAGAGCAGAAAAGCTGAAAATTCTAAAAACCAGAGTGCCTCTTCTCTTCCAAAGGATCACAGCTCCTCGCCAGCAACAGAACAAAGCTGGATGGAGAATGACTTTGACGAGTTGACTGAAATAGGCTTTAAAAGGTCAGTAATAACAAACTTCTCCGTGCTAAAGGAACATGTTCTAAGCCATCACAAGGAAGTTAAAAACCTTGAAAAGAGGGTAGATGAATGGCTAACTAGAATAAACAGTGTACAGAAGACCTTAAATGACCTGATGGAGCTGAAAACCATGGTGTGAGAAATTTGTGATGCAAGCACAGGCTTCAATAGCTGATTTGATCAAGTGGAAGGAAGGATATCAGTGATTGAAGATCAAATTAATGAAATAAAGCAAGAAGACAAGTTTAGAGAAAAAAGAGGAAAAAGAAACAAACAAAACTTCTAAGAAATATGGGACTATGTGAAAAGACCAAATCAACATTTGATTGGTGTACCTGAAAGTGATGGGGAGAATGGAACCAAGTTGGAAAACACTCTTCAGGATATTATCCAGGAGAACTTCCCCAATCTAGTAAGGCAGGCCAGCATTCAAATTCAGGAAATACAGAGAACATCACAAAGATACGCCTTGAGAAGAGCAACCCCAAGACACATAATTGTCAGATTCACCAAGGTTGAAATGAAGGAAAAAATGTTAAGGGCAGCCAGAGAGAAAGATTGGGTTACCCACAAAGGGAAGCCCATCAGACTAACAATGGATCTCTCAGCAGAAACCTTACAAGCCAGAAGAGAGTGGGGGCCAATATTCAACAATCTTAAAGAAAAGAATTTTCAACCCAGAATCTCATATCCAGCCAAACTAAGCTTCATAAGTGAAGGAGAAATAAAATCCTTTACAGACAAGCAAATGCTGAGAGATTTTGTCACCACCAGGCCTGCCTTACAAGAGCTCCTGAAGGAAGAAATAAACATGGAAAGGAACAACCGGTACCAGCCACTGCGAAAACATGCCAAATCATAAAGACCATCAAAGCTATGAAGAAACTGCATCAATTAATGGACAAAATAACCAGCTAACATCATAATGACAGGATTAAATTCACACATAACAATATTAACCTTCAATGTAAATGGGCTAAATGCCCCAATTAAAAGACACAGACCGACAAATTGGATAGAGTCAAGACCCATCAGTGTGCTGTATTTGGGAGACCCATCTCACATGCAGAGACACACATAGGCTCAAAATAAAAGGATGGAGGAAGATCTACCAAGCAAATGGAAAGCAAAAAAGTAGGGGTTGTAATCCTAGTCTCTGATAAAACAGACTTTAAACCAACAAAGATCAAAAGAGACAAATAAGGCCATTACATAATGGTAAAGGGATCAATTCAACAAGAAGAGCTAACTATCATAAATATATATGCACCCAATACAGAAGCACCCAGATTAATAAAGCAAGTACTTGGAGACCTACAAAGAGACTTAGACTCCCACACAATAATAATGGGAGAGTTTAACACCCCATTGTCAATATTAGACAGATCAATGAGACAGAAGGTTAATAAGGATATCCAGGACTTGAACTCAGCTCTGCACCAAGCAGACCTAATAGACATCTACAGAACTCTCCACCCCAAATCAACAGGATATACATTCTTCTCAGCACCACATCACACATATTCTAAAATTGACCACATAATTGGAAGTAAAGCACTCCTCAGCAAATGTAAAAGAACAGAAATCACAACAAACTATCTCTCAGACCAAATCCAATCAAATTAGAACTCAGGATTAAGAAACTCATTCAAAGCTGCACAACTACATGGAACCTGAACAACCTGCTCCTGAATAACTACTGGGCAAATAACCAAATGAAGGCAGAAATAAAGATATTCTTTGAAACCAACGAGAACAAAGACACAATGTACCAGAATCTCAGGAACACATTTAAAGCAGTGTGTAGAGTGAAATTTATAGCACTAAATGCCCACAAGAGAAAGCAAGAAAGATCTAAAATCGACACCCTAACATCACAATTAAAAGAACTAGAGAAGCAAGAGCAAACACATTCAAAAGCTGGCAGAAGGCAAGAAATAACTAAGATCAGAGCAGAACTGAAGGAGATAAGAGACACAAAAAACCCTTCAAAAATCAATGAATCCAGGAGCCGGTTTTTTGAAAAGATCAACAAAATTGATAGACCACTAGCAAGACTAATAAAGAAGAAAAGAGAGAAGAATCAAATAGATGCAATAAAAAATGATAAAGGGGATATCACCTCCAATCCCACAGAAATACAAACTACAATCAGAGAATACTATAAACACCTCTACGCAAATAAACTAGAAAATCTAGAAGAAATGGATAAATTCCTGGACACATACACCCTCCCAAGACTAAACCAGGAAGAAGTTGAATCTCTGAATAGACTAATAACAGGCTCTAAAATTGAGGCAATAATTAATAGCATACCAATCAAAAAAATTCCAGGACCAGATGGATTCACAGCAGAATTCTACCAGAGGTACAAAGAGGAGCTGGTACCATTCCTTCTGAAACTATTGCAATGAATAGAAAAAGAGGGAATACTCCCTAACTCATTTTATGAGGCCAGCATCATCCTGATATCAAAGTCTGGCAGAGACACAACAAAAAAAGAGAATTTTAGACCAATATCCCTGATGAATATCGATGCAAAAATCCTCAATAAAATACTGGAAAACCAAATCCAGCAGTCCATCAAAAAGCTTATCCACGACGATCAAGTCGGCCTCATCCCTGGGATGCAAGGCTGGTTCAATATACGGAAATCAATAAATGTAATCCAGCACATAAAGAGAACCAACGACAAAAACCACATGATTATCTGAACAGATGCAGAAAAGGCCTTTGACAAAATTCAACAGCCCTTCATGCTAAAAACTCTCAATAAACTAGGTATTGATGGAATGTATTTCAAAATAATAAGAGCTATTTATGACAGACCCACAGCCAATATCATACTGAATGGGCAAAACCTGGAAGCATTCCCTTTGAAAACTGGAACAAGACAAGAATGCCCTCTCTCATCACTCCTATTCAACATAGTGTTGGAAGTTCTGGCCAGGGCAATCAGGCAAGAGAAAGAAATAAAGAGTATTCAACTAGGAACAGAAGAAGTCAAATTGTCCCTGTTTGCAGATGACATGATTGTATATTTAGAAAACCCCATCGTCTCAGCCCCAAATCTCCTTAAGCTGATAGGCAACTTCAGCAAAGTCTCAGGATACAAAATCAATGTGCAAAAATCACAAGCATTCCTATACATCAAGAACAGACAAACAGAGAGCCAAATCATGAGTGAACTCCCCTTCACAATTACTACCAAGAGAATAAAATACCTACAAATCCAACTTACAAAGGATGTGAAGGATCACTTCAAGGAGAACTACAAACCACTGCTCAACAAAATAAAAGAGGACACAAATGGAAGAACATTCCATGCTCATGGGCAGGAAGAATCAATATCATGAAAATGGCCATACTGCCCAAGGTAATTTATAGAGTCATTGCATCCCCATCAAGCTACCACTGACTTTCTTCACAGAATTGGAAAAAACTACTTTAAAGTTCATATGGAACCAAAAAAGAGCCCACATAGCCATGACAATCCTAAGCCAAAATAACAAAGCTGGAGGCCTCACACTACCTGACTTCAAACTGTAATATATGGCTACAGTAACCAAAACAGCATGGTACTGGTACCCAAACAGGTGTATAGACCAATGGAACAGAACCGAGGCCTCAGAAATAACACCACATATCTACAACCATCTGATCTTTGACAAACCTGACAAAAACAAGAAATGGGGAAAGGATTCCCTACTTAATAAATGGTGCTGGGAAAACTGGCTAGCCATATGTAGAAAGCTGAACTGGATCCCTTCCTTACACCTTAAACAAAAATTAATTCAAGATGGATTAAAGATTTCAATGTTAGACCGCAAAAACCCTAGAAGAAAACCTAGGAAATACCATTCAGGACATGGGCATGGGCAAGGACTTCATGATTAAAACACCAAAAGCAATGGCAACAATAGTCAAAATTGACAAATGGGATCTAATTAAACTAAAAAGCTTCTGCATGGCAAAAGAAACTACTATCAGCGTGAACAGGCAACCTACAGAATGGGAGAAAATTCTTGCAATCTATCCATCTGACAAAGGGCTAATATCCAGAATCTACAAAGAACTCAAACAAATTTACAAGAAAAAAACAAATAACCTCATCAAAAAGTGGGTAAAGGATATGAACAGACACTACTCAGAAGAAGACATTCATGCAGCCTACAGACACATGAAAAAATGCTCATGATTACTGGTCATCAGAGAAATGCAAATCAAAACCACAATGAGATACCATCTCATGGCGGTTAGAATGGCGATCATTAAAAAGTCAGGAAACAACAGATGCTGGAGAGGATGTGGAGAAATAGGAACGCTTTTACACCATTGGTGGGAGTATAAATTAGTTCAACCATTGAAGAAGACAGTGTGGCAATTCCTCAAGGTTCTAGAACCAGAAATACCATTTGACCCAGCAATCCCATTACTGGGCATATACACAAAGGATTATAAATAATTTTACTATAAAGACACAAGCACACGTATGTTTACTGTGGCAATATTCACAATAGCAAAGACTTGGAATCAACCAAAATGTCCATCAATGATAGACTGGATTAAGAAAATGTGACACATATACACCATGGAATACTATGCAGCCATAAAAAAGGATGAGTTCATGTCCTTTGCAGGGACATGGATGAAGCTGGAAACCATAATTCTCAGCAAAATAGCACAAGAACAGACAGCCAAACATCATATGTTCTCACTCATAGGTGGGATTTGAACAATGAGAACACTTGGGCACAGGGTGGGAAACATCACACACCAGGTCCTGTCAAGGGGTGGAGGCTGGGGGAGGGATAGCATTAAGAGAAATACCTAATGTAAACGACGAGTTGATGGCTGCAGCAAACCAACATGGTACATGTATACCTGTGTAACAAACCTGCACGCTGTCCACATGTACCCTAGAACTTACAGTATAATTTAAAAAATAATAAGGATGTGATTAGGGTAAATTTTTCAACTACCAATAAAGAGTAGGAAGTAAAAGTTTCCTGTTGTCTTACTCTTATTCTACCTCCCCTAGCCCGCAGTACCACCCCTCTATAATAATCACTATTAATGGTGTCTTTGAACTGTGTCTAAGAATGCATCTTCCGCCTACTACAACCTATCTTTGCAGCAGGTCAGAGCAGCAAAGAACCATAAATGTGAACTGCATTTATGCACTCTTCCGATATTTGTTCTGGCCACCC
This sequence comes from Homo sapiens, assembly GCF_000001405.40. Classification (NCBI taxonomy): domain Eukaryota; kingdom Metazoa; phylum Chordata; class Mammalia; order Primates; family Hominidae; genus Homo; species Homo sapiens. Next base: position 70,980,560 of record NC_000006.12, read on the forward strand.
TGCCCTTTGCCCTGATGCAATCAGCCTCCTCATAGAGTCATTATAAGGTGAGACCCAGGAAACCAAGACCATGTTGTTGTACAAATATTGTTGAGAACCTTGTTCATTATTTCACGGTGTTTTCTCAATGAAAACCTATAAGAGAAATTTGTCTGTAGTCTCTCAGAACTGGGAATGGCTGAGCATCTGCAGATTTGTTTTTCTCTTAGGGACTATCGCAGTTGCTATGGTTACATAATATAATAAATTATCTTAAAACTTAGTGCATAAAATGATTATTTATTTTGCTCATTACTTGTGCGGGCCAGGAATTCCAACAGGAAACTGTGGGGTGGCCTGTCCCAGCTCCACAATATCTGGTGTCTCTACTGGAAGATTCAAAGGCTGGAGGAAGGAATCTTCAATATGTTAATTCCCTCATGTGTCTGATGCTGGCTTTGGCTGAGCCCTTATCTGGAGCTGTCAGCTGGAACACTCACATGTGGCTTCTCCATGTGTTCTGGGATCTTCATACGTGGTGGCTGGATTCCAAGCATGAGCACCTCCAGAGAGGAGAGGAGGGTAGCGGAGGGGAGGGGAGGGGAGGGGAGGGGAGGGAATTAGAAGCTGTATCATCTTTTATGGCCTGGCTGTGGAGGAGAGGAGAGGAGAGGAGGGGAGGGGAGGGGAGCGGAGGGGAGGGGAGGGGAGGGGAGGGAATTAGAAGCTGTATCATCTTTTATGGCCTGGCTGTGGAGGAGAGGAGAGGAGAGGAGGGGAGGGGAGGGGAGGGGAGGGGAGGGGAAGGGAGAGGAGGGGAACTAATTAGAAGCTGTATCATCTTTTATGGCCTGGCTGTGGATATCACATAGCATCACTTCTATTGCTTTCTACTTGTCGAGGCAGCCCAAGTCATTTCCTAGGTTCAAGAGGAAGGGAAATAGATTCTACCTCTTGAATGGGAGTAGCAAGATTCTGGAGAAGCATGAGGGACTGAAAATATTGGTGTGTCCATTTTTGGGAAATATGATTGGCCACAGGACTCTCTGACACATCATCCACTCTGTATACTAACTACTTGGAAGCACTACAGACAAATGTATGGCATGCTCAAGTGACAGTATGAGACTTCATGCCATGTATTGCGTACACAAACCTCACTCAGGCTTCATATTGCTTTCCTTTCTTTATTTTCTCTGCTTCATTTTCCTCATCAATTTTTACTTTATCTTGCAATATTTTATGCATCTTTCAAAATCACTATAAATAATTTTCAGGAAAAATTCAGATATAAACGAACAAAAATGGAACCACAGAAAAAAATTTTCTGCGTACCAAATTAATTTCAACAACAAGAACAAAACATGACATTCAGGAATGAAATCTCTACAAATACTCTCCGATATTCAAATCTTAATCTTGTCCAAATTTATGTTCATTTAGAATGGAAACCAGAAGAGTAATTCATCTTTTCAAGTCAATTTTTTGATCCCTACAATGACATAGTTTTGATCTATCATACTGGAAAATATATTACATAAGTTAATTCACTTCATAATTATGTAATTTGGAAATATGAATGAATCTCAAATATTTCCACTATACTTATTTCATCTATGTAAAATGTTCTGTATTGGGCCATTTAAAAATAATATACCTTTTTTCTGAAGAAATAGGCAAGAATTTATTAAGATTCTTGGCTTAACTTTTTACAAAAAAGATAATATTATTTAATTTTTCAGTGAAACAATTTTGTAGTCTTCCAGTCTTTTTCACTAAAGATGAGATATTATATAATTCTTTGATGGAATAATTAACATTTTATTTGACACATCTATATTAGGGATTCCTTATCTATGAAGAGCCATGAGTTTTATTATATATGCCATCTACCTTATCAGATTTATTATAATCAAATTTCATTTTGCTTTATTTGTTTACTGCAGTACTTCTGGACTGCAAAACCAATTTAGTCCTCTGTATATAAATTGATTATTTCATGAAAAACTAGCTACTATAACTATTAAGTGCAAATAATACACACTGCAATTGCCAATTTAACCACACGTAAATGAAGGAGCTAAAATGTCATTGTTCTGTAAAAGGGATTAATTTAACAGCTTTGTGATTTTTTTCTGAGGGACATTCACCGAGGTAACTAAAAATTCACAGAAACAAAATTCTGCAATTGATAAGTTAATGTTCTTTAAAACGATGAACATATATATGTGAAACACTGAGTCTTTCGTGGCCTTACTATAAGACTTACAATTAATTATTTAAGACTTTACTGATATTTTTGGGTAAGTTTTAAGACCATTGGTTAAGTCTTTTACAAACAAAGTTAGTTAGAATGGCAATCACATGATTATCTAATAAACATCATGATGTATTACGTCACTGTTCTCTTGACAAACTGCTACAATTTGAATGTTTGTGTACCTCCAAAATTCATGTTGAAACTTAATAATCCCCATTGTGGTGATATTCAGATGTGGGGACTTTTGGGAAGTGGTTAAGTCAAGAGAGCTCCAATCTCATGAATTGGATCAAAGACCTGATAAAAGAGGCTTAAGAGAACATCTGGCTCCTCCATCTTTTCTGCCATGTGAGGACGCAGAGTTCATCCCTTTTTGCCTTCTTCCTCCATGTGAGGATGCAGCAAAAAGCTGCCATCTTGGAAGCAGAGAGCAGTCCTCACCAGACTCCAAATCTGCCTGTGCCTTGCTCTTGGACTTCCTAGCCTCCAGAACTGTGAGAAATACATTTTTGTTCTTTATAAATTACTTAGTCTCAGAATTATTATAGCAGCACAAATAGACTAAGACACACACCTTTCATTTTCCTCCCTTGTTAAGAGTTTGCTTCTGCTGCCTTGAAATGGCTTCCTCCATCTCCACCCTGGCCCCACTGTTGGAGTCCTACCCAAATTTCAACATCGAGAACTGACACCAACAATTGCAAAATCCTTTCTACTTTCTCCAAGGTGGAATCTCTCCTTAACTTTGCACTTTGCTGATAGTATTCATTAGCATATCTTGCCTTAGCATTTTATATGTATTTCTCATTTTCCTACAACCTACTTCCAAATTTCTCCTATTCTATGAGGTCTTGGTGGGAAGAGTTAGAGAAAAAAAATATTCATACCACTCGTTAAAGATGTTGAGGCTGACTTTATTCAAGTGGCAGATTTTATTCACTTTATTTAGTGATCCCTATACCACCAGGTATAGGGACCACTGCAATGGGGTCTTGCAGTGGGAGAGAAAGGTTGGACTGAATTCTGAATACAGCATGGGCAAGTGAGAATTTATAGTCAAGGAGCAGGGTGGGGGTCAATTGATGGAAAATTAATAAAAGGATATATCAGGGGTAGAAGGGATTCTGGCTAAACTGACCTAACAGGATTCTTGATGAAGACAGACCAGGGTAATCAGATATCACCCAGGGAATGATGGAGGATGAAGAATCCAATCAAATATCAAAGATGATCAGATATTTAGCATGGAGGGTTTTTGATAAACTGACTTAGGAGGGTTCTTTGCCAGAACTAAATTTTATAAGGAAGTGCACAGATGGGCCTAGGAGAAGGTTCAGAAACCTGGCTAAAGCTTGGTCAAACAAAGAATCTTTGTTAGAAGTGCCATATCTTGTGCATTTTTGCCTTCCCCACAGTGCCTAGGATAGGGATATGCACATAGAAGGTGCTAAAAAACGTTAACTGAATTGAATTATATAAACCAAGTGTGAGTATGAAGCTGACTTAATATGTAACCCAGACCATTATGAGATGATAATTATTATATTCTGTGGGACCACTCTGACTTGCTGGATATGTGTATGTGATGTTGGCTCTAATTTGTAAATGTTTTTCTTTCTTCCGTCATATTGAACTGAATTGGCTCCATTATAGTGTAATATCTCATATCTCAATAGCAATTCCTCTCCCCTCCCTTACAATATGGAGAAAAGCAAAAATTGACTCAGTATAACCAGATATGTTTGACAGGCACACTTCAACCTAGAGAGAATAAATACTTCACAATATTCTCCCATCTAACATAATTCATATTCTTCTTCAATTTTCTAAACAAATTACCATGGATTTTACTTCAACTGAAAAGAAAACTTATAATGGAAGCCATTTCACCATTATGTCAACCACAAAAATTCTCAAACCTGAACTAGACTCACACAATTTGTGGTCCAGCAGAACTTAGATATTATATCTTAATTTCCTAACTGTTCAGAGGAGTAAACTGAGGCCTAGGGAGATTTAGAGGATTGTTCAAGGTCACCCTGCTCATTAATGGCAGAGGTTGTAGTAGAACTCAACTCTCCTACCTTCTATAGTAATTCTCATTCCATTGAATCTAGAATCTACCTTTTATTTCTGAAGTATAAATGATCCAAACTGAAGTTTGAGTACAAATTTGATCACTGGCTTTTCACAAAGATTTCTGCTGTATGTCGATTCATGTGGTTTCTTTAGTGTCTTATTCTATTTATTCCATTCTCCTTAAATGCCTAATTCAAAGATAGTATAACATGTGTTTTCATTTTCTTAGATGTGAAAGGTTTCCAAAATCTCCATGTTTCAGACATGGTAAAATGTATAAGTGTATTAGTCCATTTTCACACTGCTATAAAGAACTACCTGAGACCGGGTAATTTATGAAGAAAAGCATTTTAAGTGACTCACAGTTCTGCAGGGTATATAGGAAGCATGGCTGGGACACCTCAGGAAACTTATAACCATGGCGGAAGGCAAAGAGGAAGCAAGCATTTCTTCACATGGAGGAGCACGAGAGAGAGCCAAGGGGGAAGTGCCCCACACTTTTAAACAACTGGAACTAGTGAGAACTTCCTCATTATCACAAGAACAGCAAGGGGGAAATCCGCCCCCATGATCCAATCACCTCCCAGCTGGCCCCTCCCCCAACACTGGAGATTACAATTCAACATGAGATTTGGGTGGGGACATGGAGCTAAACCATATCAAAAAGTAATAAGCTCTTTTTGAGTTTTACTTGCACTTGCCTTGAGACTTTGTCTCAACACGACACACACACACACAGACTGAGCCTAAGATCTTTTTCCTCTATTCTAAGCGAGGATCACAACACCTGCATCTTATGGAAGACCAATATCCATTATTCAGCCATCAACACTCTCTTTTTGGATATAGATGATCACAATTTGAGGGCAAATGCAGAAACCCTGCAGTAGCAAGTTTAGACTAGGTGAAGTACTCTCTTCAGTTCTGAATGTCTTCAGTTATGATTTACAAGATACCTGGTATATATTCCAAAGCCATTATATGACAGACAGCATTTAGGTTGCATTTTAAGCCTTATAACTGTCATATTTGTTTGTTATCTTTAAATGCTGTCATCTGGCCCACAGCAGTGATGACCTTAGGGAATGAATAAAGAAAGTGTTGTCCAAAGACTGCACTTCTGCTTTCAATGATTCCAGTTCTATTCCCCTTGTTCTCTGGCTTCTTTGACTACATAAATTGCCTCCCTCCTATTGCGTTGCACCATTCAGGTTCGCAGGTGGATTTTAGACTGTCTGCCAGGATCTAACCTGTTGCTTTCTTAGGAAGCCCCTTCTGGTATCCATACCAGGGCCTTGCCCTGGCCTCCAGAGCCCCTGATCCTTTTTATCAGGTAAGGAAATCTAAATATTTATGATATTCTTAGTAAAACTAAAAATTAAGGAAGCTGGTTTACTTACATGGATATAATTTTTTAAAATTATTTTCACTTTGTGCTAGCTAGAATTCTGCTGGCTAGGTTTTTTTTGTGGGGGGAGGGTCATCTTTTTAGACTATATGGAAAATAGATAAAATATAATCTACAATGAGGATATTTTACAGTGACAGACTGATATGGTTTGGGTGTGTCCCCACCCAAATCTCTTCTTGAATTGTAGCTCCCACAACTCCCATGTGTCGTGGGAGGGACCTGGTGGGAGGTAATTAAATCATGGGGGTGGGTCTTTCCCATCTTATTCTTGTGATAGTGAATAAGTCTCCTGAGATCTGATCGTTTTATTTTATTTTATTTTTTGAGATGGAGTTTCTCTCTTGTTGCCCAGGCTGGAGTGCAGTGGCATGATCTCGGCTCACTGCAACCTCCGCCTCTCAGGTTCAAGTGATTCTCTTGCCTCAGCCTCCCAAGTAGCTGGGATTACAAGCATGTGCCACCATACCCAGCTAAATTTGTATTTTTAGTAGAGATGGGGTTTCACCATATTGACCAGGCTCGTCTTGAACTCCTGACCTCAGGTGATCCACCTGCCTTGGCCTCCCAAAGTGCTGGGATTACAGGCATGAGCCACCATGCCCAGTCAATCTGATGGTTTTATAAAGGGGAGTTTCCCTGGACAAGCTCTCTTCTCTTGCCCGCCACCATGTGAGACGTGACTTTCACCTTCCACTATGATTGTGAGGCCTCCCCAGCCATGTGGAACTGTGAATCCATTAAACATCTTTCTTTTGTAAATTGCCCAGTCTAGGGTTTGTCTTTATCAGCAGTGTGAAAACAGACTAAGACACAGACTAAGGGTCAATGGTATCTGGGGACAAAGTAATGTGATTATGCCTCTTCCCCTTGCACTCTAGTGGGCCAAGACTAGTAGCTTTGTGGATCTGCACAGAATGGCTTCTGGAGACACTGCCCACTTCACTCTGCCTCTGGCATTTTATGATCTGTAAAGGTTGTTGGAAAATTGTTCAGTTTTCCTGTTGGGATTTTGAAAGCTGGTTTTAACTAATATTAGTAGGCTCTTACTCCCTTGAGCACAATGGCTCTTTTGGTTTTCTGTGAAATGAAGAATTACAGAGTAAATGCTTGGCAGCTAAAAGGATTAAAGACAAAAATAATAGTTTATACTAGCAAAAGTAAAGAATTCTATATCATGCCTTGTGTTAACCTCACTCCAGGTCTCAGCTTAACTTTCCTACACCTATTAATCTATGTCTCAGATTTCTAACCTATTTTAAACTAATTCTATCTGGTTGTATTGCTTGAATTTTTTAAACAATCAAATTTTTTCTTGTACGAGGTAGGTTACACAAAAATACATTTCAGAAAGTAGCAATATAATAGATTTTGACATTTGAGAACCATATGAAGTATTTTAAAGAAGAAAGAAGCATATGGCAAAAGCTTGACTAATCTTAATTTGGTAAAGAGGCAATTCTGGATAAGCAAACTGTATGGTCAAGTCACAGTTAATCAGAAGACAATTATGGTTTAACTATTGTTAAGAATTTTCCAGAAGTTTATTGCTGCTGTTATACCCTAGTGAGTAGAATATACTGAATATACTTGATTTTTTTCTTAGGTGACTAAGGCTCTCACAATGGCTAAGGAATAACATTGTGAACATCAATTTGGATTGGACCATAAGTGGAGATATAAAGGGTTTTTAAGAGATGAGTCTAAATTTGCATTGACCCAGGACAGATTTTTAAGGTGATTAAAAAAATTAAATCTCTCAGTTTGGTTTTCAGTCATTCATTTTCCTCATAGAGGCTTATAGCAAACAAAATCCTCCTAATCACTTCCTCACAAAAAAATACAAATATTTTATTAAATATTTCTCCTTGGGGTCACTTTGCCTGATTTATTTAATTAATTAGTTTGATTGAGACATTATTATTTACAGCTTTGGGGCTGTGGCAGTACAATTAAGGATGAGATCATTATTTCCTAAAGTGGAAAGAAAACTTGGAACAATTCACTCATATTCAATTTGTGTTTGAAAGTTCAGTAAAATACTGTTTGGGAATTTTTAAATTAAGCAAATCAGATATTTTAAGAGAAATAATACATTACAATTGTGTGAAAGAGGATAGAAAAAGAATCTTGTTTGCCAATGTACAGGATAATTAGGGTGTAGTGAGAATATTTAGCCCCAAGTAAAGAAAGAAATTTCAACCAAATTACTGGATGGAGATAGAAAAGTCATGCCCCATCTATCTGGTGGTTGGATATCTGGCATTCTTAATGATTCCTTAGACAGCTACATACTCAAAATAAGAGGAGTCCTCTTTGGGTAGTGAGGAAATCCTGTAGGATGAAATTGGAACCTGCCTTAGGGTACACCTTGAATTATGTAAAACTTGATTTAACAAGTTTGCTTATTTGGTTTCTCTGGTGATCTTTGGTACTTCCTAGGTTTCAGAAGGCAGGGAATTAGATGTAATGAGGGAGAAATAGAGATAGAGATAGAGTAGAGATAGAGAGAGACTGATGGACATGAATGCATGTGTTGTGTTGAGTGTGCGCTCATAAGTGTGGGCAGGTGAGGAGGGTGTGCTATTGGGAGGTTTCACTGAGAAGCCAATATATTGGGAAACGACAGCCTTTGGAATACAGAAAATTGCAAAATCCTCAATTACATAAATATAGGCACCTAGGAAAATTTATTTACATATTTTATTAGCACTGAAGGTCATTACTGAGAATCAAAATACAATATACCAAAACCAATGTCTATAATGATAACATACGACACTAAGTAAAAGTTAAATGATCATACTCCTTTTAAAAAGTCAGAGAAATACATTTTAGACAGATTTGTTTGCAGAATAAGGGTGTCTGTATGTGCCTAACTTTTATCACCTTAGGTACAATCTTTGTTTTCCTGAAATTTTATTTGCTCCACTATGACATTCCTAATGATAATAAATACACAGGATTTATGTATTTGCCAAGATAAATGGTACATATCTTGTAGGGGTATTATTTTTTCCTGCCTTTATGGAAAAGATAAGTAGACTACATCTAAGGCAAAGTCTTTAAAAAGAATGTTTACTATTGTTTTAATGTTTACTATTGTTTTAATATTTAAGGAAGAAAAAAATGTATGAAAAAATATGCCTTAGCATTCTATAAATTCTAGTTAACTACCTTTGAATATGTCTGTGTTTGCAACAAATCATATCCAACCATGCAAAAAGCTTTTTTGCTCAGCTTCCCTCCAAAAGGAGTTACAATGTTTATGTCATGCATGGACAGTAAACCAAGTAATCACTAAAAACCCATTGATGCCTGGCACAATTTTATCTCTTATTTTAAGCATTTGCCTTGAATTGAAGAAACTGATCTCATCTCTGGAGAACATTTCTTTTCACTCATTTCCAGGTGTGCTGTTTGAAAGGCCTCCATGGGGATTAACAGCATAGACTTGAGTTGGGCTGGTGAGTAATGCACATTTAATCAGACTGCACTCTGTACCCCAAAGCCTCTGCCTTTGTTAAAGTTCTCTGTTCTGCCTGATAAACATGTTATGCCCTACTTCCTTCTATAAAAGCTAATACTCTACCAAATCTGTTTGATACCTTCTTTTTACGTAATGAAATAATCAATGATGGCAGAGGAAAGAAAGTGTTCTCCCTCTTTCTTTACCCATTGAAAAAAACCTGAGGATGAAGGTATGGTGGCAACTCAGAAAGGCTAATGGTGGGAAGGACTGAAGTTAGCAGTGTCTGCCCATATATAGGGCATGGTTTTTGACAGTTTGCATTTTTCTTATGATGAACATTATTCAGATCACTAGGAATTGCTTTAGGTTTTCCTTTTAGCTAATTCAGTTAAAAGGGTATAAATAATGTTTTATGAGCCACATAAGATAAATGGAAACCAAGAAAGGACTGCTGTGAAAAGAATAAAGGAAATCGAACTCTCTCTCTCTCTCTCTCTCTCTCTCTCTCTCTATATATATATATATATATATATATATATATATATACCAAAGTCCCCAAAAATATGGTATTTCTGAAATATGAGGTATGATTGCAAAGTCATTTAATTCATTAAAAATATATAGTGTCAGAATTCATACCTCCTGAGATGATTTGGCTCTGTGTCCCCACCCAAATGTCATCTCAAATTGCAATCCCCATGTGGCAAGGGAGGGACCCCAATTTATGGGGGTGGTTTCCCCCATGCTGTTTGCATGATAGTGAGGGAGTTCTCGTGAGATCTGATGGTTTTAAAAGTGGCAGTTTCCTCTGCTCTCTCTCTCCTGCCATCTTGTGAAGAAGGTGCTTGCTTCTCTTTCACCTCCCACCATGATTGTAAATTTCCTGAGGCCTCCTCAGCCATGTGGAACTGTGAGTTATTAAATCTCTTTTCTTTATATTACCCAGTTTCAGGTATTCTTTATAACAGTGTGAAAAGAGACTAATACAGAAAGTAGGGTACCAGGAGTGGAGCACTGCTATAAAAATAACCTGAAAATGTGGAAGCGACTTTGGAACTGGGTAATAGGCAGAGGTTGGAACAGTTTGGAGGGCTCGGAAGAAGACAGGAAGATGTGGGAAAGTTTGGAACTTTCTAGAGAGTTGCTGAATGGTTTTGTCCAAAATGCTAATAGTGGTATGGACAATGAAGTCTAGGCTGAGGTGTTCTCAGATGGAGATGAGGAGCTTATTGGAAACTGGAGCAAAGGTCACTCTTGCTATACTTTAGCAAAGAGACTGGTGGCATTTTGTCCCTGCCCTAGAGATCTGTGGAACTTTGAACTTGAGCGGTATGATTTAGAGTATCTGGCAGAAGAAATTTCTAAGCAGCAAAGCATTTAAGATGTGACCTGACTTTTTCTGAAAGTGTACAGTTGTATGCATTCACAAAGAGATGGTATGAAATTGGAACTTATGTTTAAAAGGGAAGCAGAGTGTAAAACTTTGAAAAATTTGCATCCTGACCATGTGGTAGAAAAAAAAAACCCATTTTCTGGGGAGAAATTCAAGCCAGCTGAAGAAATCTGCATAAGTAGCGAGGAGCCAAATGTTAAGCATCAAGACAATGGGGAAAATGTCTCCAGGGCATTTCAGAGAGCTTCATGGCAGTGTCTCCCATCACCGGCCCTGAGGCCTAGGAGGGAAAAATGGTTTCATGGGCTGGGTCTAGGCCACTCCCTCCACACCCTGGACATGGTGCCCTGCTTCACAGCTGCTTCAGCTCCAGAGGTGGCTGAAAGGGGCCAAGGTACAGCCTGGGCCATTGTTTCAGAGAGTGCAAGCCCCAAGACTTGGCAGTGTCCATTTGGTGTTGGGCCTGTGGGTGTGCAAACAAGAGTTGAGGTTTGGGAACCTCCACCTAGATTTCAGAGGATATGGAAACACTTGGAGTACAGGCAGCAGTCTGCTGCAGGGGTGGAGCCCTCATGGAGAATCTCTACTAGGGTAATGCAGAGGGGAAATACGGGGTTGGAGCCCCCAAACAGAGTACCCACTGGGGCACTGCCTAGCCAAGCTGTGAGAAGAGGGCCACCATCCTCCAGACTCCAGAATAGTAGATCCACCAACAGCTTGCACTGTGTGCCTAGAAAAGCTGCAAGTACTCAAAGCCATCCAGTGAAAGCAGCTGTGTGGGGTATTCCCTGCATAGCCACAGGGGTGGAACTGCTGAAGGACTTGGGAGCCCACTTCTTGTATTGGCTTGCCCTGGAAGTGAGACATGGAGTCCAAGGAGATTATTTTGAAGCCTTAAGATTTTATGAGGGACTTGCCAGGTTTTGGACTTGAGTGGGGCCTGTGGCCCCTTTGCTTTGGCCAATTTCTCCCATTTGGAAGGGGAATATTTACCCAATGCCTATAACCCCATTGTATATTGGGTTATATAACTAACTTGTTATATATAACTAACTTGTTTTTCATTTTACAGGCTCCTAGGTGGAAGGGACTTGCCTTGTCTCAGATGAGACTTTGGACTTGGACTTTTTGGGTTAATGCTGTAATGGCTGTAGACTTTGGGGGACTATTGTGAAGACATGATTGTATTTTGGAATGTGAGAAGGACATGAGATTTGGGAGGGGGCAGGGGTGGAATGATATGGTTTGGCTTTGTGTCTTCACCCAAATCTCATCTTGAATTGATCCTCACATGTTGAGGGAGGGACCTAGTGAGAGGTGATTGGATCATGAGGGTGGTTTCCTCCATGCTGTTCTCATGATAGTGAGGGAGTTCTCATGGGATCTGATGGTTTTGAAAGTAGCAGTTTCTCCTGTGCTTGCTCTTTCTCTCCTGCTGCCTTGTGAAGAAGGTGTTTGCTCCTCCTTTGCCTTCCACTATGATTGTAAGTTTCCGGAGGCATCCCCAGCCATGTGGAACTGTGAGTCAATTAAACCTCTTTTCTTTACAAATTGCCCAGTCTCAGGTATTCTTTATAACAGTGTGAAAATGGACTAATACACCTCCAAAATGAACTTGGTTACTTCTAGAGTTGTGGCAATATGATCAAAAGAATACTGGCTTTTAAGCCCAAATGAGTTTGGCCATTTTGCTTGCTTCATTACTCACTACCAAACTACCATACCTTCCTGGGCCTCATTTGCTCAATTACTGTGTTAAATGGTAGTAATAATGCCTATTTCTCAGTGGAGCATGAGGGCTAAATGAAAATGCACTAACTTGCACTCTCTTGTATTCAACAAATATTAGGACTCTATACTCCTTCCACGTAAGAATAGAATGGCTTGGCCGGGCATGGTGGCTCACGCCTGTAATCCCAGCACTTTGGGAGGCCGAGGTGGGTGGATCATGAGGGCAGGAGACTGAGACCATCCTGGCTAACATGGTGAAACCCCATCTCTACTAAAACTACAGAAAATTAGCCGGGCGTGTGGTGGGTGCCTGTAGTCCCAGCTACTTGGGAGGCTGAGGCAGGAGAATGGCGTGAACTCGGGAGGTGGAGGTTGCAGTGAGCTGACATCATGCCATTGCATTCCAGCCTGGCGACAGAGTCAGACTCCATCTCCAAAAAAAAAAAAAAAAAAAAAAAGGCTCAAAATACTGGAGGATGAAAGCAAGAGACTGAGAATTCTGTATGAGAGAATTTTTCTAACTCTCAAGGGGCTACATCACATTTATTTCAATTGAATAATGATATTGAACACTTAGCACTTGCTGAGTACCTTCCTCTTGAATATCACATTTTTATTTTTAAAGATGGAATTGAATTTTAGTTATTTCCAAGAGTACCCAAAGTCAATTCTTGTGCATATAGTTAATAATCAAGCTTGGGCAATTTTTTTTAGTCACTAAAAATCTTTTTTAGTCACACACATGCACACACAAGTATATATGCACTGTCTGACCACAATGAGACAAACTTTTGTGCCTTTCAAATTTTTTCTAAAGGCATTTCCAAAAATATTTTGAGCTTCAGCAGCACGATCTATCCTCTCCATGATGCCTACTTTGAAGGGTCTAAAATTCAATTGCATACATACATTCTGGTTTGTGGAGAAAAAAATCAATCTTATGCCTCCTATTACACCTATAGCTTACCTTTGTTACCAAAACACCAGGGGTTCGGTCTAGGGGTGCTCACACATAGAAAGCCAATCACTGAGTTAACAAGTATTGCCAGGGAAGAAGGCTTTAGTAAGGTGCTGCAGCTGAGGAAATGGAGATCAGTCTCAAATCCATCTTCCTGAATGACTAAAATTGGGGTTTATCTAGCAGGGAAGAAATGTAACCATGTATGGGAAAACAGGAATTAGAGGCGGCTAAGAAGAGAAGTTGGTCAACAGGAGGCAGGTGGGTGAGGGGTCTGCCACCTGTCTGGCATGACATTGTTCAGATGCAGTGATCTGGTGTGTTTCAGTTCCTTGATATTATCTGGAAAGCCTGATGGTTGGTTTTCTGAGAAAGGAATTCAGATAAGACAATTGTACCTTTCTCAAGTTTTAAGACTGGGAGGATCAATTTTTATGTTTATTCAGATAAACCATAAACATCAGTTCTATGGGACAATTAAGCTGGTTTTACCTTGAAGATAACTTTGAGTTCACATTTATGATGCCACAGAAGACTCAAGGGCCAGAGTCACTGTAATGTGGGCTTGTCATAGCTAGTCAGCCTTCATTTTTGAAATCACATTACAGTTGAAAAATTGGGGATGATGTTATAATAGTATAAATAAGAAATAAATGAATCTTTCTGCTTTGGCATAAAAGTGAGAGATCAAACTGTGTCAGAATTTTATTTCATTTTTTCCTGTGGCTGCTGTATTTCTATGTAAGAGAGTCATTAAGTCCAGTGAACTCTCAAGGAGAGGGGAATTAAGCTCTACTGCTTGAAGGGAAAAGTATACAAATTTTTTAAATGTGTTTTTAATTACTACAGGTAGTGGCAGTGGTGTCAGGAGCTGGCCAGCTTTTTCTTGTTTCCCTAATGGAAAGTTGAGGGTGGATCTCTGTGTTTCTGGACCCTGAAATTCCAAGGTCATAGGTAGACTGGTGGCAGTATTTCTAGAGGCTGGCCCTACAGAGTCGTGGATGAAGAACTGTATTCTTTATGTTGCTCAAGCTGGCCTCAAATTCCTGGGCTCAAAGGATCCTCCTCCCTCAGCCTCCTGAGTAGCTGGGACAACAAGCATGTGCCACCCACTGCACCCCACTCTATTTTATTTTTGAGAAGGGTTGCTAAGAAAGAATTTGAATGAGAAAGAAGAAACTCACATAGCTCTAGGCTGTCCACTGATGTTATAAAGTACTTTCATTCCCAGAGACACACCTTCTTGTGTTCTCTCTGAATGCTCCCTTTTTTATATTAAACCATTGCCCTACACAGTCAAGCTGCTAATTTCTACCCTTAAACACTCGAAATTGCCAGTTAATCAAGTTAAATCCTTGGTCACAGAGAAGCTACTTTATCTTAGTGTTTGACTGAAAATTTATCTGCATTTCAATAATACTGCATGTCACATTGAATAAAAATAGCACTTTTAAAAACGCCTTCTTCAAAGTAGTAGGTTGTCTAGCAGTCTAGTTTTTAGCAGTGAAACTTAGAATGACTTGCTTGGCAGTGGCTTCTGGAGAGCAGTTTCTTCGTGGGTTAAATGAAGATAAGAATATCTTCCTGACCTATCTCAAAAGTTTAATATGGGGCTCATAAGAGATAATAAGTGAGTTAAATATAAAATGCTACAAAATTTGCAAATGGTGAGTTGGAAATAGCTTTAGATGTCCAAACTCTCCATTTTAAACATAGAAAGTGACACCCAGAAAAGTGTCAAGAAAAACAGGGACAAGTGCCAGGAATTTCCTGAACTGGCTGCATTGATGAATGCCAACACAACTTTCACATTTTCACATTTCCAGCTGGAAGTAGCTGAGAGACATGAAGAACCAATAATTATGTGAGTCTTCCTAGTTCATACACAGATATTCTACAAAGTCATTGTTGTTAAATTCACTTACAAAAAATAGAATAGTCTTTAATTAAAAAAAATAAAGGCCATAATAAAATAATATTGCCATAGTTTTCTTACCTTTAGTGTCTTCATGCAATACCTGTAGTGTTCTTTGCTCCATTTTTTGAGCCCATCCTTGAAATTTCTTTTTATATTGTCATTGTACTTCTTCAACCATTGTATTGCTTTAACCAGAGAAGTATGGCCTGGTGGAATGCAGGCATTGTTACTATCTCTTGACATATAACATTTTCTAATACAGATTTCATAGATTTGGAATAGTTGAACTTTTCTGCTAAGTTACATCTTTACATTGACTCTACTCCTTAGTTTTGGTGCTCATTCCTGTGAGTACTTCGGTTATGTAACATTTTTCTCTGACATGGAAATCAGCAAACAGGCATGCTATGGCCAAAGGTAAAGCATCACAATAATGAAGAAGCTTACATAAAGGGAACATTGATGAATGCAGCAGCATGTGTTTGTGATTAAATCAAAGGCACATTCAAGGCTGCCTAGCAATCCAACCTGATTAACTGTTTTCCAAATCCTGATATAGTACAAAGTAATTGACAATGACAGGGATGGGGGGGAAATCAGATGCAAAATTGAGTATATCACTGTCAGATGGTTAACAAAACAAAGTGCCCAATGTCTTCTAAAGTTTCAATATTTCTAGAACTTATTTCTGAAACCAAACTCATTTTCACAGACAATAGAACAGTTTAGTGTCTAGACAATGGGAAAACATTAAGTTGTTAACAAGAGCAGATAAAACATCATCTTTTTTTTGCCATCTGTAAAGACACAAGGCCTGTTTTCTGTTATTTTGTACACTACACCTTCTAAGTCAGATCCCAAACTCACAGATTATTCTGGGATTGTATGAAATCCCTACCTTTTATTTATTTAAATAAAATGATATTGAAGTTAGTGAATATAATAGCTAATAAAAGCTAGTATTTGTTAGGTGCCATGAATATAAGACATTCTTTTTATTTTGTTATAATTTCTAATTCTCGTAACACATGCATTGAGTAGGAATTATCATCTCCATTTTATGAGAAAACCAAAGTCCACTGTTGTTGAGTACTTTGCCTAAAGTCACATAAGTAGTGAGGATTCTGGCTCAGACTACTCAGACCCTAAATCCCATGCTATTTCCATTCTTCTATGACTCCTTTTTATTCTTTCTAACCTCCATAGATTTGTGAGGATATAGCACAGCATGCAACATTTGAAAACTTTTTTTCCAGTATTATACCAATACAGTCATATAATTAACACAGCAGTATAAAGCCAGTGAATTTCATTATTTACAGCAGAGGCGGTAAAGAGAAGGTGGGATTTAGATTCAAATGACCTGGCCCTGCCATCTATCAGCCATGAAGCATTAGCCAAATCAGTTAATTCCACTGAACTTCACTTTTGATAATCTTTAAAAATAATGTGTTATCAAAGGGTTTTGTGGTCATTAAATGAAGTACTATTAACCAAGGAGTTTTTGCAAATGTGGGTTATTTTTATTAAGTAGAAGACTATTTAGTGAATCTGTTTGCCAGAGTGAATTATCAATAAGATTGATTTTGTCATTTTGGAGGTTCAGAGACGTTTCTGGCTAAGACCAAATGAGATGGCTAAATACTCACGGTCAGAATGTACCCTTCTGTTTTCACTCTCAAGACAGAGACACACTATTGTTCCTTTTAGCATCTTTAGCAATTTTATCAGTGTCTCCTGTAGAGTCCAGTAATCATTCACTGAGGGAAAGGGAATCAAACAACGAAGTTATGCTTGTTGCTGCCCAAATCAACAGGAAGAGCCTGGTTACATGCTGAGACATCACGCAAACCACTGCTGTGAAGAGGAGTGGATTGGGGCTGCACAGGTTGCAGAAGAGAGGCCCTGGAGAGACACTTAGAATCAAGGCTTGGAGATTGCTGGCAAGATGGCCAAATAGGAACAGCTCTGGTCTGCAGCTCCCAGCAAGATTGATGCAGAAGGTGGGTGATTTCTGCATTTCCAACTGAGGTACCCAGTTCATCTCACTGGGACTGGTTGGACAGTGGGTGCAGCCCATGGAGGGTGAGCCGAAGCAGGGTGGGGCATCGCCTCACCCAGGAAGTACAAAGGGTCAGGGAATTTTCTTCCCTACCTAAGGGAAGCTGTGAGGGACTGAGCCTGAGGAACTCTGGCACAGATACTATGCTTGTCCCGTGGTCTTCGCAACCTGCAAACCAGGAGATTCCCTGCGGTGCCTACCCCACCAGGTCCCTCAGTTTCAAGCACAAAACTGAGTGGCCATTTGGGCAGACACCAAACTAGCTGCAGGAGTTCTTTTTTTCCATACCCCAGTGGCACCTGGATCGCCAGCAAGACAGAACTGTTCACTCCCCTGGAAAGGGGTGCTGAAGCCAGAGAGCCAAGTGGTCTGGCTCAGCAGGTCCCACCCCCATGGAGCCCAGCAAATTAAGATCCACTGGCTTGAAATTCTTGCTGCCAGCACAGCAGCGGTCTGAGATTGATCTTCACAGCAGCGGTCTGAGATTGACCTGGGATGCTCGAGCTTGGTGGGGGAAGGGGTGTCCATCACTGTTGAGGCTTGAGTAGGCAGTTTTAGGCTCACAGTGTAAACAAAGCAGCCAGGAAATTTGAACTGGGCTGAGCCCCCTGCAGCTCAGCAAGGCTGATGTGGTCAGACTGCAGGATTTCTCTTCTCTGGGCAGGGCATCTCCGAAAAAAAGGCAGCAGCCCCAGTCAGGGACTTACAGATAAAACCCCCATCTCCCTGGGGCAGAGTGCCGGGGGAAAGGGGTGGCTGTGGGTGCAGCTTCAGCAGACTTAAACGTTCCTGCCTGACAGCTCTGAAGAGAGCAGCGGACCTCCCAGCACAGCATTCGAGCTCCGCTAAGGGTCGGACTGCTTCCTCAAGTGGGTCCCTGACCCCCGTGTATCCTGACTGGGAGACACCTCCCAGTAGGGGCCAACAGACAGCTCATACAGCTCTGGCTGGCATCTGGCAGGTGCCCCTCTAGGACAAAGCTTCCAGACGAAAGATTAGGCAGCAATCTTTGCTGTTCTACAGCCTCCGCTGGTGATACCCAGGCAGACAGGGTCTGGAGTGGACCTCCAGCAAACTCCAGCAGACTGGCAGCAGAGGGGACTGACTGTCAGAAGGAAAACTAACAAACAGAAAGGAATAGCACGGCCACTCAAAGACCCCATCCAAAGGTCACCAACAACAAAGAGCAAAGGTAGATAAATCCACAAAGATGGGGAGAAACCAGAGCAAAAAGGCTGAAAATTCCAAAAACCAGAATACCTCTTCTCCTCCAAAGGATCACAACTCCTTGCCAGCAAGGGAACAAAACTGGATGGAGAATGAGTTTGACGAATTAACAGAAGTAGGCTTCAGAAGGTGAGTAATAACAAACTCCTCCGAGCTAAAGGAGCATGTTCTAACCCAATGCAAGGAAGCAAAGAACCTTGAAAAAAGGTTAGATGAATTGCTAACTAGAATAACCAGTGTAGAGAAGAACATTAATGACTTGATGGAGCTGAAAAACGTAGCACGAGAACTTCGTGAAGCATACACAATTTCAATAGCTGAATCAATCAAGTGGAAGGAAGTATATCAGTGATTGAAGATCAACTTAATGAAATAAAGCAAGAAGACAAGATTAGAGAAAAAAGAATAAAAAGGAATGAACAAAGCCTCCAAGAATTATGGGACTATGTGAAAGACCAAATCTATGTTTGATTGGTGTACCTGAAAGTGATGAGAATGGAACCAAGTTGGAAAACACTCTTCAGGATATTATCCAGGAGAACTTACCCAACCTAGCAAGACAGGCCAACATTCAAATTCAGGAAATACAGAAAACACCACAAAGATACTCCTTGAGAAGAGCACCCCAAGACACATAATTGTCAGATTCACCAAGGTTGAAATGAAGGAAAAAATATTAAGGGCAGCTAGAGAGAAGGGTTGGGTTACCCACAAAGGGAAGCCTGTCAGACTAACAGCAGATCTCTCTGCAGAAACCTTACAAGCCAGAAGAGAGTGGGGGCCAATATTCAACATTCTTAAAGAAAAGAATTTTCAACCCAGAATTTCATATCCAGCCAAACTAAGCTTCATAAGTGAAGGAGAAATAAAATCCTTTACAGACAAGCAAATGCTGAGAGATTTTGTCACCACCAGGCCTGCCTTACAAGAGCTCCTGAAGGAAGCACTAAACATGGAAAGGAACAACTGGTACCAGCCACTGCAAAAACATAACAAATTGTAAAGAATATCGACACTATGAAGAAACTGCATCAACTAATGGGCAAAACAACCAGCTAGCTTCATAATGACAGGATTAAATTCACATATAATAATATTAACCTTAAATGTAAATGGGCTAAATGCCCCAATTAAAAAACACAGACTGACAAATTGGATAAAGAGTCAAGACTCATCAATGTGCTGTATTCAGGAGACCCATCTCATGTGCAAAGACACATATAGGCTCAAAATAAAGGGATGGAGGAAAATTTACCAAGCAAATGGAAAGCAAAAAAAAAAAAGCAGGAGTTGTAATCCTAATCTCTGATAAAACAGACTTGAAACCAACAAAGATCAAAAGGGACAAACAAGGGTACAATATAATGGTAAAGGGATCAATGCAGCAAGAAGAGCTAACTATCCTAAATATATATGCACCCAATACAGGAGCACCCAGATTCATAAAGCAAGTTCTCAGAGACCTACAAAGAGACTTAGACTCCCACACAATAATAGTGGGAGACTTTAACACCCCACAGTCAATATTAGGCAGATCAATGAGACAGAAAATTAACAAGGATATTCAGGACTTGAACTAAGCTCTGGACCAAGCAGACCTAATAGACATCTACAGAACTCTTCACCCCAAGTCAACAGAATATACATTCTTCTCAGCACCTCATCGCACTTATTCTAAAATTGACCACATAATTGGAAATAAAAAACTCCTTAGCAAATGCAAAAGAATGGAAATTATAACAAACAGTCCCTCAGACCACAGTGCAATCAAATTAGAACTCAGGATTAAGAAACTCACTCAAAACTGCACAACTGCATGGAAACTGAACAACCTGCTCCTGAATGACTACTGGGTAAATAACAAAATGAAGGTGAAATACAGATTCTTTGAAACCAATGAGAACAAAGACACAACATAACAGAATCTCTGGGATACATTTAAAGCAGTGTGTAGAGGGAAATTTATAGCACTAAATGCCCATAAGGGAAAGCAGGAAAGATTTAAAATTGACACCCTAACATCACAATTAAAAGAACTACGGAAGCAACAGCATACAAATTTAAAATCTAACAGAAGAGAAGAAATAACTAAGATCAGAGCAGAACTGAAAGAGATAGAGACACAAAAAACCCTTCAAGAAATCAGTGAATTCAGAAGCTGTTTTTTTGAAAGGATCAACAAAGTAGAGAGACAACTAGCCAGACTAATAAGGAAGAAAAGAGAGAAGAATCAAATTGGTGCAATAAAAAATGATATAGGGGGATGTCACCACTGATCCCACAAAAATACAAAGTACCATCAGAGAATACTATAAACACCTCTACACAAATAAACTAGAAAATCTAGAAGAAATGAATAAATTCCTGGACACATACACCCTCCCAAGTCTAAACCAGGAAGAAGTCAAATCCCTGCATAAATCAATAACAAGTTCTGAAATTGAGGCAATAATTAATAGCCTACCACCCAAAAAAAGCCCAGGACTAGACGGATTCACAATCAAATTCTACCAAAGGTACAAAGAAGAGCTGGTACCATTCATTCCTTCTGAAACTATTCCATCAACAGAAAAAGAAGGAATCCTCCCTAACTCATTTTATGAGGCCAGCATCGTCCTGTTACCAAAACCTGGCAGAGTCACAACAAAAAAAGAAAACTTCCGGCCAGTATCTCTGATGAACATCGATGTGAAAATTCTCAATAAAATACTGGCAAACCAAATCCAGCAGCACATCAAAAAGCTTATCCACCACGATCCAGTTAGCTTCATACCTGGGATGCAAGGCTAGTTCAACATATGCAAATTGATAAACGTAATGCATCACATAAAGAGAACCAATGAAAAAAACCACATGATTATCTCAATAGATGCAGAAAAGGCCTTCGACAAAATTCAACAGCCCTTCATGCTAAAATCTCTCAATAAACTAGGTATTGATGGAACATATCTAAAAATGATAAGAGCTATTTATGACAAACCCACAGCCAATATCATACTGAATGTGGAAAAACTGGAAGCATTCCCTTTGAAAACTGGCACAAGACAAGGATACCCTCTCTCACCACTCCTATTCAACATAGTATTGGAAGTTCTGGCCAGGGCAATCAGGCAAGAGAAAGAAATAAAGCGTATTCAAATAGGAAGAGAGGAAGTCAAATTGTCTCTGTTTGCAGATGACATGATTGTATATTTAGAAAACCCCATCGTCTCAGCCCAAAATCTCCTTAAGATGATAAGCAACTTCAGGAAAGTCTCAGGGTACAAAATCAGTGTGCAAAAATCACAAGCCTTCCTATACACCAACAACAGACAAAGAGAGCAAAATCATGAGTGAACTCCCATTCACAATTACTACCAGGAGAATAAAGTACCTAGGAATCCAACTTACAAGAGATGTGAAGGACTGCTTCAAGGAGAACTACAAACCACTGCTTGAGGAAATAAGAGAGGACACAAACAAATCGGAAAACATTCCATGCTCATGGATAGGAAGAATCAATATCGTGAAAATGGCCACACTGCCCAAAGTAATTTATAGATTCAATGCTATCCCCATCAAGCTACCACTGACTTTCTTCACAGAATTGGAAAAAACTACCTTAAACTTCATATAGAGTCAAAAAAGAGCCCACATAGCCAAGACAATCCTAAGCCAAAAGAACAAAGCTGGATTCATCACGCTACCTGACTTCAAACTATACTACAAGGCCACAGTAATCAAAACGGCACGGTGCTGATACCAAAACAGATATATAGACCAATGGAACAGAACAGGGTCCTCAGAAATAGCACCACACATCTACAACCATCTGGTCTTTGACAAAACTGACACAAACAAGCAATGGTAAAAAGATTCCCTGTTTAATAAATGGTGTTGGTGAAGCTGGCTAGCCATATGCAGAAAAGTGAAACTGGACCCCTTCCTTATACCTTATACAAAAATCAACTCGAGGTGGATCAAAGACTTAAATGTAAGACCTAGGACCATAAAAATCCTAGCAGAAAACCTGGACAATGCCATTCAGGACATAGGCGTGGGCAAAGACTTCATGTCTAAAGCACCAAAAGCAATGGCAACAAAAGTCAAAATTGACAAATGGCATCTTATTAAACTAAAGAGCTTCTGCACAGCAAAAGAAACTATCATCAGAGTGAACAGGCAACCTACAGAATGGGAGAATATTTTTGCAATCTATTCATCTGACAAATGGGCTAATATCCAGAATCTACAAAGAACTTAAACAAATCTATAAGAAAAAAACAACCCCATCAATAAGTGGGCAAAGGACATGAACAGACACTTCTCAAAAGAAGACATTTATGCAGCCAACAGATATATGAAAAAATGCTCATCATCACTGGCCATTAGAGAAATGCAAATCAAACCACAATGAGATGCCATGTCATGCCAGTTAGAATGGTGATCATTAAAAAGCCAGGAAACAACAGATGCTGGAGAGGATGTGGAGAAATAGGAACACTTCTACACTATTGGTGGGAGTGTAAATTAGTTCAACCATTGTGGAAGACAGTGTGGCAATTCCTCAAGGATCTAGAAGTAGAAATACCATTTGACCCAGCAATCCCATTTGTGGGTATATACCAGAAGGATTATAAATCATTCTACTATGAAGACACATGCACACGTATGTTTATTGCAGCACTATTCACAATAACAAAGACTTGGAACCAACCCAAATGTCCATCAATAATAGACTGGATAAAGAAAATGTGGCAAATATACACCATGGAATACTATGCAGCCATAAAAAAGGATGAGTTCATGTCATTTGCAGGCACATGGATGAAGCTGGAAACCATCATTCTCAGCAAACTATTGCAAGAACAGAGAACCAAACACTGCATGTTCTCATTCATAAGTGGGAGTTGAATAATGAGAACACATTGATATAGGGAGGGGAACATCATACACTGGGGCCTGTCGTGTGGTGGGGGGCTAGGGGAGTGATAACATCAGGAGAAATACCTAATGTAGGTGACGGGTTGATGGGTGCCACAAACCACCATGCCAGCAAACCACTGTGTAACAAAACTGCACGTTCTGCACATGTTTCCCAGAACTTAAAGTATAATTTAAAAAAAAAAGAAGCAAAAAAAAAAAAAAAAAAAAAAAGAAGGCTTGACCAACATGGCAATGTTGCTCATTGACAGACTGCTAGACAGCCCAGCAGGTAACACAAATGAAGATGTGCTTCTGGGGTCAAGGCGACTGGAAGAACATGAATTCAGAGGGGACCTTGCAAAAGTACCTAAATAACCAACCAGCCCAAAGTAAGGTCTTCTAGGTGCCCATAATGGACAACATCATGCTCAAACAATAGCTTGTTTACAGCAATCTATTCATACTCTCATCTGTTTTATCATTTTCAAAGACTACTTTGGGGGATGAAGAATAAAAAAATTAGGTGGTATGATCAAAGCCTTTTTTTAAAAAAATAAATTTTATTGCATATTTAAGGTACACAACATGATATTATGGGATACATATAGATATTAAAACAGTTACTATATTGAAGCAAATTAACATATCCATAAAAACACATATTTACTTTTTTTTTTTGCTTTTGTGGCAAGAGCAGCTAAAATCTACTCATTTAGCATGACTCCCATATGGTTCTTATCACCTATAGTCCTCATGTGGTATATTAGATATCTATACTTGTTTATCCTTCATACTTGCTATTTGTATCCTCTGATCTACATTTCCTCTTCCCCTCACCTTTGGTAACTACTGTTTTGTTATCTATCTCTGTATATTTGTTTTTTTTAAAAAAATTTGACATATAAGTGAGATCATGCAATATTTTTCTTTCTATATCTGACTTGTTTCACTTAGCAGAATTTCCTCCAGGCTCATCCACGCTGTGGTAAATGGCAAGATCTTGTTTCTTTTTAGGGTTGAATAATATTCCATTGCATATATGTGCCATAGTTTCTTTATCCACTCATTTGTAGATGGACACTTAAGTTTTTTCCGTATCTTGGCTATTGTGAATAATGCTACAATAAAAATGGGAGTGCAGATGTTTTTTACAAGGTTGTTATTTCATTTCCTTTGGGTGTATGCCAGAAGAGGAATTGTTGAGACATATGGTAGTTCCATTTTTAACTTTTTAGGAAATCTCCATACTGTTTTCCATAATGGCTCTACCAGTCTCCCTTTCCACCAACAGTGTATAAGTACCTTTTCTCTATAACCTTGCCAACATTTGTTATCTTTTGACTTTTTGATAATTGCCATCCTAAGGGGTGTGAAGTGGTTTCTTACAGAGGTTTTGAGTTGCAATTTCCCTCATGATTAATAATGTTGAGCACCTTTCCATATACCCGTTGGCCATTTTTAAGTTTTTTAACAAGAAATGTTTATTCAGGTCTTGCCCATTTTTAATTGGGTATTTTTCCACTATTGTATTGTATGGATTCTTTATAAATTTTGGATACTAACTTCTTATCAGATATATGGTTTGCAAATATCTTTTTCCCAAACCATAGGCTGCATTTCATTTTGTTGATTGTTTCCTTTGCTACGCAGAAGCTTTTTAGTTTGATATAATCCCATCTATTTATTTTTGCTTTTTGGCCTAAGGTTTTGGGGTGATAGCCACAAAATCTTTGCCAAGACTGATGTTCAGATTTCTACCTATGTTCTCTTGTAGAAGTTTTATAGTTTCAGTTCTTTTATTTAGGTATATTATCTACTTTAAGTTGATTTTTATGTATGGTATAAGATAAGGGTTCAATTTCATTCTTTTGCAATGTGGAAATCCAGTTTTCCTAGCTCCACTTTCTGAAGAGACTATCCTTTCTGCATTGTGCTGTCTTGGCACCCTTGGCAAAAAATTAGTTGATCATATATGTTTGGATTTATTACTGGGCTCTCAATTTTGTTCCACTGGCCTATATGTCTGTTTTTAATGCCAGTACCATATTGTTTTGATTATTATAGCTTTGCAATATGATTTTAAATCAGAAAATTTGAGGCCTCCAACTTTATTTTTCTTTCTCAGATTTTTTGAGTGTGACTATTTGGGATCTTTATGTTTCCATATTTTCTTAGTCTGTTTTGTATTGCTGTAATAGAATACCTTAGACTGGGTAATTTATAGGGAACAAAAATTGATTTCTTACAGTTAGGGAGGCTGGGAAGCCCAAAGTCAAGAGGCCTCCATCTGACAAGGGACTTCTTGCTGTGTCATCCCATGGTGGAAGGTGGAAGAGCAAGAGAACACTTGTGAGAGAGAGCAAGAGGGGCCCAAACTCACACTTACAACAAAGCCACTCTAGAGATAACTAACTCACTCTCACAATAATAACATTAATCCATTCATGAGGGCAGAGTCCTTACACCAAATCACTTCTTATTAGGTCCAACTTCCTAACACTGTTGCATTGGGGATTAAATTTCCGACACATTAACTCCAGGGAACATATTCAAACCATAGCATATATGAATTTTAGTTTTTTTCTATTTCTATGAAGAATGCCATTGGGATTTTAATACAGATTTCACTTAATCTGTATATTGCTTTGGGTAGTATGAACATTTAAAAAATACTAATTCTTCCAATCCATAATCATTGATATCTTTTTGGATCTTCTTCAGTTTTTTTCATGAATATTTTATAGTTTTCAGTGTATAGATCTTTCACCTCTTTGGTTAAGTTTCTTCCTAGATATTTAATTTTTTTGATGCTAACATAAAAGGGATTTTTTTTCCTTGATATCTTCTTCAGTTATGTCATTATTTGTGTATAAAAGCGCTATGGATCTTTGTATGTTAATTTTGTACCCTAATACTTTACTGAATTCTTTAATTAGTTCATATAGGTTTTTTTTGTGGAATTTTTTTTAACGGATAGGATTATGTCACCTGTCATTGAGATAATTTTGCTTCTTCCTTTCCAATTTGGATGCTTTTTCTTTTTCTTGTCTGATTTCTCTTGCTAATACTTCAAGTACTATGTTGAATAGAAGTGCCTTGTACTAAATCTTAGTGAAAAAGCTTTCTATTTTTTCCCATTGATTACAATGCGGGTTTTTCATAGATGGCCTTTATTATGTTCAGAATCTTTCTTTTTATACCTAAACTCTTGACAGTTTTTATCAAGAAAGAATTTGTGGACTTTGCTGAATGTTTCTTCCATGTTAATTGAGATGATCATGTAGATTTATCTTTCATTTGGTAAATGTGATGTATCACATTGGTTGATTTGCATATCTTAAACCAGACTCACATGCCAGAGATAAATCCCACTTGGCCATTGATATGGTTTGGCTGTGTCCCCACCCAAAACCTCATCTTGAATTGTAACCCCATATTCCCAGTAATCCCCATGTGTCAATTGCAGGACCAGGTGGAGGTAATTGGATCATGGGGGTGGTTTCCCCCATGCTGTTCTTGTGATAGTGAGTGAGTCTTGGATGATCTGATGGTTTGATAAACATCTGGTATTTTCCTTGCTTGCACTCACTCTGTCCTGCCACCCAGTGGAGGAGGTGCCTGCTTCTCCTTTGCCTTCCACCATAATTGTAAGTTTCCTGAGGCCTCTGCAGGCATGCAGAACTGTGAGCCAATTAAACCTCTTTCCTTTATAAATTATCCAGTCTCAGGATTTCTTCACATCAGTGTGAGAATGAACTAATACAGCCATTATGTATAATCTTTTTGATGTGTTGTTGGATTCAGTTTGCCAATATTTTATTGAGAATTTCTGCATCAATGTTAATCAGAGAAATTGGCCTGTAGTTTTCTTTTCTGGTGAAATCTGTACCTGGCTTAAGTAGGAAGGTAATGCTGGCCTCATAAATTGTGTTTGGAAGTATTCCCTCTACTTCTATTTTTGGGAAGGACATTATTGGTATTAATTCTTCTGTGAATGCTTGGTAGAATTTAGCTGTGAAGCCATTTGGTCTTAGGCTTCTCTTTAGTGGGAGGTATTTGATTACTTCTTCAATTTCCTTTACTTGTTATTAGTCTGTTTAGGCTTTCTTTTTCTTCTTGGTTCAATCTTGGTAGATCGTATTTTTCTGGGACTTTAACCAAGTCCTTTGGGTTAACCAAATTATTGGAATAAAATTGTTCATAATAGTCACTATGATTCTTTTTATTTCTGAGGCATCTGCTGTAATTTATTTTCATTTTTGATTTTACTTGTTTGAGTATTCTTTCTTTTTTTCTTAAACTAGCTAAGAGTTTTTCCGTTTTATTTATTTTTTTCAAAAACTACTCAGTTTTATTTATTGTTTCTGTGATTTTTGTGTTCTCTGATTTATTTCTGTCCTGGTTTTTATTACTTCCTTATTTCTGCTAATTTTTGGTGTAGTTTTTTTTTTTTTTTAGTTCTTTGAGATGTAATATTAGACAAATGTGTTTGAAATCTTTCTTCTTTTATATACAGGCATTTATTGTTATAAACTTACCTCTTAGAACTGCTTTTGCTGCATCCCGTAGATTTTGGTACACCGTGTTTCCATTATTATTTGTATCAAACTATTTTAAATTTTCCCTTTGATCTCTTTGACCAATTGGTAGTTCTGACCATGTTATTTATTGTCCACATATTTGTAAATTTTCCCTGATTCTTCCTGTTATTGATTTCTAGTTTTATACCACTACAGTCCAAAATGATGCTAAGTATGATTTCAATCTTCTTAAATTTGTTGACTTATTTTTTTTGCTTACCATATAGTGTATCCTAGAGAATGTTTCATGTGGACTGGTGCAAAATGTGGATTCTGCTGCTGTTGGATGGCAAGTTTTGTATATGTCTGGTATGTCCATTTGGTCAAAAGTGCAACTTAATTCCAGTATTTTCTTATTAATTTTCTGTCTGGTTGGTCTACCCATTGTTAAAAGTGGGACACTGAAGTCCCCTATTATTATTGCATTGCTAGTTATCTCTTTCTCCCTTCATGTTCATTAATATTTGCTTTGTGTATTTAGGTGCTCCAATGTTGAATGCATATAAATTTCCAATGGCTCTCTTCTCCTGGTTGACTCCTTCATCATTTAATAATGACCTTGTTTGTCTCTTGTGACACTTTTTACTTGAAGTTTATTTTATCAGATATGAGTGTAGCCACTTCTGCTCTCTTCTGGTTATCATTTGCATGAAATGTCTTCTTCCACTCTTTTACTTTCAGTGTACGTGTTTCCTTAAAGCTTGAGTTTCCTCTTGTAAGTAGCATATAATTGGATCTTATTTTTATAAAATCTATGTAGCCAGTCTGAGTCTTTTGATTGGAGAATTTAGTTCATTTACATTCAAGGTTATTACTGATAGGTAAGGAATTACTACCGCCATTTTGTTATTTTCTGTTTTTTTTAAAGCCCCTTTCTTTATTCCTTCCTTGTTTACCTTCGTGATTTGAATTTTTTTGGTAATGCTAAGCTTTGATTCCTTTCTCTTTACTTTTTGTATATTTGCTGTAGTGTTTTTCTGTTTTGTGGTTATCATGAGGCTTATCTAAAACACCTTATTTTTAAAATCTACTATTTTAAGCTGATGAAAACTTAACTTCTGTTGCATACAAAAACTGGAATTTTACCCTCTACCCCATTTATATTTTTGATGTCATAATTTACATCTCTTTATATTCTGTAGTCTTTAACAACTTATTGTAGCTTTAGTTATTTGTGAACATTTTTATGTTGCATCTTTATACTAAAGATAAGTATGATTTACACACCACACTTACAGAATTGGAGTTCTTCCACTAAGCCAAGTTCTATTGCTCCAGGGCACATCTCAGCAGCTTAGGCCCATGAGGCTGGGATGTAGCTGTGGTTCTGACCCTGGGGGGCAAGTTATACCACTGGCATGGCCCTGGGGAAGAAGGCATGCTCTGGAGGCTTAGGCCCCAAGAATCAGGGCATAGTTGCAATTTGGGACTCAGAACCAATAGGGCACTTTGGCAGCTTGGGACCCAAGGGATGAGGTACCACACAGAGTCACAGAATTGTGACTTTGGACCCTGAGATGGTGGGATATGGCAGTAGCCCAGGCTCTTTGAGGCCAGGGGCAGCAGCAGTAAGGACCCAGATGGCAAGATGCTGCTG
Organism: Homo sapiens; assembly: GCF_000001405.40. NCBI lineage: Eukaryota > Metazoa > Chordata > Mammalia > Primates > Hominidae > Homo > Homo sapiens. Next base: position 71,010,129 of record NC_000006.12, read on the forward strand.
TGGCTTTGTCCCAGAAGATGGGTAGGAGTGTAATGATGATTCTACTGCCTGGAGATTGGGGTGCCTCAGTAGCTTGACCTGAGTCAGGGCTAGTTCAGTTCCAGGTAGGCAGAGAACTGTGGTGGCTTGGCCTGGAAGGCAAGGTGATCCAGCTCAGCCAAGGCTTTGATTCCCCAGGATGCAAGGCACTGTGTCTACTGAGCCCTAGAAATTTCAGCTACCAGGTTCAGTGGAGCCTCTGCATCCCTGATGGTAGAGTGCAGGATGAGCTGGGGTGCTGGGAGGTGCAACTGCTCTCTTGTGCAGAAGACCTGAGGTCCCTGGTGGATGGGCTACTACATCTGCTCTGGGGCCAGGGTCATGACTTTTCCCGTGTTCAGGAGGCCACAGGACTGGATGCTGCCTCAGCTGTAGCTCTAGGGGTGTGACTGCTCTGAGAGTTCAAAGTTCTGGATCCCTGGCTGTGGGGTATCACTTCAGTTTGTCCCTGAGGAGAGGGAATACCAGCAACTGAGACGGCAGGATGAAACGGCTTTGTGGTAGCTTGGTCCTGGGGGTTGGATGTAGCAGCAACTCTGCTCAGAGATACTGGGCTCCTGGGTAGATGTGGGACAGGGGTGGCTGAGCCTCTTGGGATGGAGGTATACAATGGCTACTCACCCTGGAGCAGAGCTCACTCTAACATTGCTTCTGTTCCACAGTGGTGCAGAGAAGTAGCAGTACAGGCTAGTGGAGGCATGCAGTATAGGCTCCTCTAAGGTTAGCTCAGCATATGGACTCCAGGGAACTGTCTCAGCTGGGCTCAGAACCTGTGAGGACTGTAGGAGTCTCCAGTAGTGAAGACTGCAGGTAGCCGAGATGGTGATGGGGGTGCTGGGATCCTCTTGCTCACCTTTTCCCTGCAAGGAAAAGTCCCTCCTGGTTCCAAGCTGATCTCAACTGTGGGGATGGAGTGGTGGAGGCGAGGTATTTTCTTCCATTTTCTATGTGGCCATCTTGGGTTTCTGAGCTCTATAGGATTCCTGCTGGATTTTTCCTATTCCCTAGTGCTCTCTTTTAGCTATTTTAGTCAAAATGTAGTTATTTATTCATTGTTTTGTTCTGTTTTGTGTGTGTGGAAGAGTGCTAGGAGCTTCTAGTTGGCCATCTTACTGATGTCCTAATTTGTATGTCCTAATTCCATAAAGACTCCAAAGTCTTTATGGAATTCTAAATTTTTATGAATCCAAAGACAGCATAAACATAAAACAGGTTTATTTCAACTATAGACACAAAGCAAACATTTTTGTTGTGCATTCCTTGACTAAGGCCTTTAACCATAAGCTATGTAATACCAGACTAGATCACTATTGACCGTCCCTCACCTTCCTAAACTGTGCTTAGTGACAGCCGCTGACAAACCTGAGGAATAGGGAAGCCAACAATTACACAGTCCCAAACAAACATGGTATACAACCAAACCTCCACAATTTTACCATCTCTTTCTTCTTTTTCTATCTATCTGCCTGTCTCTGTCCCCTTCTCTTTCTCTGTTTTATGCACACACACACACACACACACACACACACACAGACACACACGCTTCCTTCTCCCTCCCGTCCTTTGCTGATGTGTCTGGGAGGGGGGCTGAATCAGGAGCAGGGGGGCTGGTCCCTGGCTTGGCTTTTTTTCTGGGTCACCTCTTGCTGACCCCCAGGTGCTCAGTTCTCTTCTCCGGTGCCTTGTTCAGCCCCCTTTGCTCTTGCTTCTTCATTTTTTTTCTGATGTGAAAACATCCTGGGAAATTTGCATATTTGGCTGTAGTCAGGAGGTCTTGGACAGGGTTTAGTGACTGTGTTGGAACCATTTGCTATTCTCTCACTAATCCCATAGACAGGAGATGGGGGAGTGAGGGTGGGTGGAATCTCACCACTGCCCCCTGAGAGGGAGTAACTGAATCAATAGCACTGTAGCTGTTTCCATCTGTCAGGGTGACATGCCAACTGGCTAATGCTGAATTATTGATACTCCTTCCCAAAGTGAGTTAACCAAACAATTCAAAATCAGTGAAAAGGGGGTGGTCGATTGCAAATGAGGTTAAGTCCATTTTGTCACAAGGACAGGAAGCTGATGGCTGCCTCCAAGCCAAATCTGCTTGATTTATGTTATTGCTGAGAGGTCTTCAGTGCCACAAAGGGAAAGAACACAATAGAACAACAAAATTAGCCTTTTTACAAAAGAGGATTCAGATCACTTTCCAAATGAGCCATATTTACTACTAGCTCCCCATCCCCCCAGCAGTAGAACTGGTATAGAAATAACCAGAAGGGAAGTTCTTTCATAGTTAAAAAAAAAAAAAAAAAAAGCCAAGGTTTCCTTGAAAAACTGGATTCCTCCATGAATTTGACCCTCAATCTTGACTGAAAGGTGATTACTGGAAACACAAAAGCTCACTGGCTAAATTCCTACTCTGATTTCTCTACCGGGTATTAGGATCCGTAGAGCAATTAATGAACCTGAGATATGACAACCCACTGATTTTACTGAGCAGTGTCTTGGGAGATCACAAAGCATTCTCTTATGTATTCAGTGTCATAAATTCTACCCTTTAGGGAGCACATTAATTGTTATGCACTGAGTAAACAGCTGCTTTATATTGTTTACAGAGGTGCCAGGAGGTGCTTGCCCTGAAATTGTGTATGCCCCAGGCTGCCAGGTGTAATAAATAAATGGGCAAGTTGTGAATTTCCATTCATTTAGATGGACTTTTTATTAAAGTGCCTGCCAAGACACATGCACAGACCAGAATGTTTAAAGAATTAACGTTCATAGATTTTAAACATTCCACAGCATTTCACCTGTCTACAGTTTTCAATCTTTCTCAAAGCCTAGTGAACTGTTACAAACACAGGTCTGTAGCACCATCTAGTGGACAGGAAGCAGGGGTAGTGCACAGATAACTGGCTATAAAATTTGAAAGCCAAATTTCGGGTATGGCCCAACCTTCTTGTTCATCGTAGGGTATCCCAGTCATATTCTGAGCAGAATGAAACATGAATTGGATGGCAGGAATGGGTGCTACAGTTTGGCTGAGGCATCCATTATTTGGGGAGGAAGCGGGGGTGGAGGCTGCAACCAGATGGAGCAGTGCATTGATCTGTGCATTTTGATCAGTGGAGAAATCAGTTATTAATCAACAAAGAACTATTGATTTCCCAGCACAGCTGCAGCCAGACAACAGCGTATCAGCTGTTACTATTAACAACCAGTGTTTTGGGAAGTTAACCACTAGCAACTCTGCCCTTGGCTTCAGTAAACAGATCATTAAATGATGGGAAGAACCTGAACTCTCCAGAGGGACAGCTAGAGGAGACTGAGGAATTTTAAACAAAACATGAAACTAATTTGCATTTTGTAGTTCAAAATGGAGCTAGTCATTAGCTCCTTTTAGACAAAAATAATGTGAAAACTGTATATTTATACTGTGTGCATTTTTTGGCTTAACTAAAAATTCAGTTATTAGGACCAATAAAAAAATCAATAATCAACAAATATTATCAACAGCCTACCTCGTACCAGGCACTCCTCTAGGGGAAACAGACATTAAATCCCTGCCTTTGTATTAATATTTAATAGTTGGCATCATGTGACATAGACATTATGGTGCTGCCACAAAGTGGAACCAAAGTTTCTCTAATTTTGTATAAACACACTTTAGAGTTACACTAAAATACCATTATGGCACGAGATATATTTCTCAAAAGAGAAACAATAACCAAATATATTCAGTTTAGCCATTAACATTTTTCTCTTATTTCACTTTAATGGGATTATCCTTATTGATAATGCTAAATATTTACTTGGGCCTTCAACAAGGGGTGTGTGTGTGTGTGTGTGTGTGTGTGTCTGTGTCTGTGAAATTGTCCTATAACCAGCAATTTCAGATGAATGAGTATAAAGTGCTTCAGGCACTTGGACTAAAGCTGGTTCCTAAAAGCTTGCTGCACAGGGTCCATTGTCAAAGGAAGAAAAACTGGTGTTGGAGGCTGCCTGCCATGCTGGGTTGATTATTGGGATTTCACACTCTGTTCTGTGGGGACAAGAACCATCCAACTCTGGAAGGATTGACATCTGGAGAATCTGGCAAGTTAGGGAAGGGACATGAGGAAAAACTATAGTTTAAAAAATTTTAATGTTATAGATAGGACTGTAAAAAGCCAGGAGTATGATAACAGGAGTTCTTCAATTTTAGGTAAAAAATTTATTTAAAAAATTTCCCAGCTTTAGTGAGGTATAATTGACAAATAAAACTTGTATATATTTACAATGTACAATGTAATGTTTTGAAATATGTGTATGTTGTGAAATGATTGATCAAGCTAATTCACATATATATTATCTCACGGAGTTATGTTTTGTGGTGAGAACATTTAAGATAATCTCTCAGCAGTTTTCAAGTATATAATATTTTTAAAAGTATATGTTATTATTGTTTATAGTCACCATACTGTACAATAGATCTCCAGAATTTATTCATCCCAACTGAAATTTTGTATTCTTTGACCAATATCTCCCCATCACAGCCCCTTCCCCAACTTATTTATTTCGGATTTGATTTGCAGAGCGATTGATAGACTTCTATGTTTCAGACACTGAAGTAACTAAGATGAGTAAGACAAGCTTCCTGCATGTGAGATACTTCTTCTTAAGTAATGGAGAAGAAACTTGGGTAATTACCATTAGTATGAAGAGAAATAGCTGATAAATAGTCTTTAGAGCAGTAGTTCTCAAACACAAACGTGCATTAGAATCACCTGCAGGGTTTGTTAAACTACCGATTGCTGTGACCACGCCCAGAGGTTTGGCTTCAGTAGGTCTTCGGTGGGTTCTGAGAATTTGCATTTCTAACAAGCTCCAGGTGATACTGATGGTTTGTCTACCACTATTTTAGAGGGGGGTGGTGGTGGGTAGGGAAGGCTTCAAGGAGGAGTGACAACTCTGCTAGGACTGGTAATAAATATTAAGAGTTTGGTAATGGAGAGGGGGCATGAGCATGCCAGGCAGAGAACGGCATGAGAAGATACATCCGGGAATGAGTGAGCCATTCAGGGACACTAAAGTTCCAGGCACACGGGGAAGAGCAGGGAGATGAGGCCCAAATTGCAGGCCAGGGCATTTCTCAAGGGCCTTGAGTGCTGGGTTAAGAGTCAGGACATTGCCCCATGAACAATGTGGAACCATTAGAGGTTTTTCAGAAGAGTGACATGATCAGATTTGTTTCCTAGACAGGAAATTGTTTACCATTTGAAGAGAGGAGAACCAGAGGCAGGAAAAGCAATTAGGAAGCTGTTTCAATGGTCCAGGTGATAGATATTAGGGGCTTTAACTGAGCTGATGGAGGTAGGAATGAACACACAAAAACAAATGAGAAAGAGATTTAGGAGGTAGGATCAATTGTAATTAGGGACAGAGAAAGAGGAACTGAGGTCCATGATGTAATGCTGGGGTGCCTGAATGGAAAGTCTTAGTGTAAGTTGAGATACTATAAGATAAAAAGTCATTTTTGGAGGAAAATAGTTAAATTGATTTTGGAAAGAATAAGCTTGAAGTGTTGTTTAAAAAAAAAAAAAAGAAAAGAAAAATGGGGACAGGTTGGCAGCACCTGTGTTAAGCCAGAATTGAACTAATGAACTAGTGATGGAATTAAGGTTTATATTCATCCTTTAAATGTTAAGCCATGAAAAGATGGACTCACATTTTTTTTTCTTATTATTTCAACATAGCCAATTGAAATTGGGAGTTCATGTAGTCAGGGCTACATAAAAAATTATTCTATCCACTACTCATACACATCCTATGTATAATGTGCTTAAAACATGATTAGAGAGATGAAACAAGGACACTTGAAATGATAAGAAGATTAGACTTTAAGTACATATTAAGTGAGTGATGTGGATGAGCGAGATTATTTCCAGTTAAAACATTCAGAGAAAGCTTCAACATCTTTCCCTTCTTCTTTATTACCTACCTCTTTTCTCTGACGCTCATCAATCAGGTATCTTTACCCCCTTGTTCATGCCCTTTGGCTAGCAGAAGGGCTGAGCAGAAAATTTCATAGAAACATAATGAAGATGTGTTAAGAGGCCCAGGAGATTCTCAATGGCAGGGAGTTAGAGGGCAGGTCAGAGACAGCAGTGTATCTCAATTTTAACGTGCACGGAATCACCTGGAAATCTAGTTAAAATGCAGATTCTGATTTGCCAGTGGGGCCTGAGATTCTGCATTTCAATCAAGCTCTCAAGTGATGCCTCTGTGCTGCTGGTCTGTGGACCATACTGAGTAGCAAGGTGCTAGGGCATTTTCGGCCCACGTGGTTGAAACTATTGGCTGTGGAGTTAGACAGATTCGAGACAGAATATTGCCTCTGTCAGTTATTAGGTGGTTAACCTTGGGCAGGTTATTAAACCTCAATCTAAGTTTTATCTTCTGTAATAATAATATCTTACTTATGGGGTTGATAATGTCAATGTTCTTTCTGACACCCATGGTATCCTTGAAGGATGGCTTTTATGCCATTTTCAGGGGTTATCTTTATCTTAAAAATTAATATTCAATTTAAATAAAGTTACAGATTCAAAACTTTAAGAGCTCAGTCAAGCAGTGTCAGTGTTTGAGTCTTAGCTCTCCTTACTCTGACTTTGGGCCAAGGACTTATCCTTGTACACATCAAATCATTTAACCTTCACCACAACTCTGTAGAGGTGCCTTTATTACTTCTAGCTGAGGTCTCAGTTTCCACTGCTGTAAACTGGGAATACTAATGGGGTAGTTGTGAGGAATAAATGAGTTAATGTGCAAAAAGTGTTTATAAAAGGCTTGGCACATAAAAAACTTTATCGTTCCTTAAGCCTTTAGGTTCAACTCACAAATCTTAGCTTTCTGTTTATAAATCTATAAAATTTTAACAATTATTTTTAAAGTAACATTTACGACTGAATTAATTTTTCTTATATACTTTAAATTGCATTTCTACAGTTGGTGTTCTTTATTTTCTTCAAGAAATCCAATTGTCTGAAAAACAGATCATATAAAGAACTTAAATAATCCTTATAAATATGAAACTTTAAACTTACAAATATGGGGAGTTTAAAGTAGTGACATAGCAATGGGAGTGACAGATGTGGTCCACTCTTGGGTACAGACAGTAAAGGGGTATGTGATCTGTAGATAATTTAAAAACAATAATAAAAGCAATTAAGTATTGTTGGTCTGCCTTTTATTATCATCATGTACTGACATACTATCAATAACAGTGACAAAATACTCCTTATGCTGGAATGGACCACTTCTATAGTCTGCACCCCTTGGTACACCCAGGGTAATCTTAAGTGCTCTTTAATGTTCCAATACTGCTTAGAATGTTGGCCAAATTCTCTTTTAGTTTTACATTAAAAATGACAATCTAACGCCAGGCATAGTGGCTAGTGCCTGTAATCTCAGTGCTTTGAGAGGCCAAGGTGGGAGGAACACTTGAGGCCAAGAGTTAAGACCAGCCTGAGCAACATAGCAAGCGCCCCCCACAGCTACTCAGGTGGCTGAGGTGAGAGGGTTGCTTGAGCCCAGGAGTTTGAAGCTGCAGTGAGCTATGATTGTGCCACTGCACTCCAGCCTGGGTGACAGAGCAAGATCCTCTCTCTAAGAAACAACAACAACAACGACAATACAACAACAAATGCAAAACAAATCCAAGTTGTCTCTAGGCTTATCTATAATAACTCATACATGTCTCTAAATATTATAAGTAATTAAAATAAAATATTCACTAATATTTCCCCCTAAACATAGCTTAAAATATTAATACTATAGGTTTGATTTATATCAACATTTATACCTTTAATTATAAATTTTCCCAGAGGTTTGCAATGTTAACTCAATAATGGAAAACTTGTCATAAAAGCAGAACAGTGTCATGGGTTAAGAGAATAGATTATTGGAGCAGACTGCCTGGTTTTGAAGATTAGCCCTGCCACTTGCTAGCAGTGTAGCCCTTAGCTGGTTATATAACCTCTCTGTGTCTCAATTTTCTCATGAGGGCATACTAATAACAAGTAGCTACCTTATAAGATGACTAAATAAATTATGATACCAAACCACTTAGCATATATTAGAAATTAATTGATCATATAAGCATGGGTCTATTTCTAAATTTTGATTCCATTTTATTGGTATGTTTGGACTATTTCATGCTATCTGGATTGTGCCTATTTTTGGACTAATATCATGCTATCTGGATTATGGTATCTTTATATGAAGTCTTGAATTCAAATCAGGTAACACAAGTTATCCAATGTTCCTTTTAAATGTTGTTTTAGCTATCCTTTACTGGTGAAAATTTCTGGGCCTGAAAATTACTTTGTGGGGAGGTTTTAAATTTTAAATTCAATTTATTTAACAAATATAGGCCATTCATTAAAAAAATTCTCATGTAATAAATTTTGGTAATTTTTTAGCACAAAGTTATTTATAATAGCTCCTTATCCTTTAAAAATATGTTGTTTCTGTCTCTTCAAACTATTCCAGAAAAGTGAAGAGGAGGGAATACTTTCAAACTTATTTTACAAAGCCAGAATTACCTTGATTCCAAAACCAGACAAGACAACAATAAAAGAGAGTTACAGGCCAATATCCTTGATTAACATAGATACAAAAATTCTCAACAAGATACTAGCAAACCGAATTCAATAGCACATGGAGAAGATCATTCAGTATGATCAGGTGAGATTCATCCCAGTGATACAAGAATGGTTTAACATACACAAAATCAATACATATGATACACCACATTAGTAGAAAGACAAAAACCATGGTCATCTCAATAAATGCTTTAAAAGCATTTGACAAAATTAGACATCTGTTCATGATAAAAACTCTCAACAAACTAGGTATAGAAGGTATGTATTTCAACATAATAAAGGTCATATATGACAAACTCACAGCTAACATCATACTAAATGGAGAAAAGTTGAAAGATTTTCCTTCAAGATCTGGAGCAAGACAAGAACACCCACTTTTACTACTTTTATTCAATATAGTACTGGAAATCCTAGCCAGAGCAATTGGACAAGAGAAAGAAGTTAGAAGGAAGTAAAAGTATCCCTATTTGCAGACAACATGATCTTATACAGAGAAAACCCTAAAAGACTTCATCAAAAAGCTGTTAGAATTAATAAATGAATTCAGTAAAGTTGCAAGATATAGAATCAACATACAAAAATCAGTAGCATTTCTATGTGCCAGTTTTGAACTACCTAAAAAAGAAATCAAGATAATGATCTCATTTACAGCAGCTACAAAATAGGTACCTAGGAATAAACTTAACCAGGGAAGTGAAAGAGTTCTATGTTGAAAACTATAAAACACCGATGAAAGAAACTGAAGAGAAAACAAATAAATGGAAAGATATCCCACGTACATGGACCGGAAGAATTAATATTGTTAAAATGGTCATATTACTGAAAGTGATCTACAGATTAATGCAATCACTATCAAAATACCAATGAAATTCTTCACAGAAATAGAAAAAGTGATCCTAAAATTTATATAGAATCACAAAAGACCCCAAATAGCCTAAGCTGTCCTGAGCAAAAAGAACAAAGCTGGAGGAATCACAGTAACCTGACTTCAAAATATACCACAGAGCTATAGTAACCAAACCAACATACTGGCATAAAATCAGACATATAGACCAATGAAACAGAATACAGAGCCCAGAAACAAATTTATGCACCTACAGCCAGCTTGATCTTTGACAAAGATGCCAGAAGCACACACTGAGGAAAGGACAGTCTCTGCAATAAATGGTGCTGGGAAAATTGGATACTCACATGCAGAAGAATGAGACTAGACCTACCTTTCACCATATTAAAAAATCAATGCAAAATGAATTATAGACTTCACATAAAACCCCAAATTCATGAAACTACTAGAAGAAAACAGAAAAAATGCTTCATGACATTGGGCTGGGCAAGGATTTTTAAAATAAGACTGAAAAAGCATTGGGTGCAGTGTACACTGCTAGGGTGTTGGGTGCACCAAAATCTCAGAAATCACACCTAAAGAACTTGTCCATGTAATCAAACACCACCTGTTCCCCAAAAACTATTGAAATAAAAAAAGCACAAGCAACAAAGCAAAAATGGACAAATAAGTTACACAAAACCAAAAAGCTTCTGCACAGTAAAGAAAACAATCAACAGACTGAAGGGACAACCTACAGAATGGGAGGAAATATTTGCAAACAATATATTTGACAAGGAGTTTATATCCAGAATATTTAAGGAATGCAACTCAATAAGGCAAAAATCTGATTAAAAATGGGCAAAAGACTTTGATAAACATTTCTCAATATAAGATATACAAATGGTTAATAGGTATATAAAAATATACTCAACATTACTAATCATCAGGGAAATACAAATCGAAGCCACAATAAGATACCACCTCACTCCAGTTAGAATGGCTACTATAAAAAGACAAAAAACATTTTGGCAAGGATGTGTATAAAAAGGAACGCACACTGTTGCCACCAACACTAGTATTGTAAACTAGTACAGACATTATGGAAACAGTATGTAGGTTCTTCAAAAAATTAAAAAGAGAACTACCATATGATCCACCAATCCCACTACTGGATATATATCCAAAGGAAATGAAATCAGTATGTTGAAGAGATGTCTGCACGCCAATGTTCATTGCAACACTATAATAGCTAAGATATGGAATCAATCTAAGTGTGCTTCAGTTAATGAATGCATAAAGAAAACATGAGATAAACGCGCACGCACGCACACACACACACACACACACACACACACACACACACACACTGGAAGAGTCTTCAGTGATAAAAAAGAATGAGATCCCATCATTTGCAACAACAGGATGAACCAGGGAAATGTCATGTTAAATGAGATAAACCAGACACAGAAAGTTAAATATTGCATGATCTTACTCATATGTGGAATCTGAAAAATAATGTTGATATCATAGAAGCAGAGAGTAGAACAGTGGTTACTAGAGACTGGGGAAGAGTAGGGAAAGGGGAGAATGGGAAGAGGTTGGGTAATAGGTATAAAATACAATTAAGAGGTATAAGTTCTTGTGTTCAATTGCACAGCAGGTGACTACAGTTAACTGTAAAGTATTGAATATTAAAAAATAGCTAGAAGAGAAGCTTTTGAATGTTTCCACTACAAATAAATGATAAATGCAGGGGGTGATAGATACACACTAATTACCCTGGTTGGATCATTATAAAACATATATATGTACTGAAACATCAAATTTTACCTCAAATATATGTACAATTACAATGAGTCAATTAAAAATATGTTGTTTCTGTAGGTAGGCCTCACCTTTCATTCTGGGTATTGGTAATTTGTATTTTCTTTCTTTTCTTCATTGGCCTTGCTAAACATTTATAAATTTTGTTAATCTTTCAAAAGAACTAAATTTTTGCTTTGTTAATTTTCTCTATTACTTGTCTATTTTCTATTTCTGTGTTTCAAATATAAGCAAATGAAGCTATAAATTTCCCTCTAAGCACTGCTTTAGCTGCATCCCACACAATTTTATATACGATTTTCATTTTTACCCAGTTCAAAATATTTTATAATTTATCTCATGATTTCTTTTATCTATGGTTGATTTCACAGTGTGTCATTTAATTTCTTGTTATTTTTCTTTCCATGGGCTCTTTTCCCCCTCTGGAAACCTTCCTATACCCCTCTGCCTATGGCACTTGCAGTTTCTTTTGCATTTATTTAAGCAGAGAAGGACTAGGCTGATGCTCTGATGGTAATTATTAAGGTGATTATTCATCTTAGGTGAAGTATTTTTGACTGAGAAGTTGCTGTGTGCTCAACGCTGTGATGTATTTAATCAATAGCTTCTGGGACTAGCCTCACAGCTGGAGATAGAAGGGATGTTTCTGCTATCTTTAGTGTAAAGTATTTCTAAAACTCTAGGGCTTCAGGCACTTGAGTCATGCTCTAGGAAAGGATTTCTGTGATCCAGATTGTTGAGATACTACTTTCCAACACTTTAAAAAAGTTATGATGATACATATTCTAATGTTCTTAATGTTTTGAGGGACTTAGGCTTTACCTTCCTGCCCGCAATGGGAAGAAATTCTGATATGCATTTAAGATGAAATGGAGTCCTTGAGGACCCACTGTGACTGGTTACACTAGAGAGGTGAGCTTCTGGAGGTAGTGCCAGGTTGTGTGCCCAGGGAAAGGGGCCATAGAATAAGTTGTTCAACCTGTCTATCATCTGGACCATTTGATAAAGTCCAGGAAACATTATTTAAGGGTGGGAACCTATGATGGTAAAGGTCTGGAGGACTCGTTTAGAGGATTCTCCAATAAATATCTCCAATCAATATTCCAGCAGGATAAAAGCAGAAGCTGGCTGAATAGGACTATGTGGGTTGTTTCCATCATCTTTCCCTCTAACATGACTAATATATAGCAACTTACCAAGCACTTGGAATAATCAGCTAATAACAGTAGCTAACATTTATTGAGCACTTTCTTTGAATCAGGCACTATACTCAATCTTTCGTGTCTTATTTAAATCACACTAAGCTTCTAAGCTAGATACTGCTATTACCAGCCCCTTCACACTTGAGGAGCTAAGTGAATTACCCCAGGTTACTTACAAGGACATTTTCTTCAGACATGTTTGCACCCAATACAGCTTATGAAAAACATGGAGACTTTCCTTTCCATCCCAGGCATCTGGTCACTTTCTATAATAGAGCCAACTTTGTTTTTGGGGCAACTGAAAGTCAAACATGTCTTGGAAAGTTCTCAATAGGATAGGCATCACAACGACTGAAATATTTTCTTCCATTTGTGTGGTCTCTGTTACATGGGAAAGCAAATGATGCAGAGAAACCCAAGACATTTTTGACAAGCTTCACATTGACAATGGGAGCAAGTAGCACTTCCAAATCCCATTTGTTTCTCCACTGAATACTAATCCCGGAGTTATCAGTTTGAATGTATTCCCTGAAGAATAACTCCAGACTTAAGAATTCATTCTTAATTCTTTAGGGGAAATTTCCATATCCCACATTAATAATCATAAGAATTCAGTAGCAATGTCACCAAGAACGCTCAGAAGACTACTCTATTCTCTCACATAGAGACAGTTTGATAATAAACTGATAAATAGAACCTTGAAAAGTCAAAATTTACAACATAATACCTGTCATTCAGACATATTTTCAATATGATGGCTCTAATAATGTCCCTCCTAAGCATTTATTACATTAGACCAAAAAAAACAAACAAACAAACAAACAAAAAAAACACTGAGAAGTGAGAACCAGCTATGCTCATCCAGATTTTCTCATTTAATAGTAAACTTCTGGATGCAGGGCTGGCTTTGTGGATGTGTAACCTGTGCAGTTGCACTGGGCCTGTGCTCAGGAGGGCCCTGCCCTTGCTTCAATGCCCAGCTGTCATCCTCATGAAATTGTTAACAATTTTATCTCTGAACTCGTATTTTTTTTTTTGAAATTATGTCTGATGGAACAACGAAGCATGTGAGTGAACAGAGATATGCACAATAAGCATGCCTACCATTCCTCAGTATCTGTTTTCATGTAGTGTTTGTGAGGCCCTGTGACTATAGGATTCTGGTAGACCCACAATACATGAGAATTTTTTGTTTTCTCAAAGGAATACAAGGTAAATGTGTTATGGATGTGGCTAAGTGGAAATGCCAACAGCCCCAAGAGGCCATGTTTTTCATTTAAACCAGAACTTTCTTAAAGTGCAAAAAGAAGACAATGACATTCTAAGACATACACGAATGGCCAAGAAACCCAATCATATCCTTTTTCATTCATGTCACTTCTCTGCATTAGCCAACCACTTACAGAAAAATTCATGGCATAAAGGAAGAGAAAGACAGGGCAACCCACAGTTCCTTTTCCTTTCAGTTCTTTATTCAGAACTGTGGGTAGAATGTATGTGGGAGAATGTGGGATGTTACTCTGCAAACTGTCCCTTTTGCCATGCAAAATTTCTTTAGTTTAATGAAGTCCCAGCTCTTTATCTTTGTTTTTATTGCATTGCTTTTGAGTTCTTGGTCATGAAATCCTTGCCCAGGCCAATGTCTAGAAGGGTTTTTCCAATGTTATCTTCTAGAAATTTTATAGTTTCGGTCTTAGATTTGAGTCCTTAATCCATCTTGGGTTGATTTTTATATAAGGTGGGAGATGAGGATCCAGTTTCATTCTCCTACATATGGACAGGCAATTATCCCAGCACCATTTGTTGAAAAGGGTGTCCTTTCCCCACTTTATGTTTTTGTTTGCTTTGTCGAAGATCAGTTGGCTGTAAGTATTTGGGTTTATTTCTGGGTTCTTTATTCTGTTCCATTGGTCTATGTGCCTATTTTTATACCAGAACCATGCTGTTTTGGCGACTATGGCCTTATAGTATAGTTTGAAATCAGGCAGTGCGATGCCTGCATATTTGTTCTTTTTGCTTAGTCTTGCTTTGACTATGCGGGCTCCTTTCTTGTTCCATATGAATTTTAGAATTGTTTTTTCTAATTCTGTGAAGAATGATGGTTGTATTTAATGGGGATTGCATTGAACTTATAGATTGCTTTTGGCAGTATGGTCATTTTCACAATATCGATTCTGCCCATCCATGAGCATGGAATGTGTTTGCATTTGTTTGTGTCATCTATGATTTCGTTCAGCAGTGTTTTGTAGTTTTCCTTGTAGAGGTCTTTTGCCTTATTGGTAAGGTATATTCCTAAGTATTTTTTTTTTTTTTGCAGCTATTGTAAAAGGGGTTGAGTTCTTGATTTGATTCTCCACTCGGTTGCTGTTGCTGTATAGGAGACCTACTGATTTGTGTACATCAATCTTATATCCAGAAATTTTGCTGAATTCTTTTATCAGTTCTAGGAGCTTTCTGGAGGAGTCTTTAGGGGTTTCAAGGTAAACAATCATATCGTCAGCAAACAGTGACAGTTTGAATTCCTCTTACTGATTTGGATGTCCTTTATTTCTGTCTCTTGTCTGATTGCTCTGGCTAGGACTTCCAGTACTATATTGAAGAAAAGTGGTGAGAGTGGGCAAGCTTGTCTTGTTCCAGTTCTCGGAAGGAATGTTTTCAATTTTTCCCCATTCAGTATTATGTTGGCTGTGGTTTTGTCATAGATGGCTTTTATTACATTGAGGTATGCCCCTTGTATGCTGATTTTTCTGAGAGTTTTAATTATAAAGTGGTGCTGGATTTTGTCAAGTGCTTTTTCTGCATCTATTGAGATGATTGTGCAATTTTTGTTTTTAATTCTGTCTATGTGGTGTATCACATTTATTGACGTGCGTATGTTAAACCATCCCTGCATCCCTGGTATAAAACCCACTTGATCATGGTGGATTATCTTTTTGATATGTTGTTCAATTTGGTTAGCTAGTATTTTGTTAAGGATTTTTGCATCTATCTTCATCAAGGATATCAGTCTGTAGTTTTCTTTTTTGGTTATGTCCTTTCCTGGTTTTGGTATTAGGGTGATAATTCACTCTTCATAGAGTGAATTAGGGAGGGTTCCCTCTTTCTTTATCTTGTGGAATAGTGTCAATAGGATTGGTACCAATTCTTCTTTGAATGTCTGGTAGAATTCTGCTGTGAACCCGTCTGGTCCCGGACATTTTTTTTTGTTGGTAATTGCTTGTTATTGGTCTGTTCAGGGTATCTAATTATTCCTGATTTACGCTTGGAGGGTAGTATTTTTCCAGGAATTTATCCATCTCTCCTAGGTTTTCAAGTTTATGCGTGTAAAGGTGTTCATAGTAGCCTTGAATGATCTTTTGTGTTTCAGTGGTGTCAGTTGTAATATCTCCCATTTCGTTTCTTATTGAAGTTATTTGGATTTTCTCTCTTCTCTTTTTGGTTACTCTTGCTAATGGGCTATCAATTTTATTTATCTTTTCAAAGAACCAGTTTTTTATTTAATTTATCTTTCATGTTTTTTTGGTTTCAATTTCATTTAGTTCTGCTATGATCTTTGTTATTTCCTTTCTTCTGCTGGGTTTGTATTTGGTTTGTTCTTTCTCTAGTTCCTTGAGGTATGACCTTAGAATATCAGTTTGTGCTATTTGAGTCTTTTTGATATAGGTGTTTAGGGCTACGAACTTTCCTTTCAGCACCGCCTTTGTTGTATCCCAGAGGTTTTGATATGTTGTGTCACTATAGTTCAGTTCAAATAATTTTTAATTTCCATTTTGATTTTGTTTTTGACCCAATGATCATTCAGAAGCAGTTTATTTAATTTCCATGTATTTGCATGGTTTGAAGGTTCCTTTTAGAGTCGATTTCCAGTTTTATTCCACTGTGGTCTGAGAGAGTGCTTGATATAATTTCAGTTTTCTTAAATTTATTGAGGCTCATTTTGTGGCCTATCATATGGTTTATCCTGGAGAAAGTTCCATGTGCTGTTGAATAGAATGTGTATTCTGCAGTTGTTGGATGGAATGTTCTGTGTATATCTGTTAAGCCCATTTGTTCCAAGGTATAGTTTAAATCCATTGTTTCTTTGTTTACGTTCTGTCTTGATGACCTGTCTAGTGCTGTCAGTGGAGTATTGAAGTCCCCCCCACTATTATGGTGTTGCTGTCTATCTCATTTCTTAGGTGTATTAGTAATTGTTTTTATAAATTTGGGAGCTCTAGTGTTAGGTGCATATATGTTTAGGATTGTGATATTTTCCTGTTGGACAAGGCCTTTTTCCATTATATAACGTCCCTCTTTGTCTCTTTTAACTGCTGTTGCTTTAAAGTTTATTTTGTCTGATATAAAAATAGCTACCCCTGCTAGCTTTTGGTGTCCATTTGCATGAAATGCCTTTTTCCAACCCTTTACTGTCAGTTTATGTGAGTCCTTATGTCTAGGTCTCTAGCAAGGCCAGGGAAGTGTTCCTCAATTATTCCTTCAAATATGTTTTCCAAACTATAACATTTCTCTTCTTCCCCAGGAACACTGATTATTCTTAGGTTTTGTTGTTTAACATAATCCCAGACTTCTTGGAGGCTTTGTTCATATTTTCTTATGCTGTTTTCTTTGTCTTTGTTGTATTGGGTTAATTCAAAAACCTTGTCTTTGAGCTCTGAGTTTCTTCCTTCTACTTGTTTTGTTCTATTGCTGAGACTTTCCAGAGCATTTTGCATTTCTATAAGTGTGTCCAAAGTTTCCTGAAGTTTTGACTGTTTTTCTTTATACTATCTCTTTCCTTGAATATTTCTCCCTTGACTTCTTGTATTATTTTGTGGATTTTGTTGCACTGGGCTTTGCCTTTCTCTGGTGCCTCCCTGATTAGCTTAATAACTAACCTCCTGAATTATTTTTCAGGTAAATCAGGGATTTCTTCTTGGGTTGGATTCATTGCTGGTGAGCTAGTGTGATTTTTTTGGGGGGTGTTAAAGAGCCTTGTTTTGTCATATTACCAGAGTTGGTTTTCTGGTTTCTTCTCATTTAGATAGGTTCTGTCAGAGGGAAAGTCTGGGGCTCAAGGCTGTTGTTAAGATTCTTTTGTCCAGTGGGGTGTTTCCTTGATGTAATACTGTCCCCCTTTTCCTAGCTTCCTGAGAGCCAAGCTGTAGCAATTATCTCTCTTCTAGGTCTAGCCACCCAGCAAGTCTACCAGGCTCTGGGCTGGTACCTGGGGTTGTTTGCACAAGTCCTGTGATGTGAACCGTCTGTTGGTCTCTCAGCCGTGGATACCAGCACCTGTTCCATTGGAGGTGGTAGGGGGATGAAATGGACTCTGTGAGGGTTCTTAGCTTTGGTGGTTTAATGCTCTATTTTTGTGCTGGTTGGCCTCCTGCCAGGAGATGGTGCTTTCCAGAGAGCATTAGCTTTCCAGAGAGCATTAGTACGGAGAGGAACCGGCAGTGGCCAGAGCCCTAGAACTCCCAAGAGTATATGCCCTTTGTCTTCAGCTACCAGGGTGGGTAGGGAAGGCCCATCAGGTGGGGGCAGGGCTAGGTGTGTCTGAGCCCAGACTCTCCTTGGGTGAGTCTTGCTGCAGCTGCTGTGAGGGATGGGGATGAGATTCCCAGATCAATGGAGTTGTGTACCTGGGAGGATTATGGCTGCCTTTGCTGAGTCATGCAGGCTGTCAGGAATGGGGGAAAGCCAGCAGTCACAGGCCTCACCCAGTGCCTATGCAAACCGAAGAGCTGATCTCACTCCCACCATGCCACCCGCCAACAGCCCGGGTCTGTTTCCAGGCAGTGAGAAAGCAGGGCTGAGAACTTGCCCCAGGTGACCTGCCTCCTAGCTGCAAAAGAAAAGGGCTTCAGTTCTTCCCCTGCCTGTGGAGTCTGCATGCCAGATTCATGCCCTTCCCCTGAGTTCTCGCAGGAGGCTTCTTGGCCAGTTCAAATTGTTACAAAGTTCAGCTGGAGACTTCCTTCTCCCTGTGACATTTTCCCTGCACCTCTGGCTGCCCTCCGGAAGGATCCCTGTGGTGCTATGCAGGAATGGCCTACTCAGAGATCCAGGAAACTCCCAGGGCCTTTCCCGCTGCTTCCTCTACCCCTTTATTTCACTCAGCTCTCTAACTTGACTCAGCATCAGGTAAAGTCGGAATCTTCTCCTGCAAAGTAGACCTTTGGTTTCCCCAGTTGGGGGTGGGTGTTCTGGGCAGAGGAACTCCCTTTCCCACTTCTGCAGTTTGGGCACTCACAGTATTTAGGGTGTCTTCTGGGTCCTGCAGGAGCAGTCCGCTTCCTTCAAAGGGTCTGTGGGTCCTCTCTGGATTCCTGATTTATTCCTGCAGTTGTTCTGGAGCTAAAATTCATGATGCAAGCCTCCGCATGCTGCTCTGTCCATCGGAGTCAGAGCTGCAATCTAGTTCTGCCTCCTGTCTGCCATGATGATCCCTTGCAGTTGATTTCTTAACAGTGGTTTAATACCAGGAAAGAGTGCTGCATTCTTCTGTGTAGAGAATTGTACCATTCCCGAATAATGACAGAATTGTTTCTTCCTTTACAATTCTAATATCTCTAGTAAATGTTGAATAAAAATGGTGATAGTGGGCATCCTTATCTTGCTCTCAATCATAAAAAGAATGTTTTCAACTTTCTAGGATAAAGCATATTTGCTATTTTTTGTATATACTCTTAATGGATTAAGGTAGTTCTCTTTCATTCCCAGTTTACCAAGAGAGGTATGTGTTTAATCTTCAATTTTTATCTTTCTGAGAAATAAATTACCACATTTCCACCTTTTCCATTTTCCCTCCTTTGCCCCCATTTCCTTTTTGTTGATGATATGTTTGTGTTTGCCTTTACATATAATACATTTATACCTTTATTTATTGATTTAATGTCTTTAATTGCTGTTTTAATCCCCAGTTATAAAAGATAAGGAATTCAGTGCACTACATTATCTGTCACCATTAATTTCTTCTTTCTTCCTAAATTTTATTTGTTATATTATGGCAATTTTGTCTACATTTAGAGCATTTTAACTCTATCCTTTAGCCACAATCCCTACATTTAGTTTTACTCCTACAGTTAGATTTAGGGCTCACTGCCAGCCTGTCCTTTGTAGTTTTGTCATCATCTTTTGTTTAGCTGAAATGTGTTCTTCCAGTAATTTCTTCAAGAGCTGCTCATGGCAGCTATATTCCCTGAGGGTTTTTTTTCTGTTTGTACTTGAACAACAATTTGTTGGGTATAAATTCTTAGATCATATGTTCTTTACTAGTAACTATTTAGGCTTTTGGAATGTTGTAATATTTTCCAGGGTCTCAGACCAAAATATTTTTTTTTTCATTAATAGATGAATTGACTGTTTGCTTCGAGGTCCAAGTAATTCTTTCATTATTTTTGAAGTTTAATAACATTAGCACGATGTGCCACAGTGTTGATGCTTTTGTGTCACTTTTTTTTCTTGCAACATGATATGTACTTTCAAATGTAGGTTCAAGCAGATCTTTTATTATTGAAAAGTGTTCTTGAATTATATCATTAAATATTTCTCTTATTCTAAAATTTGAGTTTTTAATTCTTTTGTGGTTGAGACAAAAAAGGACTCTGTTAGATCTTTTAAAAACTTCTATCTCTATTATTTTATTGTAATTCTTTTATACTATTTATTTCCATTTCATTTGCTTATTTTTCTCAATTCTGTCCTCTATGTACCCCTTAGGTGGTTTCAGCAATGTCTATTATCTTTTGGACTGGTTTTGTTGTGGCCTTCACTTTGGTAATGATTTTGTTTTTCTCTTGCTTCTTGAACGCTGCTGCTCCCATTGTCTTCCCATGTTTCATCTGAGTTCTTGCATCTCTGCTCTGAGCCCTCATTTTATAGTGACAGTTGTTTCTTAATACATTTTTGAATTCATGCCAATATATTTGCTCACAATTTTCATCAGTCTTATGGAATAAAATATAATTCCATAAGAATTATAATTAATTCTATAATATAAGGAGAATCATGGTTCTGTGTTTCAGGATTCTCCTCATATTATAGGGTCATAGGTATGTGTGAATTACTTTGGTCTCAATTTCTCTCTACTTAGTTGATACTGGCAGCTGCATGGTTTCTGATGTGGTGTGTCTTCTCCATCCTGTCTCCTGACCAATGACTATCTACATTTATAGCTTATCCAGTATGATTCTGTATTCATCCCCATCTTCTCTAATTTTCCTTTGTGCTAAGTAGGGTCTAGGTTAGCTCCTACCACTCTCTCATATAAACCCTTCTGTTATTCCATACAAAGGATTGTTGACTTTGCCCTCAGAGAGTGCCACTTACTTTAGAGAACTGTGCTCCGTTCAGTATCTTCTAGCACCCATCTTGAGCTTTACCACATGTGACTTCTTTTCCTTTAATACTAAAGTTTGGGGTTATATACACCTCTTAGTTTCATTAAAGATAGAGTTTACATTTATGTCTCTCATTCTCCTTAATTACTTTTCTTTTCTTTTTGAGACAGAGTCTGGCTCTGTCACTCAAGCTGGAGTGCAGTGGTGTGATCTCGGCTCACTGCAACCTCCGCCTTTCGGGGTCAAGTGATTCTTGTGCCTCACCCTCCTGAGTAGCTGTGATTACAGGTGTGCACCGCCATGTCTGGCTAATTTTTGTATTTTTAGTAGAGACGAGGTTTTGCCATGTTGGCCAGGCTGGTCTTGAACTCCTGACTTCAAGTGATCCACCCGCCTTGGCGTCCCAAAGTGCTGGGATTACAGGCATGAGCCACTGTGCCTGGCCTCCTTATTGCTTTTCAATGATATTTGAGAGAAGGGAAAACTGCCACCTCTACTTGGCTATTTAAAAACTTTCCTAGGTGCCTCTTGCTTTGTCACTGGGATGGTCTAATCTTGGGCCTATCTCCTACTCCATCCCACTTTCTAGGCTTATCTTCATTGTTCCGGGTCAGGAAATTATATTCCCAGCCTCTTTCCACCTGGGTCGCTGACACTGACTGCTGGCTGGGGCTATGAAAAATGCCTCTGGGTATTAATCAGTGATGATGGATAAAACCTTGCCCTTTAGAAGAAAAGAAAATGTGTCAGTACTTTTAGTCATTCTCAAGAAACCTAATTAGATACTGTAATATTCCTAGGAGGTTTGAAACCTCTGTATTTTTATATCTAGCAGTAGAAGAGCTTGCAGATTTTTCCTGGAGAAATATTCAATCAGTTTTCAACTCCTAGCTCACTTCATCTAGAGACTCACCAGTCCAGTAATTTCCTGCACTCAGTATCACATCCTAGTTGCAAAACTCATAATGGGCTCTCTAGGCTTTTCTTATGTGAATGCATATCAATGATTTCCTAAACTGGGATGAACACTATCAAGACCACATTTATATTTCTTCTGTATGTAGCCACATTCTAACTTTTTTTTTTTTTTTAAACGCAGTGTTGCTCAACTGTAGCTGTCAGCTCAGTGCTATGGGCAGGACACTGGCCAAGCCGATAAGGCCTGTTTATGTACACACGGACCTCAAAGACTGACCTTTCCTTTCTGTGCATTCGTTGTTTACATGTTTGAGAGGAGAATGAGAGGGAAAGGAACACAGGATATGTCTCTCATGCTGATGAGTGGTGTAATGTACTGCTGCTGGGCATAGGCTCTGGGTCAGATTGTCTGGATTCAAGCCCTGACATTGGTACCTACTAAAGGTGTGATTTTGAGCAACTTCTTAATTGCTGCACGCCTTGGTTTCTTTTGAAAAAAGAGGATGAAGATGACAATAATAGACCTCATAAGGATTTTTTCAAGGAGTAAAGCAGATAATATATATAAAGTGTCTGGCGAGTAGTAGATACTGTATACATATTGTTAATGTTATGTTGGTTTGAATCCCATCTTCTTAATGAAATGCTAATGAGGAGAGTCCAGTTTTTAATACAGAGACTCAAGAGGAGAATGAATGTGTGAGAGAAGTTTGCAGGTGCCGTCACGCAGCTCTAAGCTAGGGCATCTCACTCGGCTGGCCCGTTGCACACAGGGGCCGCAGTTAGAGTTCGTCTCTCTCTGCCAGCCTGCCTCTGAAGGCTCAGGCAGCCACTACATCAATTAAAAATGTGGCTGCTTCTGCAGCTGCTCCTGTGATTGCTATAGCTCTTGCCATTTACAAGGCACTTTCATACATTTTTCTCTTTGCCTTTTTATTTATTTACTTGTTTATTTTTAATTTTTTGGGTACATAGTACATGTATATATTTATGGCATACATGAGATGTTTTGATACAGGCATGCAATGTGAAGCAAGCACATAATGGAGAATGGGGTATCCATCTCCTCAAGAATTTATCCTTTGAGTTATAACCCAATTACACTCTTAGTTATTTTAAATGTATAATTAAGTTATTATTGACTATAGTCACCCTATTGTGCTATTGAATTGTAGGTCTTATTCATTCTATCTTTTTGTACTCATTAACCCTTCCCACCTCCTCTCTATCCCGCCACTACCCTTCCCCACCTTTGGCAACCATCCTCCTACTCTCTATGTCCATGAGTTCAATTGTTTTGATTTTTAGATCCTGTAAATAAGTGAGAACATGTGAAGTTTGTCTTTCTGTGCCTGGCTTATTTCACTTAACATAATGAGTGAGTGATTTAGTTGCATTGCATAGAGAGTCAGGTGGTAGCCTAGGAAACTACACTTGTTAGGGACTAGGGATGAAGAAAAGAGACAATGTCATTGTTCCCATGGAGTTCACAGACTAGTGTGAGAAATGAACAAGTAAATAATTCAACTCCACGCAATGCAATGAGACTATTACATTCATCTGGAGAACATGCCTGGTCTCAATCCTGCCTCTTGTATGTTGTTGCTTGTATGTAGTTGGATAAGAATTCACATATTTGTCTTTCATACAATCTGTAGGAGGTTTGTCTAATTCTGTGCTTATGAAGGTCCTGTATTAGACTAGTGCAGATTTAAATTATATAAAATCCCTATACACTTGACACAGGCCTGTATGTGCTACATGTGAAATTTTTCACCTATATATATGTCCTTTCTTTTTCTTTACCTACCATGAACAGTATGAAGTATTTCCTCACAGTCATCTTATGTGATAAATACATGACCATATGTTTGATCAGTGACTTATGACTTATCGAATGCTTTTCTTACTTGTATTACTTGATTCTCATAATAGTTTGGAGAGGTAGGTAGAAGAATTATTATTCGTTTTACAGAGATGAGGCCAAAGTTTAAGGAAGTTTTGGCTTGAATATTATCACCCACCTGGTCAGTGGCAGAATGGGAAGCAACCCTCATCCTCTGACTCCCAATCCATGGCATTGCACCAACAAATAAATCAGCACACTTAGGGCAATGCTGAAGAGACTGGGAAATGCCTAATCCGGACAGAGCTTCTGCAACATAAACAGGGGAATCCAGTCATCTCCTCTTAGCAGTATTGATTAATGACCTGTTCTGCCCAGTCCTTAAAGCTGTGTTTTGAATATTAATGATGACGAGCAAACAAATTACAGGGCAGAGAGCAGCAAATACACCCGGCCCGTTAGGCATGAGTAAATTGACCACTTCTAAAAGCTGTTTATAGGCCTCAGAGGGAAACATACACATGGATAAAAGAAGACCAAAATCAGCAGCTTAAAACCTTAGAAATCCATCAGGAAAACTTGCCTCAACAGAGACTATAGCTTCTGTCAGACAGAGATTAAATCTTAGTGTTTGCTTCTATCATTTTCTTAGCAGTTGTGAATTCTCTTTCATAAAATAATAATTATTATTTGTGTGTATTTTCCAGAAAGGAAGGAATTCTTTCCTTGCTCCATATGATCATTTTTTATTTGAACATCTTGGACACACACAAAGCACTAGAGATAGTTAAAGCAAGGTTCAGTGAATCGATTAGCAACACACAGTTCCCTAATGGATAAATTAGTTTGGGTAGTTAAAGATATTGTCCCAGAGTAAATGTTGTCCATATAGCGGCAAGAGCCCTATTTGCATATTCACATTACTGGCTGGGCAGCTGGAAATCAAGACTGCATGATTCACTGGCTTTGAAGGTGGCTTCACAGTGTATAAAGTAGCTTTCTGAAAATCGATAGAGTGACTACAATTACCAAGTGCATTACTTCAAAGATATTAAGAGCCATAAATCAAACATGTCAGCTGAGGAATGATGATGATGCTATGTACAAACAAGAACCCATGATATCAGCTCAGGAAGTGTCTGGAATCCTATTCTATGGCTCCTGAAGAACTGAAAATAAGTGGTTGCTCTTTGTTTTTAGAATCATCCTTAAATCAGTTTGTCACAAGTCTTACAAAGCAAAACATACAATTTTGTAATCACTGACAGACAGTTGGAAGGGAGAAGAAATCCAATCATGCTGAAAGATTTGGCTGGAATTGTCTCCACTCAACTAGC
The DNA here is from genome assembly GCF_000001405.40 of Homo sapiens. Taxonomy (NCBI): domain Eukaryota; kingdom Metazoa; phylum Chordata; class Mammalia; order Primates; family Hominidae; genus Homo; species Homo sapiens. The sequence goes on from NC_000006.12 coordinate 71,035,075, forward strand.
AGAGATTGGCTTGGCCAGGACTGCATTTGTCAATGCTCTGCACTCCTGTGCAGCACAATAGAGCTGAGGATGTTCCAGAACTGCTAAGCACCAAAGTGCCCGGCATGCTAATTAATTTGAACCTTAGAACATTAGAGTTGGAGAGTCTGCAGAAAACATCTCCTGGACTTGCTCACATGATGCTGACAACTCTTTTACAAGCCCAAGTGATTCCCGCATGTTCAGGCACATTAATCTCTCTCTCCCAAAGTAGCCCATTCCATTCTGAGGCCAGTTTTGACTGGTAGATCATTTCCATTGGAGCCACATGGCATCATCTCAAGGACTGGAAGATTGCCTTCCTATAGGCAGCACCCAAATCTTCTCCAAGGTAAACATCATTAGTTTCTCCAGCTGTTCCTCATCTTTCATGGTTTCCAGCCCTTGCTTTTCTGTTTGGGCTTCACCAGACATGCTACAGTATCCATTTCCTTCCTGAATGGTGGTGCACACACATGGAACATCATGGCCAGCCTGATCAGTGCAGGGAATGGGGGAACCAACACCTTCCTCATTCCTGATATTTTATTTTCTATGAATAATGAACACCTCTAGCTCCTAAACACTACAGATGATTTGTATTGATAAAATACACTAATTTATTCATGCATTATTTACTGAGCACTCACTATATGTCAGGTGCTGTGCTAGGTGCTGGGGATATATACATCTGCCTACAGGGATCCTGTGGTGTCACAGGAAAGAGTACTGTAAATATGATGAAACAGAAAATAGCATGAAGAAAGCTATGGCAGAGAAACTTGTAAGGTGCTGTAGTCAGAAAAGGGGACCTAAAGCAGCCAGGAGTTGTGGTGGTGCTGGTGGGACTGGAGGAAGACTTGGAGGCTGGGTGGAGGCCTCTGGGAAGATGTGGAGCTGGGCCTGGTTCCTGATAGGTGGTGGCAGTAAGCCAGGGGAGGTTGGGGAGAAGAACATTCCAGGCAGGGAGATTAGTAAGTGCCAAGATTCAGGGGCAAGAGAGAAAAATGAATACTTGTGGGGACCTCAAGCATTTTAGTGTTACTGGTGGGGAGTGCTAAGAGATGAAAGAAGTGACTTAAGAGGAATATAATGGAGTCATGCAAGGGGTTTGGATTTTATTCTTAGCACAATGGGAAATCACTAGAGACTCTTTCTATTCTAAGCAGGCATGAAAAGCCTCTAGAGAGGCCAAAATGGAAAGCTCCCAGACCCCTGTGCTGGCACAGCAGGGAACACAAATCCCAGAACCTGCACATTGGGCTTGGTGACATGGCTTCCTGAGGAGCTTCCTCCCTCAACTTTAAGCGTGTGACCTTATTGGACACAGGAAAGGCAACCAGCCCATGGTTCTTTGGTCCTCTGGCTCTCTTCACTCCACAGGAGTGGCTGACACCACAAAACTTCTGGTATACCTCCATGAGTGAAAAGGAAGGACGTAGGAATGTGCCCACGACATCCAATTGGCATTGTATGTATCTCTTGCACTTCTTGTTTGGATGCATCAAAGTAAAAACAACTTCAAACTGAATCTAAGTCCTCATTCATGCCCATCTGTGACCCTGGACTTGACTCAATAGTGTGGCCTATCCAGAAGAGAAGTGACAGATCTGATTTTCTGGATTAGAGATTGAATTTATAGTGGTGTCTATCTATGAGAGTGTGTGATATGATTCAGCAGCAATCGGCGGCCCAGGAGTGGAAGGGAAGAAAGTCAACACTTTTCTGGTCAGGGAGCAGAGGAACACCAGGGAGGGTAGGAGGCTGAGACTACCTTCATGGTGACTGTGCTTGGTATAAAAAATGGCTCCCTAAAAATATGTTCACTTCCTAATCCCTGAAACTTGTGACTATTACTTATATAGCAAAGGAATAAATGTTACTTTGTTTGGCAAAAGGTATGATTAAGTTAAGGAACTTAAAAGGAGATGCTTATGCTGGATTATCCAGGTGGGCTGTAAGGTTCATCACATGTATCCTTATAAGAGGGAGGCAGAGGGAGGTTTAATACCCACGGGCAGAAGAGAAGGTGACGTGATGATGGTGTATTAGTCTGTTCTTGCACTGCTATAAAGAAATGCCTGAAGGGCTGGGTGTGGCGGCTCATGCCTGTAATCCCAGCACTTTGAGAGACTGAAGTGGGGAGATCGCTTGAGCCCAGTAGTTCAAGACCAGCCTGGACAACAAGGTGAGACCCTGTCTCTGCAAAAAAAAAAAAAAAAAAAAAAAAAAAAAAAAAAAAAAAAAAAAAATTAGCTGGGCATGGTGGTGCGTGCCTGTGGTCTCAGCCACTATGGGGGCTGAAGTGACAGGATCATGTGAGCCTGGGAGGCAGAGGTTGTAGTGAGTCAAGATTGAACCACTGTACTCCAGCTTGGGTGACAAAGTGAGACCTTGTCTCAAAAAAAATAAAAAAGGAAGAAATACTGGAGACTGGGCAATTTATAAAGAAAAGAGGTTTAATTGGCTTATGGTTCCACAGGCTGTATAAGAAGCATGATGCTGGTATCTGCCTGGCTTCTGGGGAGGCCACAGGAAACTTACAATTGTGCAGGAAGGTGATGGGGAAGCAACACATTACATGGCTGGAGTAGCAGCAAGAGATAGTAGGTGAGGGGTGCCACAGACTTTTAAACAATCAGATTTCACGAGAACTCACTCTCATGAGAACAGCACCAAGGGGATGGTGCTAGACCATTCGTGAGGAACCATTTCTATGATCCAATCACCTACCACCAGGCCCCACCTCCAGCATTAGGGATTACAATTCAACATGAGATTTGGGCAGGGACACGGATCCAAACCATATCAGATGGAGATCAGAGTGATATGGCTACAAGTCAAGGAAGTCTTGGAACCTATCTGTTCCATGCCTTTCTCCTCTGGAAACTATTTAGGAGAGAGCCATGGAAGAGATTCTCTCCCACAGCCTCTGGAGAGAGTGTGGCCCTGCTGACATCTTGATATCTGACTTCTGCCTACAGAATTATGAGAGAAGCAGTGTGCAGTGGTTCATGCTTGTAATCCCAGCACTTTGGGAGGCCGAAGCTGGAGGATCACTTGAGTCCAGGAGTTTGAGACAAGCCTGGGCAACATAGAGAGACCCCATCTTTACTACAAATAAGAAAAATTAGCTGAGTGTGGTGGCATGCACCTGTATTCTCAGCTACTTGGGAGGCTGAGGTAGGAGGATCGCTTGAGCTCAGGAGGTTGAGGCTACAGTGAGCCATGATCATGCCACTGCAACAGAGCAAGACCCTGTCCCCCCCCCAAAAAAAAAAAAAGAACTGTGAGATCATCAATTTCAGTTAAGTTACCAGGTTTGCAGTAATTTGTTGCAGCAGCCACAGGAAACTGATACAGTGAGAGAGTTGGTAAAGGGTGGGCCATAGGACCAGGGTTAGATATGGAAAAGCATGGATAAGGAAGCATTGTTGTAGTAGAGGAATTGGAGGTATTTATGTGGTCCTGGGAATAAGAGGGAAGAGAATGAGAAATTCTCTTGAAAATTCTATGGATAGAGAGATGATTGTAGTTAGAAAGGGTTTGAAATTCAGAGTGGAGCCATACTGTACAATGGTGATACCCCATGTGGCTCTCTTAGCTAAGCATGCTCTGAAGTGGAACTGAGGAGAGGGAGGAACTGAGAGACCAGGATCTGGGTGGGTCATCCACACGAACATTGCAACCACCCAGGATAATGGCAGCACTTGTGGCAAGGGGGAAGATTGTGAATCAGCTGCCAAAGTCCTCAAGGAATCAGGAGGAAGTGAAGGAAGATAAAGCAGCGGGTGTGGGGCGGGGGCGTAGTCTTAGAGGGAGGATGGAGAGGGTTCAGGATGGTAGAGCCAGAAGGCAGGAGCCTCAAAGGAACCTGCATAAAATTTTATTCAATACGGATGAATCATGGTCTGGGAGAGACACTGGAGCAAAAACAAAATCCCCACCCTATCTTCTGAACCCAAGGCACATGCGATGTTGGAAAGTGAGCAGCTTGTACTCAAGGAATCTCCCAGGGCAGGGTGATTACTTCCTTGGGAAAAATCCAGGCACTTCTGAGTGCCAGGAAATAAAGAGCATATTCATTAAGTGATTGAGGATGGAGGAGTATTGGTTAACATGTAATGTGATATACAAGTTAATGTAACGCACAGCAGCACTTAAAAACTCTGACCAGCTCATGTTAAGCTTGATGATGTAATGATAACAATGCAGTTTCTGGATGTCGCATGTGTGCCCAGGTGGTAGGAGTGCTGCAGTATAGCTCAGTAGTATCTAGCTCCTGGGCTTCCTGGAGAAAGTTGAGCTGTATAGCTACCTCGGTAATTTTAGTAATGGGCTAATTTTAGTTAGATTGTAAATATTAAATTTTAGGAATCTTCAATAACTGATTTAGCAAGTTACTGTTAAGTAATTTTAGGAGTATATAAAAATGAAGGTCTGTGGAATTGCTTGTCAGTTTTTTGTCTTAGAATTAAAGCAAGGACCTGCAGTAGGGAAACGATTTGAAGACTCTCAGGAGGTCTTTTGTAATTCACAGGAATTCTCCAGACTGATATTCTCTCATTAATTTTCATTCTGTTGCTTTGGTACTTAACCAGTTACAAGTCACAAAATTGTGTTTATGCCTATTCCTCATTTCTCCATCTTGTCCACAAATATGTCATGAGAGACTTGGTTAAGGTTTCCCTAGGCACCACTGGCTTAAGCCAATGTATTAATAACAACTAATATTTATTAATCACTTTACATGGATAATTCTCAATTAATCTTCTGAACACCCCTATTAGGAAGGCAGTTTGACTATCTCCATCTTATGGATGAATAAAACTTGTGCACATCAGAACTAATAAGCAGAGGAGCAGGGATTCAGTCCCAGTCAGAAGGACTCCAGAAACCTGTAGCCCACGCTGCTGAATAGCTAAGTTAATAGCTAATAGTCAAGTTAACAGGTTTGTCCACAAATCTAAGGGAGTAAAAATGAGTCTGTGGGTCTTCACAACATTGACAGAAGAAAAGGCACTCTGTTTTCTTAAGCTGAAGGGCACCCAATTTGAGCTTCATGCACCAGCGCTGATTGCTCCATTGTCTGCAGCTTGGCTCAGCAGCTGCATAGCTCCTTGGGCTGTGGTGGCTCCTGCAGTCTCTGCCTGTGCTGCTTCTCTCCCTGCAGTGTGGTTGGCATCCTGATCCCTGTGTGCCCCAAGGCCAGGGCACTGGTACTGACATCCCCATTCTGTAAGACTCCTGCAGCATCTCCTCTGAGCTGGGAGAGTGGGGCACCCTCCTGGGTTCACATGGTCTCTTCTTCACAAAGGGAGTTGTTCTTATCCTCCTTTCCTCCAGGGCTAAGGTTTCTCTTGTCTTCCCTGCCACTTCCACTTGTACTAGTTGCCGGGAGAGGTGTCAGAGCCCTGGTATTGGGAAGTGGTTGACGCGCAGGTTGGTAAAAAGAATTTACCGACAACAGAATAGGTTTGAAAAGGAAAGTTATTAGAAAGGAAGAATGCTGCAAGAGGGTGCAGTAGAGCGCTTTGGCAAGAGGACTGAATGCACCGCAGTGGATTTTTCCTTAGTGGTATTTATGGACCTTAAGGCAGGAGCTTAGGGTTGTAAAATGAGTTTCAGCGTGACATTCCAGAGATGTATAGAAATTTTAGTTACTTTTAAACTAAAAGTTGAAAGAGGCCTGGAACCACATGCTGACTTTAGAAACTAGGGAAATTTGATTGCTTCTAAATTCCCAGATAAGGAGTTTTGCCTCTGGATGGTCTGTTTGATGGTCACCAGGTGGTCTTTGTTCCCTTCTAAATTCCCAGATAAGGAGTTTTGCCTCCAGATGATCTGTTTGATGGTCACCAGGTGGTCTTGGCTCTCCTCACTAGTGTCCCTCTTGTCCCTGACTTTCTTAGTTCCTATTTCTCTTTGCTCTTTACCCCACACTTAGATTCATCCGTCCTGTCTCTGGGGACCCTTGTAATTACACAGATACAAGATTTGTTCTATATATTCTTTCCTTATCAGTCTAGTAACCCAATTTGCACAGGACATATGGCCAGCCAGTTTACACTTGTTCTTATTATGACTCCGTACTACTTCCTAGCCATTTGGACTTCCTTTCCTAAGCCTTCCCAAATCATCTATTTACAGTTTATAGGACAAATGTCTACAGTTTATAGGATAAATGTCTGCAGTTTATAGGATTTCCAGTTTTGACAAAAATTAAATCAATATTTGCCTATATTCAGGCGTCCAGCCAGGGAGTGAATCAAGGACTTCACCTGCAGGTGTTGCCACTTTCTGGGATGTAATTAATTAAGGTCCAAGACTTAACCCCATCTAGAGAAGGTAGCGTTATAGGTAGTTAGGCATGAGTGGGGCAGGAGAGGGCTCTCTCCCTCACCCACTAGAAATGTTGGGTGATGGTTGGGCAATTATTGCTTTGCCTCTCTAAAAATAATAATTCAGCAGCACAAGGGAGAGGCCATTTCCTGATGGTCCACGCCTATCAACATCAAAACATTAATTGAATGCAGTCCCAGGGAGAAGCAACTTCCTGGGCATCCTGTTAAGAGACAAAAATGGTGAAGTATAATCTTCTGGGGGCACACTCCACTGAAAAAGGGAAGAAAGCTTCAGATGGTGATGCGTATAGCTCCCTAAACACATGGCGTGTGCTCAATTCCAGAGGGTAAGGAAAGCACTGGGCATGCAGAAAGCCCACCTTAGAGAAAGATGTGAACCCCCAAAATTTGAGACAGGTCTCAGTGAATTTAGAGTTTATTTTGCCAAGGTTGAGGACGCATGCCTGTGACAGCCTCAGGAGTTCCTGATGACATGTGCCCAAGGTGGTCAGCACACAGTTTGGTTTTATACATTTTAGGGAGACATGAGACATCAATTAACATACATAAGATGAACATTGGTTCGTTCTGGAAAGGCGGGACAACTTGAAGTGGGAAGGGGGCTTCCAGGTTGTAGGTAGATAAGAGACAAATAGTTCCATTATTTTGAGTTTCTGATTAGCCTCTTCAAAGGAGGCAATCAGATATGCATTTATCTCAGTGAGCAGAGGGTGGCTTTGAATAGAATGGGAGGCAGAGGTGTCCGAAGCAATTCCCAGCTTGACATTTCTCTTTAGCTTAGTGATTTGGGGAGCCCAAGATGTTTTCCTTTCACAGAGGTGAGCTTATAGAAGTCCCAGGATTATGGTTAAATGGGACACTTGACTTTCTCTCTTTAACTTTCATGTGCCCGCATGGGCCAAGTGCACCTTCCTTTCTTTCATGTTCTAAGGTCTTTTACAATCAACTCATTCCTGCTCTGAAACTTGCCTCAGTCTCTTTTTCTGCTTTATGCCCCTCAGTCAAATTCTTTCTCCTGAGGAGGCAAGGGCTGAAATTGCTGTGGATCCATACAGATTCGCTGCCAATAACTCGGGGTAACTCAGATCTCTTCCACTGGTAACAGTAGAAGCTATTTGACAATCTTCTCACCTACCCCAAGTTCCCAATCCATCTTAACAATGTATATTCTCTCCTTAATTGGGTCTGAAGACCATTCTTCTTGACAGAGAAGACTGCAGTAGAATGAGCCTGGAGAGCTAGGAGTTTGATAATCAAGCAGCACTACTTTCGCACTTGAGACAGATCATTTGCATGTAGCCGCTGGAGGCTATCTAAATTAATTATTTTAGTTTTCAGCTGAGGTAATTTATAATACAGAACTATTATCCAGCTGTCCTGACCCGTAGTCTGCATGCTTTTCATTTTTAAATTGTGTTTTGCTAATATGTTCTCAAACTGAATAAATGTAGATCAACCACATTAGATATATTTGGGACTTGAGATCTTTAAACTGTTTTCTAGTTCTTTTGTATTTAAAAAGCTTTATTTGGGGATACTGTATTAGCTATACCAGGGAACAGTGGTCCCTTTGTTTGAGCTTATAAGGTAAATTGATGGGCTAGCCCTTACTTTGGTCTGAATGTTTGTCCTCCATGTTAAAATCATAACCCCCCAAGCTGTTGGTATTGAAAGGCGGAGCGTGTTGGGAGGTGACTAGGTCATGAGGGCAGCATCCACTTGAATAGGATTAGTGCCCTTATAAAAGAGGCCCAAGAGAGCTAGTGAAACCACATGAAGACACAGGGAAAAGGCAGCAGCTATGAGAAAGTGAGCCCTCACCAGACACTGGATCTGACAGCACCTTCATATTGGACTTCTCAGCCTCCAGAACTGTTGTTTATAATATAAATTTCTGTTGTTTATAAGCCATCCAGACTATAGTATTTTATTATAGCAGCCCCAAAAGACTAATGTGAACCTCTAAACTCCATTCTTTAAAATTCAGCTTGAAATTAAAAACATAGATACATACAGATATAATATTATCTTATTTTATTCTAAAATCATATACCTTAAAAATGGGGTCATCCACAAAACACTCCTACAAGCAGATGGGAGTGGCAAGAGCTCTTCAGTTGGTGTGCCTTGGGACTGCTATAACACATGGATAGCACTGTGGGAGGCTAAGGCAGGAGGATTGCTTGAGCAAATCAGAGCATTGTCAAATCTATCTTTTCTTTGCAATCAATGGGTGAAAGTTCTGTTATAGCAACTCTTATTCTTCAATATTTATTAGCTTTTCAAATAATGGAAGATAACAATTGATTAGATTTAAACGTAAGCTAAAGATGATTTGACTTTGGATTGCTGTGGCAGATGGAATTTTAATATGGCCCCTATGATCTCCAGCTCTGGGTGTTACTCCTGTGATTATGTTACCTTAACTGGCAGAAAGGATTTTTCAGATGCAATTCAGGGTACCAGTCAGTTGACCTTAAGATAGATTATCTGGGTGGGCTTGACCTAATCACATGAGCTCTTTAAAAGCAGAAACTTTCCTCTGGCTGATTGCAGAAGAGGAAGTTAGACAGATTTGAAAGAGGAAAGGAATTTGGTGTGAGGATATTCTCTGTTGCTGAGCTGGAGGGAGTCACGTGGCTGGTGAGGCCCTGAGAGCAGCCTCTAGGGGCTGACAGCCAGCAAGACAATGAGGAGGTTAGTCCTACAACCACAATAAAATGAATCCTGCCAATGACCTGAGGGAGTTGAGAAGAGATCTTTGGCTAGTCATGGCTGTAGATGAGAACATGGATAGCTGACATCTTTTTTTTTTTTTTTTTTATAATGAGACAGGGTTTTGTTCTGTCACCCAGGCTGGAGTGCAGTGGCACAATCATGGCTCACTGTAAGCTTTGATATCTCAAACTCAAGCCATCTTCCTGTCTCAACCTGCAGAGTAGCTGAGACCATAGGTGTGCACCACCACACCCATCTAATCTTTCAGTTTTAGTAGAAATGAAGTCTCACTAGGTTGCCCAGGCTGGTCTTGAACTCCTGGGCTCAAGCAATCTTCCCACCCTGGCCTCCCAAATTGCTGGGATTACAGGCATGAGTCACCGCCTCCAGCCTAGCAGACATCTTGATTTCAGCCTTATGAGACCCTGAGCAGGGGACCCACCTAAAATGTGCCAGACCATTGACCCCTGGAAATAGTGAGATCATAAATTTGTGTTGTTGTAAGTTACTAAGTTTGTGGTTAACTTGTGTAAGCTACTAAGTTTGTTACATATCAATAGGAAATGAACACAATAGTGTTCTAGTATTTTCCCTAAAATTAATTGAGTTTTACTTTAGTTCTCTGAGCCCACTAGATGGATAAGGTGTCCTTAAAGTGTGACTCAGTGACTATAGAAAGCAAACTTGGGATTTGAAGTTGAGGTGAAAAACCTATAACAAACTCTGTCACTGTTGGAAGAGGATAGTGATTATCTGCATGGCAGGCAATGTCAACTGGACATTGGAATCTGAACTCTACCACCTCGCTGCTTGTGGGGACATTGGTTAAGTTACTTAAGTACTCTTCATAAGTGGGTTACAAATTTTTACCTTGTATACTTGGTGTGCAGTTTTAGTGAAATGCAAAGTGCTTAGCACAGTGCTTGATATACAATCAATGTCTAATAGTTACAATTATTATTATTTTAATATAAAATGGAAAGGCTGTGAGGATGTTAAAGGACCATTGACAGTAAGAAGGAGAAAAAAAGCAAAGCATGTACAGGGGAAAATGCATCTAAATGTAAGCTTTTGCTGTGGGTCACACAGCCATCACAGGTGCTCAGCAGCTGGATTTTATTCACAGGAAAGCCTTCACAGAGCCTGCAGATACAGCAAGCGACTTTTTTTTTTTTTGGTAGTGAAATAGATTGCATCCCCAGGTTGTATGTCAGTCACCCAAGGCCTATTCAGAATCTGTTCCTGTTTGAAATTTAATGCTCTATCTCCCTGAACTCGAGGCCACTCAACAGTGAAGCTGGAACTCCACATGATCAAAAGGTGGAATGCATAGAAGAAAAGGGAAATGAGTCACATGACGTGTCTTTCAAACCTGACTTCTCTGGCGGTCCTTCAGGGCTGGGAAGAATGAATGCTCAATTTTGCAAGGCTTTGGGTGTCCTCACTAACAGTGAAAACATTCTATATATTTATATGGGACTTCAGAAATGCAAAACGAGAGACAAGAAACAAAGACTTGTTTACTTATAGATTTTTTCCCCTAAATTTAATCGGCCCAATATACTCTACCGTATGAAACATTAAAACAGGTAAAACCATAGTAAGTTAAATCCATTAACACTTTATGTGTATGTATTTCTAAATATAATTTGGTTATGAAATAGAGATATTTGAATGAGAGTTAGTGAGTTTAGTGTTAAATTTCAAATATATTGTATAGTGTGTGTGTGTGTGTGTGTGTGTGTGTGTGCTTTTCCTAAAAACTCTCTATGATGTTAAATTATCCTTTTCTGGTCTTCAAAGACATTCATTTTGCTTCAAGGGTATCTATACTATGGGGGATATCCATAGAGATATTAAGTCTTCTTTTTCCTCTAACATCAACAAACCTAGAAAACTGTTACTGTAAACTTTTCATCTTATACAATATATTTTATTACTTGGTGTTCTCTTTAAATAACAAACTAACAAAAGACATTAAGAATTAAGTAACCCTCAAGGTCTAGTTCTGTTTTATCTCCCCACATTTTTTTCTTATTTATTTATTTATTTCAACTTTCATTTTAGATTCAGTGGGTACATGTGCAGGTCTGTTACCTGAATATATTGCGTGGTGCTGAGGTTTGAGGTATCAATGATCCCATCACCCAGATGCTGAGCGGAGTACCCAATAGTTACTGTTTAAACCCTCTCTTCCACCCCCAGTAGTCCCTAGTTTCTACTGTTGGCATCTTTATGAAGGTCTAGTTCTTATCTTATTATTTTTGTATCTTCCCATGGCGTCATCTAGGGTCAGACACATGGTTGTGGCCAATAAATATTTGTGGAAGGCCTAAAATATTTTAGACTGTATTCCCTGAGAAGCAGACTGGCCTGGTGGTGGAAGAAGAACTGGACAGAGTGTCGAAGCCTGGCTGCCACCATCATGTAGCCTTGGCAGAGTGACTTTCCCTCTGGGCTGTTGTTTTCTTGTGTGAAAAACAAGATGGTTGATCTGTTCTCTTTCAGTTCTGATATACAAGATTCTAACAAAGCAAGGAGAATTCACGGAGGTAGGACAACAATGCTTATTATGAATATGCAAGAGGATAAGTAGCTATACAACAAGACAGGCTTTTGGTATGTTTGTGTATGGAGAGTGCTTTCAGTCGGAATCTCAACATTTTTGACAAATTCTGCTTCAGAGATGTCAAAGACCTATTGAAAGCAATCCATTTTAAAATGTCCCTTTTCTGCTTGAAAAGGCGATCTATTGTCCATCAGCAATCACTTTAGAGGCCATGCATATAAGGCACATGTATTTCCATAAGTGTGAGTGTGTGTGTGTGTGTGTGTGTTTGCATGTGTTCTATCTCTATTAGTGTTGTTAAAATGATCGCTGAGGGATTAATTGCAATCAAACTTCTGTGGCAACAATTCATTCACAGAGCCTGGCTTTTGTGTTTTGTGTCTGAAAAGGAGCAATGTGGGAGAGTGGAAAGGACTCCTATTTCCAGCTGCTTTTGTCCTTAGGTATAAAGCATAACAGGTTTCAAGAGCAAAGGAGAAATGTGAAGGGTGAGAGTAAAAGGAATGACTCTTTGAAAACTAATGGCAAGCGATAAAAATAAGTTACTAAAAGACAGAGCATCTTTTGAAACAGAGCAAGCTTTGATTCTGACAGGGCTGGCTCTTGCTAGAAAAGGCACAGAGAAATGAGAACCTTGACTATTTCAGCCCTCAGACACCTACCCCAGAAAATCCTGCTGGAACCAATTACTAGGCATTTTAGAAACTTCTGCTATAGGCTCTGCCAAAGATGCCATCTGCTCAGACATACCCATGTAACACTGACCTATTGGTTTTCTGACCTGCACAGGTTCTGGTAGGAGGCAGTTGCCTAATATAGTCTGCTTGCCCTATGCCCTGAGTTTGTCTTGCAATGAAATGGTTTAGATAGCTAATGGGCTAGACAGACTGCAGTACATCCTGCAAATGAGGTCACGCAAGCGGCCAGCCCTCCAGTCTCTCTTGGGTAATGAGCCGCTGGGAAATGCATTGAATGGGTCCACCTTTAAGGAAGACACAAACAAATATATCATTTATTTACCACGGTGGCTTATACCTGACCATGGAGAAAAGCTATCAAAATGAAATATTATAAAACATGATTCTGTGAAACAGAACTGCAATTTTCATGTTATTTGGAATCAGGTCACTGGAAAGACAGCTTAAGTTACTTCTTAGACAAATGGCCTGAATGTAAAAGAGATTTAGGCTCTTGGATGCTTCAATCTCAGATCCTTCCTCCACTGGACACATTGATGATTTTAGAGCTTTGTGTTTGCTGAGGAAGATGAGAAGGACTCCTTTGAGAAATTATGAAGCAGGGAGGAGTGGTGAAAGTACTTTGGGGAAGGAAGCAGGAGACTTGGGTGGGCCTCCTGATCTACTCATAGCCCAGTCATCTGCAGTCAGTTTCTTAACCTCTATGCATCTCGGAATCCTTATTTGCAAAACAAAGGTGGGAGTACATTTTCTGTCCACATCATAGAGTTTTGAAAATTGAAAAGGTATATATAAAAGTCTTTGAACACTCTTACCTACAACACTTTAAAGTACAAGACAAGCATGGAATATTGTTAATACTATGAAGTCATTTGGGTGTTTTACATTTTTGTATTGCTCAGTGAAAGATTCTTCCTAGAAATAATATCCAGACTCTAATATCAGCACTCAGAGAGAATGTGTTGACATTAACGAAAACTCAGATGAAACAAAGCCATTTCCTTGTCTTACTCCAAACTTTCAGACGGCTGAGGCTCACGCTCTCTTGAGCACCTATTTGGGGCATTCACTGTGTTCAGTGCTCAGTGCTGCTCACTGGACATTTAGTGCTTTTCCTTCCAATGTCTGCATTTTGGACATTGACTTTGGAAACATAGCTGGCAAACATTCTATTAAATCCTAGCCAGTAAGTTAATAGAAAAATACTCTAGGTTTTTAGGATTTCCTGTTATTATAATAATTGTCCTTTATTTGCAGTCTGATCTCATAAAGCATATTTTCTTTTTCAAAACTACCCACCCAGTTTCCAAAACCTAATCTGGAGTGTCACAAATGTGCATTTCAAATAGATATTTTTGGAGGGAGTAGGATACAATATGTAGAATTATATCTTAACACATTTTTACGCCATGAAACATTTGCAAAATGCTTAGATCCCTGTGAACTAAATTAAATTTTCCCATGTGCCTAATTCAGGAACTAAATGTAGAAATTCTGACTTGGAACACTGAGTAAAATAAAAGTCCCAGGCTTGGTTTGAGAACATTAAGACTTGAGTGATAGAAAACAAAAACTACAACTGTTTCAGGGGAACTGCATCATCTTTGAAGATAATTTTCTTGAAACCAGGATTTTAATTTTTCTTACCAATAATTGAAAATGTCTTACCTTATGACAATAGAAAATAAGCATATGTAATTTCAAAGCCACATGCTTGAACATATAAGTGAGAAAAAAAGTTGTTTCTGTTTTATTACAGTTTCTTAGGTTGGGTGTAATCAACATTTGTTTTATTGACACTTTAGAAGTTTAATTGCTTGCTATAGTCACTCTCCAAAGAATAAGCAATTGGCTCTTTGTATTATTAAAATAGCTAAGCTACACCCCAGCTTTGTCATCTTTTCTTGCCAATATGCTTAATAACATTTCTCCCGAAAGGAACATTTGCATACTCTTGGTGTGTAAAATACAGGAATTGGCTTATAAAGCTATAATTGAGGGAAAATATTGCTTTGCCCACCTCCTTTGGAAGGCCCCCATTTGAGTGTAAGTTGCATTATTCTCCAGAATTATCCCCCAGTAGCTCTCTGTGCCATCTGGAAAGTAGGAAGCCCTGCTTTCCAATATGTGCACTGATGAATGTCGGTTCTTGGAAATTATCACAGTCTCAGATAATTATAGGAGTCCTCTCTTGGCCCCTTTGTTCATCTGAAAAGCAGAGCTTAGTGGTAACTTCCAGGGCCCAAGTGGCTCCCAACATGCTCACAGGCACATGCTCCCTAGCTCTAGGCCACACGAAAGAAGGACAAAGTAGCCCACAGAGGTGTAAATTGAGAAATCAGAGTATGATTTCTCACTTTACACATTTATGGGTTATGTATTAGTAAGATCTTCTTACTAATAAGATCTTCTTTTAGGTCTCCTGTTAATGTTTAGGCCACCTACATATTTAAGAAGATAAGAGATCTAGATTTAGAACCACAGAGCTGGAGGGAAACTTAGAGATTATAAAGTCCAACACCTTATTTTAAACAAGGTAACTGAGGCCCAAATAAATTAGGTGTCTGCTCAAGGCCACAGCAAAGACATCTAGTGATGGCTCTTTTTTTTTGTTTTCTCCATATAGTTAACATTTCCTATCTTGGGGACCTGATCCACAAGATTCCACAAAAGAGGGAAGATATTCTATTTAAAACCCATCAGCGAGCCAAACAACCCCCCAACCTGACTGAAACTCCTTGTTTATGTGTGAATGGGAACATAATGCCTGTGTTTCCATGGTCTTCTTTCTGCTTACAGAGACTGGAGGTGGGAATATGGGCAGGAAGTGACTATGCCTCAGAATTTTTTTTTTTTTTTTTTTGAGACGGGGTCTTGCTCTGTCACCCAGGCTGGAGTGCAATGGTGCAATCTCAGCTTACTGTAGCCTCCACCTCCTGGGTTCAAGTGATTCTCCTGTCTCAGCCTCCCGGGTAGCTGAGACCACAGGCGTGTGGTACCATGCCCGGCTAATTCTTGTATTTTTAGTGGAGACGAGGTTTCACCATGTTGGCCAGGCTGGTCTCAAATTTCTGGCCTCAAATGATCCGCCCACCTTGGCCTCCCAAAGTGCTGGGATTACAGGCATGAGTAACTGAACCTGGCCTGCCTCAGAATTTGTATGTGCATCATCAGCATCATGTAAGGCATGGAATTCTCTACCAAGAGCCTTTATTATAACTTGAGGATCAGTGAACAATATGTAAGTATAGATAGCAAGCAGGTTAAGTTTCCAAATGATTTTGAGATCCTGTTTTGCGACTTTTATTTATAGCTTCCGTTCATGTATTAGAACATTGCTATAACATTCCTAACACTGCTATACAGTTTTGCATTTATACAGCTCAACTGGATCTTTACTTATTCTTTATAAATAGGAACACATAACTGGCAACAGATTAGCACTTATGGTAACTATAGTAATAATTCAATAAAATCAGTAGAAAGTATGCATCTATACATTTTAAAAGGTCAAAATAAGAGTTGGTGTTCAACAGCAGGCCTCCCTCCAGCATTCCCTGTCCTCAACTGTGCCTTCACTGTCCTCAACAACTTGGGCCTGGGCACCTCTGGCTGCTCCTCCTCTACCCCAGATCACTCACTTGGGTGGCCGAGGTCCGGCCTCGGGAGCCTTGCTTGCCCAGGTGACACAGTCCTTGTGAGGACAAGCCACTCTCTCCACTCACCAGGAAGAACATGCGCTGCTGGAGCTCCTTCCCCGAGAGCTTGCTGAGGCTGCCCAGACGGATGAACTCCTGCAGGGGAGACAGAACGGAGGGCTGGCTGCGAGCGTGCAGACCCCGAGGGCTGACGGCCAGTGTGCAGACCCCGAGGGCTGACTTTGTAGCCCCTGAGGGCTGACTGCGAGTGTGCAGACCCCAAGAACGGATTGCTAGCCTGCAAACCTACTGGCTTCCTCCCACCTGGGTCCCTTGCATGGTGGAAGTTACAGCATTCAGCTGCGATTCATTGCACGCTTGCTCTGCCCCAGGTGCTGTGCTAAACCCTCTCTAGGGATCACCTGTCTCCTTCCCAGGAAGGTACAGTGCGGGTACCACCAGCAGCTCCCCCAACAAAGGATAGTGACAGTCGGATTCAAGAGTGCCCGGGCCTCTCTGAGGACCATATGTGTAACCCCAGGATCCCCAGGGCTCCCCACAGTGAGGGAGATCAGAAGGACCCCAAGCAGTTCTCAAAGAAGAGGCTATAAAAAGTGGCAGTAAGGGACCCTTGAGGACCGAGAGGCCACATGGGAGCACTGTGGCTGGAGGAAGCTTCTCCGTGATTGAAAACCCCCTTCTCAATGAGCAGTAACTGCGCTGAGGATAAAGGAGTGAGAGGCAGATGTTTCCAAGGCACCTCTTTATCCCGAGTGACATCCTCCCTGGGGCTGTACACTCTTGAGGGCATGGATTGCAGGGGCACAAGCACTTAAAAACAAAAAATGATCATTTTTAAATTGTGGTAGAATCCACAAAACACTGAGCATGTGTGGCCTTCGTGGATTCACAAGGTAGCCCCATCATCGCCACCATCTACTTCCAGAACGTGCTCCCTCAGGCGCCTCCGATCCCACCTTCCCATTCTGCTCAGGGTTGACTTGAAACAATGAGTGGATGTGAGGTGGCCTGATGAGTGAAAGAATCAGGGGATCATCTGAGCTTAGGAAGGAGTACCCCAATTCCATCTTCACCTTTACTAATAACAATGGCCTCCTCTCTGGAGCAAATGGGATGTGCCTGGCGTGTCCTAAGTGTGGAGTCCTAATAAAGGAAAAGGAGCCAGGCTGGTGGGACAGAGAGAAAGCAAAAAGACAAAGCGGAGAAGCTATACAGGTCTGCCTTTCTTCATGGTCCAGGACACAGCCCTCCTGCACAGATAACTCACCATCTTCCTGCACCCAGCTATCACCAGACCCTTGGCTGATAGAAAAATGCAAGTGAGTTCGCTGCAACCGTGTCGTTATCACACTGCACAAAGCCCTCCTTGGCACACAGCACAGACACCACCCGGTAAAAATCCCCAGCAAGACTTTGTCTCCTTGCAGTCAGCTCCTCTCTTGCTGTTGCTTTCTTGCTGTTGCTTTCTTGCTGTTGCTTTCTGGCAATGTGTTTTCCTACTTCTCGAATAAGCCTGCCTTTCTTTATCTATAACTGTCTTAGTAAATAATTCTTACTGCCTGCAAAAAAAAAAAAAAGAAAAAAGTTGGTGTTCAAATCACCTATTATGCTGTCATTGTAATGTCACTATTTTCTATGCTTGCACACCTTGGGTTGTGCCCTGGAACAAAACGAAATAACCCAGAATTTGTTTCTTTGGAGTGTGTTCTTTTTTCACACTCTTTGTACCTCAAATGATCAGAAAATAACCAATCGACATTTCTCAGGGAATAACTTTTTAAGGATGTGTTAGTGTCTCATAGAAGAATCATGATGCTAAAAACCTACCCTTCTTTTACACCTCTCTTTCTCATACAAATAATGTAACTTTAAGTAAGTTGCTTTGAATACTGGTGCTTATTTTCCAAGTGCATCTAGTTCCTGTAAGCTGGCACCGGCTCATTTATTTTGTAGCCTTTCTTTTTCTAACTCTAACAATAAGACTAATAATAAATTTGAATAATAAAGTATTTTGGAAGACCCCAGAGAAATCGCTTTAGACTAGAGTAAAGGTAACTGCTTAATTGCTAATCTTAAAATAAGGTCCCTACTGTTGCTAAATTGTGAATAAACAGATTGCATATGTACCTTGGTTTTCAAAAATCAGCTTTAATGAGTTTTTTTTTTTGCAAAAACTATAATACTCTGACCAACTTCCTAAGAAATTATGTTGTTGGGTTAAAGACACATAAATATCCAGTTAGAAAGTCTCACAATAGATGTTTAAAAAAAATACACTATATATGCAAAACCATTCTAACTGCCATGAACACTTTTGTGAATACCACTGTCTAAGTACTTTTATTATTGAAGTGCCTCGACAGATTCATATTCATAAATAATTCATATACTCTCTCCCGCTCTCTGTTCATGTGTGCGTGTGCCCATTTGTGTATGTATACATGTATATAACATTTTTTTCTATCGCAGGAGCCTATATGGAGAGGATAATTTGATCTGATATATTCTTGTTGCACAGTGATTAATTTATGAAGAAATCAATAAACCAAAAATAGTCTGCCTTGAACAGCTGTCTGAACAGATGGAAAAAATATGAGAGAACACTCTGCTGGTGGTTGTGGGGCTGAAGGGAAGGAGAAAGAATAGGGAAGCGAGACAGTCTCACCCTGGAAGAAATTTATATCTTGTTAATTCTAGTAGGCATTCTGTGATTCTTTCCTTACTACCTCCTATTTCCTCAAAGCAAACAACTCTTTTAAACCCTCTTTCCTCTCTTCCTGAATTAGAATGTTTGTTATGATAAACCTGTATTTTTCAACTGTAGGTGTAAAAGCGCATCACAATAATTTAAAGCTATACAAGACACACTTATTTAAGACTTAGAAAGAAGGTTTTGGGTGCTGGTTGCTCCCTTATCTTCATAGTTTCTTTGTCTTCATTTAAAGAAGAAATGTCGTTTCATGCTCTAGAGATGTCAGTGCAGGGGATGAGGTGGTGATAATGTGCATAAGGCACTATTGTACATTTCCAGCTTCTTGGTGAAATTGACTATGATAGGGTTGAAATTCTCAGGATGCTTAGAATTTCATCTGACATAGACTTAATCCACAAGATGAAAACAAAGGTGGCTGCTGGGTGGAAAGGAAGTGAAGATGAGCGATAAAACACACTTAGGTTCAAGAATTATGATGGAGAATAAATTCACTTGCAAGATTTGGATTTATCTAAACTACTTGAAAATTTTGACCAGCAACTATTAGAAAGTACAATAGCTAGTCAATTTCCCCAGCTTTGGATCTTAATCTTTCATATGACAATGTATTGTGATAAGTGGGACTTGCAAGAAATGTGCTTCTATGTCTGGCTTATTGTATATTCATTACTTTTAAATAATTGGTGAAATGTACTTCTACCCCTCAGCTGAAACACAGTAAATATATTCCACATTTGAAATGCAAGGGCCCACAGGAGTTCAAAGAAAACAAATTCTGGATCATTTCTAAAAGGTGATAATAACAACATTATGTGGTCATTAAAGTCATTTGTAAATATAAGTATGATAAATGCAACAGCTGCCTGCTTGAACTTAGGACTGTTGGATTTTATTAATGAGGAAAGTGGTTCACTGCAGCACTTAGAAGAATGTAGGCTCTGCTTGATTGTGACCTCTTAATTGATCAGCAAACCTAGAAAAGTTAATCTACATAGTATCTTCTTACATAATTATTTATTTTATTTTATTTTATTTTTGAGATGGAATTTCACTCTGTCATCCAGGCAGGAGTTCAGTGACACGATCTTGGCTCACTGCAACCTCCGCCTCCTGGGTTCAAGTGATTCTCCTGCCTCAGCCTCCCGAGTAACTGGGATTACAGGCGTGTGCCACCACACCCAGCTAATTTTTGTAGTTTTAGTAGAGACGAGGTTTCACCATGTTGACCAGGCTGGTCTTGAACTCCTGATCTCAGGTGATCCACCCACCTCAGCCTCCCAAAGTGTGGGATTATAGGTGTAAGCCACCGCTCCCGGCTTTTTACATAATAATTTTAAAACTACTTACTTGCTTCCCAAATTAAGTCACTGATTATTGACTTCGATATATAACAGGATGTGGAATCATTTAAATGACTTCCATTAGGTATCATTAGCAGCATATGGAGTGCTTGAGTTCATCCAGAAACATTATCCTCTAAAGAGTGTCTTGATGCCATAGCTGCTAGAGTACACTTCCAAATGATATTCAGACTTGTTTTTTTTCTGATGTATTTGTCACTTTATTCACATGAGTGCATCATTTTTCATGGTATTACTATAGTAATTTCATATAATAGTTTGGCTCAAGCTTTATTGTAACTTGCATGTAATAATATAACTTATAGAACATTATAACACAGTAAAAATTGTAGACATTGCACTTGAGAATAATTAAAATCAATGGAAAGTATGAGTCTGGATTTTGCGTATTTTGGAAGGCCCTAGAAAAAAAGGTGTTCTATTTTTTTCATAGTCAGAAAGCCAAATCAATTCCTAACCTACACGTTAGAATCTGCAGTGCTAACAACTCCAGAATACTGACGGTGCTGAGAACAAAGACCACAGCATGTATTCACAGATAGGAATGGAGGGGCTGAGTGTCTTGTCCTTGAACAACTGGATACTTTCGGTCCCCCTGGGTCCACAATATGAAGTTGTCCTTGGTCTTGTTTTAGGTTATCCCATTCAGTCCCTGTGTGCTGAGGCAAGTGGATGAAAAGATGATGGGTTAAGTCCTTTCTTGGAATCATCACTATTCTTGTACTTCCATTCCAAACTTGAGCAATGAGGACCTCACGAGAATGGAGGAAGCCATATTGCATTAGGAAAATTAAATGGTTTTACTTTAATAGGATATTACAACTGCAAATTGTATTGCTTTATTCAGTTGGCAAATGCTTTGCTCACTGTGAAAACAAGAAGGGTGTATAGACACCTTAATTAGAACCGTGTATCCCTTCAGTATTGAAGGTCATGCCAGCTCTCAGCTCTGTGTTGGCCTTAGAACCTGCTCTGCCACAGGAAGTGCTTACTGTGGCTCTGAGACACAGGCTCTCCTGAGTGCTCTGTGCCAATTCAGTCCTCACAGCAGTCTTAGGATGATGTGCTGTTGTGATCCCTGTTACACATATGGGAAAACTGAGGCACAGAGGAGTAATGTCCTTGCCAAAAGCCATGTTGCCAGCAAGAATTGAAGCCAGGTTTGGACCCAGGCTGTCAGGCTCCACAGTTCAGATTCTTAATTCCTTACAACACTGTGCAGTCTCTCGTGTACCCAATTAGTCCCATAAGATTAAAACAAACATAAAGGCTTTTCACATGAAACACAAGAGAGAATTGATGTCAAATCCACTCTGATACTAAAATTGTAAGGTTAATAAGAAGCACTTAGAATGGTACAGAATCTTCTGAGAAATGCCACAGCCCCCGTTCCCAGTCACATTCTCTACAGATGACACTCTCCTGTTCCTGCGATGGCCCCCAGACATGGTCTTTTCAGATACTCAGTGTGTCCAACTGAAATCTCCAACCTTTCATCTTAAAACCGTTCTCATCATGAAGAAATGGGCAATGGTTTCTAAGGGGCTTCATGTTCCAGCTCCAGTTACATTTTTAATTTTAATTAAAAAAATTCAAGTGGTAATTCAAGTAGGCCAAAAAACAAAAGCTTTGGAACAGTATGTGCCTTTTTTCTCCTCCTATTTTTGCCCCTCTGCCAAGTTCACATCCTCGCCTGCCCAATCACTGTGGTTAGTTGCAATATATTTTCTTTCAGAGCTTTTTGTATGCACATCCAAGCAACTGATTGTTACTGTATGTCAATTTAAAAAATAAAAGGTAGCAAATAAAAAGACTACTAAATTTTGCTGTTTTCACTTACAGTAAATATTGAGTAGTTTTTTCCATGTTAGTATATGTAAACTTTCCTTCTTAAAATTGTAATATGTATCTTGTTCGTTTGTTTGTAGAGACATCACCCAGGCTGGAGTGCAGTGGTGCAATCATAGCTTCCTGTAACCTCAAACTCCTGGGCTCAAGTGAGCTTCCACCTCAGCCTCCTGAGTAGCTGAAATTACAGGCCTGAGCCAGCATGTCTGGGTAAAAATTATAATGTCTGTCTCTCTGTCTAGCTATACATTCATACAGCTTCCCAGTATTCTATTGTATGGAAATACAGTACCTTAATTTCTTTATTTAACATTTGCATTGCTTCTAACTTTTGTGTTACAAATAATAGTGAATAAATAATCTTGTACATCTATCATTTTGAAGGTGTACAAATACATCTGTAGGATAAATTCCAAAAGTGAAGTTGCTGGATCAAACACATATGCATTTTAAGTTTTGACAAATACTGCCAAATTGATACTGTATGAGACCAAAAATAACTTTTTTTCTGTTTTTTTTTTCCTACCCATTTTATGTTCATGGCTGAGGTCCCTATTACAAAAGACAGATTAACAAGAGAAAAGCATACAAGTTCATTTAATTTAAGTTTTAGGAGACACTAGAGCTTTCATAAAGATATGAAGACCCAAAGAAGGTAAACCTGAGTATCTTTATGCTAGGCTTGATGAAGAATGGACAGTTGTGGAGAAATATGATAAGGTAAAAAATAATATGATCTATTGATAATAAAGTGGGGAAATGTAGAAAGGCCTTTCTGTTCCTTTGTCTTTGGAGAAAGGGATGTTTCTTTCCTTTGGGTAGAGGGATGGCACCTCTCACATGAGAATCTTATGACCTGCTTTAGGGGAGAGGGGTAGGGGGAAGGTCAGAGTGACCTCCCTGCATCTGCTGTTTTATCAAATTCATTCAGCTTAAAATATTCAACACCAAGATGCCATATTTTGGGATGGCATGTCCAGAAAATTATTACTCTTCATGGGGACTGCACAAATTTGCATGTCCGTCTACCTCTGATGGATGAGTGACTGTTTCCCCACCTCTCACCATGCAGGGTATATTACTAAACATTTATATTTTTGCCAATATCTTAAATAAAAATTGATGTATCAATTTAGGTTGCTCATCTTTTCATGTTAACGGCTATTTGCATTTCCTTTTTTGTGAACAATCTGTTCAGATTTGTTGCCTATTTTTCCATTAGATTGATTTTTTTTCCCTTCTCAGTTTGTGGGAACTCTTTGTATGTTAGCAAGATTAGCTTTGTATGTTACATAAGTGGCAGATACTTTTCTCAATTTATTTGTCTTTTGACTTTGCTTATTATTATTTTGCTACATAATATGGATATATTATTTCTGTATGTGTAAAATTTATCAATGTTTTATTTCATGGCACTATGGACTTATTTTAATGTAAAGCTTAAAAATGTGAAAATAAAGTACCTATGCAGAATACACATAAAAATCATGGATCTTAACCTGCTTCAATACATGATATATTTTCCCCAAAGAAATTGATTTCTGCACAGTGTGTGACTTGAAACTGCCAAGAAGGTTAATGCCCTAGGCCCTGGCTACAAAGTAGAATTTAAGCCTGTGGAGTTATATAGCTGAAGGATATTCATCATGGATTTTTGGAAGGTGCCCCCTTTCCCTGGGAGCCACTCTGCATTCTGGCTAAGCTGTCAGCCAAATGTTCATTTTGGGGAGCAAGAGTTTTAGGAGAAAAAAATAATAGGCATCTTTAAGAGGAATCTGCCAGCAGAAATTGAATTGTATTTTCTTTAACCTTTGTGAGAGATTTCAAGTAGACAAGTTTTATTATTGAGAATCCAGGATTTCTCTCCAGATAATAATAACAAGTATAAAAAAATGCTTTGCACACATTTAAAATTTAATTCTCACAATAACTTTATGAGGTAAGTTCATTAGAATCTTCATTCTGTAGACAATATGAGGCTTGGAAATGTTAAGTAACTTACCCAAGGTCATACAGCTAGTGAGGAACAAAGTTGAGAGTAAAAATCAAATCTCATCTCATTCCTAAAACCATGCTCTAAAGGACAATCTCAGCTGCCTCTTTAGTTATAAAAGGTCCAGCCTAATTTTGCAAGACCCACTTGCCTTCAACTAGGCACACAATTTAGTTTTGAGAAGAAAGCATAAATATTTCTGGATCCTCCAGTGATAACAAAATTCCCTGAGGTTTTTTTTTTTCTTCACTGGCTTTCAAATAGTAATACAAATAGTTGCTGTGGAAGAAACATATCCAAATCTCAGTCACTGTGAGCTGCTTGAAATCAGCTGCATCTTTATTCATCTTTGTGTCCCAACACCTAGCACAATGCCTGGCATATATAGCCAATAATGCCTGCAGAATGCATATATAAATGAATAAATCCTCCCCTTATTACCTTCCTACTGTTCTAACTGACTTAGTTTTTAATTTTATTTTCCACTAGGAAGTACATTTGCATGGTTCAAAATTCAAAGCACAAGAGGGTATGCAGTAAAAAGTCTGCCCCCACCGGCCCCGCTGCATCTTCTAGCTACCCAGATCTTTTCTCCTTAGGTAATCATATTATTGGTTTCTTGTGTATTCTTCCATATTATTGGTTTCTTGTGTATTCTTCGAACATATTTAAGCAAAAATCAATATATATCCCATTAGACACAATTTAGTTATTTAAAAACACATATATATTTATTATAAAGTTGCAAAGCTTGTTAATAAAAATATGAATCATGTTGAGAAGTAAAAAGGGAAAGAAAACTCTAGTATTGAAACAATCCATTGGGAGCATTTTAGGAGTATTTTCTTCCATCTTATGGAATTATGAGGTACCCTTTGATTACTCTTTTCATTGCTTTTCCCTAACTCGAAGTCAAATTCAGATGTTAACAAGGAATGACTAAACATCACACTCTGGCAAGGTTTCAACTGGGTTGCTTTTAACTTTGGCCACTGCAGGAGAGGGAGCATCTTCTGGCAAGATGCAGGGCAACTAGGAAACAGTGACTTCTAGGGCCTGAAGAGAACACAGATGACACTGCTAAGGATTTTGCAGCAGGCATCTTGAGTGGATCTTTTTGCAGAATCTATTAGCATCTGCAGATATTGAGTCTGGAGGAGATAAATTTGAACAGTTTGATGCAGATACTGAGAACACCATATAGTTAGCCTGTCAGTTTTCCATCTCATGTATGTATGTATGTATGTATGTATGTATGTATGTATGTATGTATGTATTTATTTATTTATTTATTTGTATAGAGACAAGGTTTCACTGTATTGCCTAGGCTGGACTTGAGCTCCTGGGCTCAGACGATCCTTCCGCCTGAGCCTCCTGAGTAGCTGGGACTGCAGGCACAGGCCAACATGCCTAGCTTAGCCTGTTAGTTTTGATAAAAGAAAATTCTGAGTCTAGGCAGAAGTGCATTTGTCAGTGGGGATACATGCTAGTGTGGAATGGAGAGGTGGGTCAGGGGTGAAGTTTGCACAATGACAGAAGCAGAGAATGCTGACGAAAATGGCATCCTTATCTTGTTTTATTCAAGCTAAGGGATACTTCAAGCTATGGGCTTTAGTAGTACTCTAGCAAAGAGATTGGTACTTTACATCTATGTAAATATGTTGGAATACTAGGTGCAATTACCGCGTGTGTGTCTGTATTTTGTGAATGTGTGTGTCTGTGTATATTTATATCCCCACATACAGACTTTTTAGTACACTTAATATTTTCCATTACAAGTAGGGTTCAAGAAATTCTCAACTCATAAATTTTTTTTAAAGATCTGGATTAAAAACCCATTCATATGTGGTTCAGAAAAGTGTCTGATCATGGGAATTTAAGCACAATTTTGACAATGTGGGCCCAAAGTGGACACAGCAGGTAAGCAGTATCCCATATAAATTGGTGATGAAGACAGTACAGCACTGTCTAGGAGTGCCACAAACCACACAGGCATTTATTCTCCAAGGTTTTGTCTGGTAAGTTTTCTTTCTTAACTTTCAGCTTCAATGAATTGAGACTAATATGTTCAGCAAAAGGAGTTAAGACATTCTCCTTATTGGAAATCAAGTGTAGAAAATACCCATGTAGTAAATTCACAAGAAGAATGTTACAGAGTAATTGCTTTCAATCTCCTAACCCTTCCCCTGCTCCCCTTGGTGCCTCTGTCTGCCACGTTAACCCATTAGCAAAGTGGTAAAGGCTGGGACGCCAGGACCTTACAAAGGCTCTGGCATGCCGAAAGTGCTTGATAAATATTTGTTGAGTGAACATTGTATACATTTGCATTTTTAAAGAAATAGGACAGTGAAGATGAAATACAGCCATCTTTCCAGTGACCTGACATAAATAATGGTCTTTCTAGTTCATCATCACCATCCTTCATTACTGGTCCTTTGGTCCTTTGAAATGATGTCTTTTGGGGCTTCTGGCTTAACCATTTTCAATTACTTCAAACTGTTCTAATTACCTCTGGCAGATTAGTATTTATAAGGAATAGATTTAATCACATTACCACCTGCATAAAAAGGTACTCTTTACCTTGGCATTCAAGGCTTCCCTGTCTCCATTGGTTCTGTTTTCCCACTGTATGCCAGACTCATATATTATAGTCAAATTAGGCTGGACATCTCTCCATTTCTCAAGTACATATCACACTTTCCTACATCCATACCTGCTGTTGTCTGTACATGCCTAGTGAAATGCCATCGTCTCTACCATATGAAATCTATCAATCCATTTATGATATCTCTCATCATAACTATCACTCTCCCCATCATATGTGATCTCTTCCTCTTCTGCCTGATATTACTTCTTATATACTCATTTCATTCTTCCATGTTTTCTTTAAATTATTATTTTTATTTTAAATTAATGCATAATAATTATACATATTTATGGGGTACAATGTGATGTTTCAATACATGTACACATTGTATAATAATCAAATCAGGGTAATTAGCATATCCATCACCTCAAACATTTATCATTTCTTTGTAGTGGGAACATTAAATACTTTCTTCTAGCTATTTTGAGATCTACAATACCTTTTTGTTGGCTATAATCATCCTACTGTATAATAGGACACCAGAACTTATTCCTTGTATCTAATTATAACTTTGTGCCCGCTGACCAACCTCTTCTCATTCCGTTCTCCCCACCACCCTACCCAGTCTCTGGTAACCACTCTTTACTACATCTATAAGATCAACATTTTTAGATTCTGTATATGAATGAGTATATGTGGTATTTTCTTTCTGTGTCTGGCTTATATCACTTAACATAAAGTCCTCCAGGTTCATCTATTTTGTCATAAATGACAGGATTTCATTCTTTTTTCTGTGGCCGCATAGTATTCCATTGTGTATATATACCCCATTTTCTTATTCTGTTTATCCATTGTTGGATATTTAGGTTGATTCCATATCTTGACTATTGTGAATAGTGCAGCAATATACACATGAGAGTGCAAATATCTTCTTGATGTAGTGATTTATATACCCAGTAGTGGAATTGCTGAATCATATGGTAGTTCTATTTTTAAATTTTTAAGGACCCTCCATGCTGTTTTCCAGTATGCTGTACTAATTTACATCCCCACCAATAATGTGTAAAGGTTCCCTTTTTTCCCTGTATCCTCTCCAACACTTGTTATCTTTTGTCTCCTTGATAATATCTATTTTAACTGAAGTAAGGTGATATATCATTGTGGTTTTTACTTGCATTTCACTGGCGATTAGTGATGGTTAGCATTTTTCTATATATCTGTCAGCCATTATTATATCTTCTTTTGAGAATTATCTATTACAGCCTTTTGCCCATTTTTGATCAGATTATTTATTTATTTGCTGATGAGTTGTTGGAGCTCCAACTCATATTAGTCTTTTGTCAGATGAATAGTTTGCAAATATTTCCTCCTATTCTGAGTTTTTTCTTCACTTTGTTGATTATTTTCTTCGCTGTGTAGAACTTTTTAGTTTGATGTAATCTCATTTGTCTACTTTTGCTTTAGTTGCCTGTGCTTTTGAGGTCTTATTAAAAAAAGTCCTTGCCCAATTCAATGTTATGAAGCATTTCTCCTATATTTACTTGAAATAATTTCATAATTTCAGATCTTACACTTAAGTCTTTCATCTGTTTTGATCTGATTTTTGTATATGGTGAAAGATAAGGGTCCAGATTTATTCTTCTGTATGTGGATGTCCAATTTTCTCATTACCATTTACTGAAGAGACTATTCTTTCTCCAAGGTGTGTTCTTAGCATCTTTGTCAATTAGTTGGCTGGAGATGCATAGATTTATTTCTGAGCTCTCTATTCTCTCCCATTGGTGTGTGTGTCCATTTTTATGCCAACACTATGCTCTTTTGGATACTACAACTACATATATGTTTTGAAGTCTAGAAGTGTCACACTTCTAGCTTTGTTTTTGTTTTTTTATTTTGCTCAAAATCTTCTTGGCTATTTGGCATCTTTTGTGGTTTCATAGAAATTTTAGGATTGTTTTGTCTATTTTTGTGAAGAATGTTATTGGTATTTTGACAGAGGTTGCATTGAATCTGTAGATTACTTTGGGTAGAATGGACATTTTAACAATATTAATTCTTCCAATTTATGAACGTGGGATATCTTTCTACTTATTGTGTCCTCTTTAATTTCTTTCATCAATGTTTTACAGATTTCAGTATAGAGATTTTTCTCCTCCTTGGTTAAATTTATTCCTAGGTATATAATTTTTTTGGTAGCTCTTGTAAATGGAATTGTTTTCTTGATTTATTTTTCAGATAATTTACTATTGACATGTAGAAACACTACTGACTTTTGTGTACTGATTTCTTATCCTGTAGCTTTACTGAATTTGTGTAAAAACTAGTTCCAACAGCTTTTTGGTGGGTTCTTTAGGGTTTTTTTATGTATAAGATTATGTCATCTGCAAACAGGAATAATTTGACTTCCTCCTTTCCGTTTCTTTCTCTTGTCTAATTGCTCTGTCCAGGATTTCTAATACTTGGTTAAATATAGGTAGTGAAAGTAGCCATTCTTATTGTTCCACATCTTAGAGGAAAAGCTTTCAATTTTTCCCCACTTAGTATGCTGGTAGTTATATGTTTGTCATATATGGCTTTTGTTATGTTGAGTGTATTAGTCGATTCTCATACTGCTATAAAGAAATATCTGAGACTGGGTGATTTTTGAAGAAAAGAAGTTTAATTGGCTCATGCTTCTGCAGGCTGAATAGGACGTATAGCAGCTTCTACTTCTTGGGAGGCCTCAGGAAACCTAAAATCATGACAGAAGATGAAGAAGAAGGAGGCACATCTTATATGGTGGAGCAGAAGCAAGAACTAGGGTCTGGGGATAGGTGCTACACACTTTTAAACAGCCAGATTTCGTGAGAACTCTGTCAGGAGACAGCACCAAGGGGATGGTTCTAAACCATTCCTTAGGGATCCATCCCCATGATCAAATCACCTCTGACCAGGCCCCAACTCCAACACTGGGTATTGCAATTCAACATGAGATTTGGATGGAGACACAGATCCAAACCATATAATTGAGGTATGTACCTTGTATATCAAATTTGTTAAAGGTTGTTTATTTTGGAGGGATGTGAAATTTTGTCAAACGCTTTTCCTGTCTATTGAAATTATCATATGGTCTTTGTTCTTCTTTCTGTTAATGTGACAAATCACATTTATTGATTTGTGCGTGTTAAATCATCCTCGCATCCCTGTGATGAATCTCACTTGATCATAATTGATGATCTTTTTAATGTACAGTTGAATTTGGTTTGCTAGTATTTTGTTGAGGAATTTGCATCTATGTTCATCAGAGACATTGGCCTGTAGTTCTCTTTTTTGTTGTGTCCTTCTGTGGTTTTGGTATTAGGAAATACTGGCCTCACAGAAAGAGTATTACCTTTTCTTTAATTTTTTGTGAATACTTTGAGAAGTATTGGAATTTGTTTTTCCTTAAATGTTTGGTAGAATTCAGCAGTAAAGCCATCAGGTTCTGAGGTGGTATTTTTTGTTTTTTGTTTCTGTTTATTTTTTAGAGATAAAAAAATTTTTATCTGTATTTTATCTGTATTTTTTTTAGAGATAATTTTCATTACTGATTATATTTCCTCACTTGTTATTGGCCTGTTCGGACTTTCTTTTTCTTCATAAGTCAATCTTAATAGATTGTATGTGTCCAGGAATTTATTTTTTTTTCTGGACTATCAAGTTTTGACATAATTATTCATAATTGTCTCATATGATCGTTTGTATTTCTCTGGTGTCAGTTGTTATGTCTCTTTTCTCATCTCTGATTTTGAGTATTCTTTCTGTTGTCTTATTTAATAAGGATTTGTTTATTTTGTTTATCTTTTCAAAAAACCAACTTTTCATTTCATTGATCTTTTGCATTGTTTCTGTATTCTTTATTTCATTTATTTCTGCTCTGATTTTTATTATAACCTTCCTTCTACCAATTTTGGGTTTAGTTTGTCCTTATTTTTTTAGTCCCTTGAGTAGCAATGTTAGATTATTAGAAATCTTTCTTTTTCTGAGGTAGCCATTTATTGCTATGAACTCCTAGAACTGCTTCTGTTGAATTCCATAGGTCTTGGTATATTGTGTTTCCATTCTTGTTTCTCTCCAGAAATTTTTTCATTTTCCTTTTAATTTCTTCATTGACCCATTGGTTATTCCAATTTCCATGTATTTTTTAAGTTTCCAAAGTTCTTTTTGTTATTGATTTCTAGCTTTATACCATTGAGTTCAGAAAAGATACTTGATATGATCTCTATCTTCTTAAATTTGTTAAGATTTGTTTTGTTGTCCAACATATGCTCTATACTGGGAGTGTTCCATGTGTAGTTGAGAAGAATGTGTATTCTGCAGCTGTTAAATGGAACATTCTGTAAATGTCTGTTAGGTCTGTTTGGTCTAGTGTGCAGTTTAGGTATGATGTTTCTTTGCTGATTTTCTGTTTAAACGATCTATCCATTGTTAAGAGTGTCTCTCAACTCTTGAATTACTGGACTATAGGGGCTGAGCTTTGCTCATCTTTCTGTCTTCTACCACAGTTATCTCCAACTTCCTCGGGGCTAAGAATAATGTGGAGCCCTTGTTACGTGGAAATTCTGATTCAGGAATTTAGATTGGACCTCAGTTATTTTTTTAAACAAATGTTCTGAGTGATTCTTAATATTGTAAAAGATTGGAAAAAACTCCAAGCACATAGCAGAGTACCTTACACATATGAGTGCTCAATAAATACCTATGAAGTAAATTCAGTTCACTGTGCAAGAATCAGCAGTTGGACAGAGGAGCCAGTAGCCACATATGTATTAAAAAACATAGATTTATACTTGATTTTGAACAACCAACAACATTGTAGGAATAGTTTAATGAGACCCTCAAAAACATTATAATTTTAATGTGGGCACAATAATTCAATTTTGGGCAAACATAATCTTTTTACTGTGTAGGATATAGGCACAGTCATAGAAAAGTGAGTATATACAATGCATCTTATTTTAAATTTTTAACCATTCAGAAATATTCAAAGAAGATTGTGTCGTTTCCTTGTACGATTAACAGTAGCAATGGAAATAAACAAATTGTCAATTTTCTAAAGAGGATTTTTGAGTTCTCATCATTAGCCCATGGTATATCGAACTACTTTACTTAATATGTGTAGCTTAAAAAGCAGAAGCAATTTTACCACCCAAAATATGACCTCATGGTATGTAGGAAAGAAGTGAAGAAAGTTGAGAAAGAAGACCCATTGGACACATTTTCATTTAGCTTTGATCCATCAGATTTCTCTTCATTCTTTGCACAGCCATCTGACCTTTTCTTTTCTTCAGATGTATTTTCTTTACAGCAGGAGTCTGCACATTGCCTTCTGTTCTTCTGTGCTTTCACTTCCACTTGCCCCTACCAACTGCTCAGGTTTACCCTGTAATTCAATCCAAATTATTATAACTGTTGGCATGTTATTTTTTTGTTTGTTTGGGATGAACTTTCACACCAGTTTCCTTTCTAGGTTATGGGAAGACTTTAGATTTGTTACCCTTTTCTTATTATCTTTGTGGTCCAAACATCTTGACCAAGGTACCAGGTCATGTGGCTTAGAACAGCCCTATCTATGAGTGAAGTGGCCAAGGGCCATTGTCCTCAATGAAAATCAGTGGGTGGGAACAATTAGAAGAGTATGGAGGTGGGGCTCATGCTGAGGCTTGGCTACTCTGGGATTTCTTTCTACTGTATTTCATTCTTTCTTTAATTATAAATGATAATTCAGAGGTCTTTTTTTGGCATATATGTTTTTCTGCTGTATATATATATATATATTTTCTATTATATATACATATATATTTTCTATTATATATACATATATATTTTCTATTACATATACATATATATTTTTTCTATTACATATATACATATATTTTTTTCTATTATATATACATATATATACATGTAACTTACTATTACATGTATATATATACATATATATATATACATGTAACCTACTATTACACATATTTTTTTCCTGAAAATCCATGAACATACTTTAAGTACTTAAAATTATTAACTGAAAATAATGCTAAGTAAATAATAATTTATCAGGACCATATGTACATAGAGACAAGCAGGGCTAACATCTAAGAAGTATTCTAAATTTTGCTGTTGCTTTTCTTTTCCTTATTCCTTCCTGATCTTACCCCGTTATTGGCAAGACCCTCTCATATTATTGTTTGCAAGTCTAAAGCACAAGAATTAGCAGAGTGTCAATAAATGCATTTGAGCTAAGTGCTTCAGAGAAGAGATGATTATGAGGCAAGGAAGGTAGAAGCATGAGACTATTATTAGTTGACAACAGCAGCTTGGCCGTGGTGGGAAAGGGATCACATCCTCTGCCAACCTCCATTTTCTGGGAATCTGGTTGCACCTGGCCCAAACCCAATTCTGCAGACTTTGTGAGGCCTGCCCGAGAGCCCCCTCAGGGTTTGGCTTAGTTTCTTGTGATTCTCTCAATTATGCCTTTTCACTCCAACAGTATCTACAGAAGCGGCCCCAGGCTTGGCCATGCTAGTCTGGGTACAAAGATAAGTCATTTTTTCCGTTTTTTTTTTTGAAATGGAGTCTCACTGTGTCGCCCAGGTTGGAGTGCAGTGGCGCGATCTCGGCTCACTGCAACCTCTGCCCCCTGAGTTTGAGCGATTCTCTGCCTCAGCCTCCCGAGTAGCTGAGATTACAGGCATCCGCCATCATGCCCAGCTAATTTTTTGTATTTTTTTTAGTAGAGACGGGGTTTCACCATCTTGGCCAAGCTAGTCTTGAACTCCTGACCTTGTGAACCACCCGCGTCAGCTTCCCAAAGTGCTGGGATGACAGGCGTGAGCCATGGCGCCCGGCCTCAGTTGTTTTTTTAAGAAATTATCAACAGAGGCCGGGCGCGGTGGCTCACGCCTGTCATCCCAGCACTCTGGGAGGCCGAGGCGGGCGGATCACGAGGTCAGTAGATCGAGACCATCCTGGCTAACATGGTGAAACCCCGTCTCTACTAAAAATACAAAAAATTTGCCGGGCGTGGTGGTGGGCACCTGTAGTCCCAGCTACTCGGGAGGCTGAGGCAGGAGAATGGCGTGAACCCGGGAGGCGGAGCTTGCAGTGAGCCGAGATCTTGCCACTGCAATCCGGCCTGGGCGAAAGAGCGAGACTCCGTCTCAAAACAAAACAAAAAAACAAACAAACAAACAAACAAAAACAAAAAAAATCAGCAGAGATATTTTCTCTGATTTAAGACATTGCATAACTTTTAGTAACTCTTCTGAGAATTTACAGCCTATTAGTGGTGGTAGAATCAGAGGGTGTTCATCTCTTCACCCTCTCCCTCGCCCTCCCCTTCCCTCCTGACTTTGGTGCACTGGGACCTTTCTCCCCTGGTCTTGCATGGGCTCTTCACATCTCTTAGTCTGTTTGTGCTCCTATAACAGAATACCTGAGACTGGGTAATTTATAATAAACAGAAATTTCTTTTCTCACAGTTCTGGAGACTGGGAAATCTCAGAAGGGTCTTCTTGCTGTTTCATTCCATGGCAGAAGGCAGAAGGACAAGAAAGGATGAGAGAAAGAGAAATGGGCCCAACTCATCCTTTTGTGAGGAACTCACTCCCATAGTAACAGACCCACTCCCGTGATAATGACATTAATCCCATTTATCCATATAATCCACTCCCATCAGGGCAGAGCCCTCATGGCCTAATTGCCTCTTAAAAGTCCCACCTTTTAAGATGGTTACAATGGCAATTACATTTCAACATGAGTTTGGGAGGAGACAAACATTTAAACCATACCATCACATTTGGGGTCTATCCGTGTGTCTCCTGGAATAAATGGATGGTTTCACATTAGAGGTGGGATTTGAAATAAGTTTCAACCTTCAATGATTAATCAAATCTTCTCTTCCTACCAAGTCATTTTTAATTGATATTAAATGATGGTATGAGCAAATGTTTTACAGGAATGAGACAATGTAAAATAATATTGAAGTTAGAGTAAAATGAGCAAATGAGAACAGGCAAGCTTCAGTGACTCAAACTATTAAGTGAAATATATAGTTATGAAAAAAGATCAATATAAAGCATATTAGGAGGAAGGGATGTATTTTTTTCACATCATTTTATCATTCTCTCAATTAATTTTTCATACTAACTTTGTTCCTTTCTCATCTTTTCAATCTTTACCAAACCTCTTCCCTCATTTCCT
Source organism: Homo sapiens (assembly GCF_000001405.40). Classification (NCBI taxonomy): domain Eukaryota; kingdom Metazoa; phylum Chordata; class Mammalia; order Primates; family Hominidae; genus Homo; species Homo sapiens. The sequence goes on from NC_000006.12 coordinate 71,069,821, forward strand.
TTTTAAAATTGGGAGGTTTCTTGCCTAGATAACAATCTAAATTTGGTAAATCAAATAATTTCCTATATTAAACTTTTTATATTTTTGGGATGATAGTGAATGAATACAAACTTTGAAATGGTGTTCATGTAATTCAGGTATTGAGGAATATTTTTTTTCTAGAACCGTAAGTTGAACAGAACTGGTAACAGATGGCTCAGCCTCAGTGAAAACTATTAAATGCATCTTTAATTGATATTAAATACCTCCCTGTTCTGCAGGAAGCAGAGGAGAAAGAAGATTCACAAACACTGAGATGACTTGATTGTTTGAGCATAGCCATGGTGCATTTTTGTTTATCAAGAAAGCATATGTTATTCTCATCATTAAATGTCCACTAAATTGTGTTGAAACCTGAAAGAAGAATAGAAGCCAAAACCTTGGAGTGTGTAGAAAACACACGAGTGGAAAAACCAGCTCAGCTTGGTTTTCTGATCCTAGCTCTGCCACAGCTGGTGTGACCTTTGGTAAAACAGTAAACTAGTCTCTGGGTGCTCAGGGTTTTACATCTGTAAGTTGGTAAAATCCCTGTCTCCCTGTCTCAGGGGGGCAAATAAGAACTTGGGATGGTCAAATGCTATGAACTCTTTAGCAGATAAAATATATGTTTTCCCTTAAAATATAACCATTGTGGGTAATCAAAATTCTGAAAAGCTGTGATATGAATGGCAAATTCAGTAGCATCAGTAACACAATTAGCACAAAGAGTTCTCTTGCTACAATATAATACAGAAGGACGTAGACTTTGGGTTTTAGTCATAAAATGTTCAAAATGGCTTTATGGCCATGTATCTGAGATAAAACAAAAATTTTATTTTATTTTACAAATTTCCATATGCAACACTGAAAAACAAAAATTTTATAAATAAAATATACCAGACTTTCAGATTGTTGGTGAGTGTTAGTTTTTCTCTTTGGCTTACTTTTCAGTTATTTCCTTACTCAATATTTCCTTTTCAGTATGTCATTTTCCTAGGCTACAAGCTCTCAAGGTCTTCTTTTTCCCCTTCAGGGAAAAAGTTCCCATAGGATCTAAGGGCAATTGACAATGAGGGATTATAGATTCGATGGTTGGAAATAAACTATGATTGTTTCTTATTGCCTTGGTAAAACCAAAATCTCAGATTAAATATATTGTCACTATTATAATTATACTAAAAGGTCTAGTAGATTTTTTATACCCTCTGAGTATCCAAATAAAGCCAGAATTAAAAAAAATCAGACATAATATGTTTTCTGGGAGGAATTTGACAGCAAAGACATTTCCATCTAAGTATAATTAACATTAATTTGTGGAAAAGTAAATGGCAAAAATGATTAATTTATTTTTATTGACTGTATTTTGATTCTTTTAAAATGATTACTGAGTAAGACATAGAATTTGCTTTTATTAAAGAAGAATAAATGTAATCTGCCTTTATTATTTAAAACTGTGCCTGATAGTGCATCGGGAAATAAACAATATGTCATTGACCAGATGCTGGCAGCAAAACAGTATTTCTTCAAGTCTGCAAATATTAAACCACAGATTTGAAAATGCTCTGGAAAATTAGTTTCTCATAAAAATCGTGTAAAGGAATAAATTAGCACCTTATTTAAATGCAAACCAAAGAGTTTTAATAACACCTGCCAAGATGCAGGATTTCAAAGGGAAGTGTGACTTAGGGTTTACTATTTTGTTCTGTAGAAACCAATCTTGAGTTGCTATCTATCACAATTCAATTGGAGACATTCTTTCAATGAAATCAAGTAGAATAGGAGGTACATAGAATAGTTTATAAGAACTACTCAGAAGCAGTTAAACAATACTTTATTAGATCCTACAGGAAGATAATGAAATGTTCTCACCAAAATAAAAATGAACAATTGGGCTGTGGCCCAAGTTTGGTCCTTTGTTATCTAACCCTTTAGAATGAGGATAATGTACGCTCTGCAGAGCCCTTCAGTTTCTATATAAGTATACACAAAAAATAGGCCATCAAATCACAGAACAACAGAGGAAGTAGGGTGTAGAAAAACTTGAACACCATCATTAAGCCAAAAATGCCATATATTTACATGAATATACCAATTATTTATTAAGTGAATATTTTGTTTAGATTCTAGTTCTAAAAAGCCGAGACAAATGGGGCTTAATATAACAATAGTTAGACATGGAATTTGGGACATTTAGGTGCATTTATTTTTTCTGATGATTATTTTTACTGAAGTTTAAAAATATATATAAATACGAGCAAGACTCTTCATAAACAAAGTACACCAGGAACACAGTATCTCTTACGGAAGATAAAGCATTTGCATGCAACACTGTCATAAACTCAAGAAATACCAGAAAATCACTTTGCCATTTCTGCAACGCACTTATAAGGAACACACGTACCCTATTTATGTGAGATCTCACCTGATATAATAACTACTTATAATTTCTGTTTCTATGATACTTGCTTGAGAAGCCACAGGCTAAATGTGCTTTAGCGTTCATAGGTGGAATTTCTCAGAATCATCGGATGAATAAGAATAGGATACTAAAGCTTAAAGAAGTCTTAGGGATTACCTAGGGCAACACTCTTCTCCCCTATTCTTGTTCCTCAGATACTCTTTTTTTTTTTTAAATGATCACACTGAGGATCAAATGGATTAAAGAGATTAAGTGACTTTCTCAAGATTATAGAGGTTGTCAGAGCAGAGCTGAAACTAGAACCAAGGTCTTTTCATTCTTTTCGTTACAACTCTCTGCTTCAGTAATGTCGGTCACAGAGTACAGGGCAGTACTCTCAGCAGATTTTCTGCATGACTTGTCCATGTTCGTTTATACCATTCCCCAGAGAGTGCAAAGCCATTTCTAGAGAAGTTGCATTTTCTTTTTTCATGGAGTGCAGTTCAGATGTCAGAGTAATGTGAGATCATCTTGGAGTGAGTCAGCTCTGCAATCCTCCAAAGCTTTACTCCTTTCTTCTCTCCTTAATTGGTGCTTCTCTCATTACTGGTAGAAAGGAACAGTTATTACTATTATTGTTATTATTTTTTTAAATTTCCAATGTTCTTGCCACATGCATGAGTTCTGCAGCACTTGAGCTCATCTCTATCTATTCAGGGAGAGGAGGCTCTGCCTCATGCACTTGGATATTGCAACAATGTCAACTTGCTATAAAATTCTAAATATTTATCTCATTTTCAATATTTTATGGGTTGGTGAAAGGTAACAAATTGCTTGCACACCAACCCTGGACCATGAACCATACTTTGACTAGTGCAGGTTTAAGAAACCCACTTGTGAATAAGATGCCTCCAAATAACACAGCAGAAACCCCAACATTTTACGTTCCCCTCAGTTCCTCTCTACCTTACCCCTCAACCTCCACCATGTTAGTGAATGACATTAATTTCTCCCTGAAAAAAGTGGGAGCTGTAGAGACCTGCTCCCTCTTTCCTCTCCCTAACCCTATGTTATCTGGATAAACTATATAAACCTTCTCCTTCAGCTTTAAAGAAGAAAATGTGCTTCTTTAGGTCCAGTTTAGTAGTGTGGTTAAGAGCACTTTCTCTGGAGCCAGGCTGCCTGGATTTAGGTCCTGAATTTTAACTTACAAGCAGTAAAATTCAGCTAATATTGTGCTTTAGTTTCTTCATCTATAAAGACTTAAAATAGCATTCTGTGTGTAGTAAGTAATTAATAAATATTAGCTATTATAATTATCCAAGACTAACCTTGCCATCTAAGCCCTGGGGCTGCTCCCCTCTGTATTCCTCAGGGATCCATTGCCACTAATAATACCGCTTATCCTTGGTAACTTCATGCTATGGCTATGATCTTATGTTGCTTATATTTATATTTAATGGTTCCTCATCCTTTTAAAGTTACCTTTCTAGAAAAGAGAATCTAGACTTTGTGCCTGTATTCCCATTTACTCTTTTTTTTTTTTCTCCCACTCATTTACTTATATAATTTGGTGGGTTAAGAGAGTTCCGGTGTAACTGTAAGGAAACTCGCTGGCACCTACACTAGATTAGGAGGGCAAGGAAGACTCCCTGGAGGAAGTGACATATAAGTCAAGGATGAGTGTGAGTTAGCCAGGCTAAGAAGTAGTCTTCCAGGTTGATGAAACAGTATGCAGCCTTTGAATAACTGAAAGTCAATTCAGTACAGGTAAGAAGATATGGAGGAAACTATGAGTGGAGAAGCCAAAGAATGTAAGAGATGGGACTGGAAAGGCAGGTAGGGGTCTGTATGACAAATTATGACAAAAATTGCACTTTAACCTGAGGATGTTAGGAAGACAGATACTGGGAGTGCCAGCACAAATGTCCATTTAAAAAAGATCACTCTTGTCCAAGAAGGAATGCTATGGAAAGTTTTGAAGCCAGTGAGATAATCAAATTTCCCTTTTAGAAAGACCACTGGATTAGAAGGAGCAAAGGAAGGTATAAAAGTATAGGGACCCAGGAGGGCATTGATAGGTTTTATGGGAAAGTGTCAAGATATTATTAGTAAGATTGTGGTTCTAGAGGAAGATCAGTGTTCTAGAAGGAGGAATAAAGGTCAGGAAATTGAGGAGCCAGAGGAGGCTTGGGATCAAGATGAGATTGCAGCTAAAAACAGAACTACCATATGATCCAGCAATCCCACTCCTGAGTATATACCCAAAAGAAAGAAAATCAATATACTGAAGAGATATCTGCACTCCCATGTTTGTTGCATCACTGTTCATAATAGGTAAGATTTGAAAGCAACCTAAGTGCCCATCAACAGATGAATGGATAAAGAAAATTTGGTACATATACACAATGGAGTACTACTCAGTCATAAAAAGAATGCAATCTTGTCGTTTGCAACAGCATAGATAGAACTGAAGACCATTACGTTAAGTGAAATGAGCCAGGCAGAGAAAGACAAACATCACATGTTCTCACTTATTTGTGGGATTTAAAAATCAGAACAATTGAACTCATGGAAATAGAGAGTTAGAAAGATGGTTATCAGAGGCTGGGAATGGTTGTGGGAGGGAAGGGTTGGGGGAAGGTGGGGATGGTTAATGTGTACAAAAAAAACCCAGAAAGAATGAATAAGACCTACTATTTGCTAGCACAACAGGGTGAGTGTAGACAATAATAACTTAATTTTACTTTCTGAAATAACTAAAAGAGTATAATTGGATTGTTTGTAACATAAAGGATAAATGCTTTAGGGGATACTCCATTTTCCATGATGTGATTATTATGGATTGCATGTATGCCTGTATCAAAACATCTCATGTGCTCCATAATTATATAAGCCTATTATGTACCCACAAAAATTAAAAATAAAAAAATTAAAAATAAATATATTTATTTTCCAATTAAAAAACAGATGAGATTGCAGATTTCTGGTAGTACTGCCACGTCCTCAGAGCATGGCATTCGCCGGCGTTCTAGCCAGCTACTGAAACTGGATGTAGGCTTCAAGATCTTGATTTTACCATCTGAGGAGCTCCCAGCTCTGCTGTTCAGGGTAGTCTAGGAGAAGTCAGGGAAGAACCTGGAGAAAGACCCTAACTCCAGAAAGGTTGTAACTCCAGATCCTTATGTGGTGGAGCCTCATGGTGACCCCTCTGGGATGGGGATGGGGGATCATGTGTGATAAATTCTCAAAAGCTTCACTATAATGAAGAGGTGCACACCATTGATATCTTCAGCCTCACTCTAAAGGTTATTGGGGTCATTTTTTTTTCACTTCCTGCAAAGTCAAAGAGATATAACTGACCCACTGTGTGAGGAGTGCTCTGATAGGTTTTTAGAGTGACTAGATATCTAACTAGCTTCTTATAACGAAAGATGAATATCAGAGCTACAAATACCTTTTGGAAAAGAAGAAGATGATGTGTGAGTAGGAAAAGTAGAATTAATAGATTGAGTTCAGAAAGTGAATCAGATTCAGGAACTGGAGGAAGTGAAAATAAACTAAAAAAATGTCAGGACATTTTGAGAAGTTCAGGTAGAAACTGAAAAGATGAACCCAGAGGAAAACAAATATGGGAAATTTAAACCTTAACAGTTGGAACTGGATGCTGGGCTGCAGAATGAAGAAAACCAGCTGCCTTAGGCACAGATTTTGCTAAACATGCTGGAGAAAACCAACATTTTTAGTGAGAAGCTTGGCATATGGCATGATAGCCTCTTGGGCATCACCAGTATCTTCAGCCCCAGGGACTCAGTGGGCTGGAAGGAGATTAATGCCATGTGGAGGCAGACAACTTTGGTGCTCAGATCCTGTCCAATAATATGGGACTGACATTTCAGGGGCATTGACTTGTTCCCTGTGGAAATCATTCCTATTTTTGAAGTCTTTGACAGGGAACTGCCCCTGAACCACTCTGGAGACTCAAAACTTTTCTTCGATATACATTTTAGTGTATAATGGAGGTTTTCCTGGATGAGTCTGAGAAAGATGAACTTGGTCATTGTCTACCCTACACAACCAATGAGGACAGAGGAATGACTGATAAGCAAAGAAGAAGAGATGGGTCCTATTTCAAAAGAACCCTGTTAAGATCATTTGTTGCTTTTAATTGCTTCTTATATCCCTGATCTTTTATTGGAATCATTCTCATTGTTCCCAAAAAACACCTTTTAGCATTTTATTTAGTGCAGATCTGCTGATGACAAGTATTTTGTTTTTGTTTGTCTGAAAACATTAACTATTTTTCCAGTACATAGTATTATAGGTTTGCCATTATTTATTTTTAGCATTTACATACATTATTTCATTTTCTTTAGACTTCTATTTCTAGTTCTAATATTAAGTACTAAACTTTCAGTCTGATTTTGGCTTTTTTGAAGATAATCAGTCCTTTCCCTCAGCCACTCATTAGTATTTTTCTCTTTGTCTTGCAGCTTTATGATGATGTAGTGAAAATTCTTTTTTGTTTGTCCTGCTTGGAGTTTATAGTACTTCTTGAGTCTCTGGCTTCATGTTTTTAATCAATTTTAGAACATTCTCTTAGTCATCAACTTTTCAAATATTGTTTTTTACCTACTTTGTCTTCCCTACTAATAGGATTCTATTTACATGCATGCTAGAACTTCTTACTGTATCCTTTATGTCTCTTCCCTCTCTTCTGTATCTTTCATCTTTTTTGAGTTTCCATGGTTTATTCTGAATAATTTCTTCTTTTTTAGTTCACTATTTTCTCAACTATTTAATCTGCTAAATTTATTCTTTGAAATCTTTATTTTGGTTTTTATATTTTGCAGGTTAAAATTCCCATTTTGTTCCTTGTTTTATAATTTACAGTACTCCAAAAATTTCCTAGTTTTGTCTTTTATCCCCTTCAACATAAACTTTTAGTTAGTTTAAAGCCTATGTTTGATACCAAAAATATATGGAGCCTCTGTTGTATAAACAATGTCTCTTTTTTTGAAGTGTTTACATCTTGTTGCTTAATTATCTTATGTACCTTGTTATTTAAAAAGTTTTTTAATTAAAAAATTTATTGAAGTAAAATATTCAAGCAGAAAAGTGCACATATAAGTATATAGCATGATAAATTTTCACGAATTAAATCTATGTAGCCTTTATTTATATCAATAAACATATCATTATCAATATCCCCAAAAGCCCTCTTTAAACCTTTCTAGAAACTATCTCTTCCTTCTCTCCCCTTCTACCCACCCAATGATAACCATTATTCTGTCATCAACATGCTATAGATGAGTTTTTGTCTGGTTTTGGGGCTCTATATTAGTGAAATAATAAAGTATGTGTTTTTATGTGTTTTGCTATTTTTCACTTAACATTATCTTTGTGAGCATCATTCATACCACTTCATGTAGTTGCTGTGGTTTTTTTCATTCCCACTGCTATGTTGTATTCCATTGTGTGACTGCATCACAGTTTATTTAGCATTATGTTGTTTATAGTTTTCAGTTTGGTACTTTAATATTCAGGGAGGCTAACTTTCTTATACACACCTTTTGGTGAATATGCCTAGTTATTTTTGATTGAATGCTAGTCATTATTTTAGCAAAACAGTGAGAAAATTTGACACTTAGGGTGATGTTATCTTTCCCTAGAGAAAACAGACATATATTCTTCTCCCTAGAACAACCTCGACCTAAGACTGTGATGGTTCTAAGTAGAGTCGCAGTTGCTATAAGGATCTATGTTTGGTTCACTTTTGTTCTGAGGGTAGTGGCCTTTGTAGGGGGGTCTTAACTCAAAGCTAGCTCCACCCACACACACTTCAACCCTTGTCCCCCACCTTCTCAATAACTGTAAAAGCTCTACTCAGGCTCTTAGGTTCTTGGTCGCACACCTCTAGAAGCGGCAAGTGCCCCTAGAAGAAAAGTGGTTCCATATATTGGCCTTACTTCTCTGAGATCTATCTTCCCCAAGATACTGACCCAACGATACTTCACTATCTTTTTTATGCTTTGATGCCATCAAGATGGTTTTTAGTATACTTTGTTCAGCTTTTCTAGTTGTGTTCATTAGGAGGGTAGGTCTAAATTTCTGGTCACTCCATTGACTCTGCAGTCCATTTTTTCTTTTTCTCTATGCAAACTGCTCTTGCCAAGGTTACTAATAATCTTTTATCTTTTTTTTTATAGTAGACAGTTTTAAGTCCTTGCCTTACTTGATCTTTTGTATGCCTAATCCCACAGATCTCTCCTCCATTCTAAAACTTTTTTTCTTGGCTTTCATTCCCCAGCTAGCTCATTTCTGACTGCCAGCTCCTTTTCTAGCTACCTTGTCTGAGCTTTCTCTTTAAATGCCTACCCTTAAATAGTTAGTTCTTTAAAATCTCAACCTTATATACTTTCTGTGGATGAGTCATGTTTATGACTTCAACTGCCATCCATATGCTGATGTCTTCAAGATCCTTATTCTTAAACTTGAGAGGATTGTTTCTTCCTACTTCTTATATATCTCCACTGAATGCCCTATGGAATTTCGAACTAAGCATGTCCAAAACAGAACTCATCATTTCCTCCAACGTTTCTAATTATATTCTCCATTTCAGGAAATGGCCCCACTATCTCCTTAGTTGTATAAACTTGGGAGTCATCTTAAACTCCTTTTTTCTTCTCATTTCCCTCATTCAGTCAGGCTCCAATTCTATAGAATCTAGTCCTAAATATACACACTACTTTATATTTTAAAAATATTTGGGCTCAAATATCTGTTTGACTCTAAGAGTCAGAAAACAATAAAACAAATGAGAAGATACTTGGGAGATATTTAGCTTTTAAGTTTTGGTCTTTGTAAGAGTTCTATACACATGGATTGCTCACATGATACTAAATCTCTCAGAATGCTGCTCTCTAACCTCTAATCAAAGGATGGGACACTTCCTATGTCCTCCTTCCTACATATTCTATTCAAATAATATGCATCTCTTAGTCATACATTATGATTACTGTCCACACCATTTGAGTCACCGACTCAATGCTATATATATTTAAAGCATGAAGATAGCAATTTATGCAAACCTTGTAGGTCCATGTGCAGAAAGTAGCCTGTGTATTGTTGAAGTCTCCTCCTGTTTTTCTTTTTCCTTTCCTAAGTTCTCGTATTGTTTGTACCAGAGAATTCATCATAAATTACATGTTGCTATATTTTGCTCTTTAATTGTTTGCAATGCATTAACTCTGTATCCATAACTTGAGGGTTAGCTTCCTGGGAGCATGCCTGGTGTTTTCCACTACTTTGTGTTCCTTGGTGCCTAGCATGGGGCTGGGCTGCAGCAGATGCCAGATAACCATTTGTTGTTTGACAGAATTAGCTAGAGTGAGATAACTTAAACTCATTCAAAACCTTTGGGACTGTTCATTCTGATTCGTAAAAGAAGAAACAAACTCTTGCTCAAGTGGAAATTGCCTTCTCAGCTGTTCTAAATAAGTACCAAAAAACAAGTATTATGCAGTTCTTGCTCCTTGGGAATTTGTAAATGGTGATAGAGGACAATTATACATGAGAATAATTACTGATGTAAAATCAGTGACTTCCAGTATGCTCATGCTTGTAAAGTGTCTCACAGCTTCCAATTGCTTTCATATTCATTACAAAAGTGGTTATGTCCAGGGTGACATCATCAGTTAAACATGTAGGGACATGATTGCTTCTAAAAGATTTTTTTAGGGTCCAGATGCAATATATAATATACATTGTTGATTACCGTAATGTAGGAAAGAAATAAAACTTCCACTAGAAATGGATTTTTTAAAGGGACTCCTATGAGGGGAATAACACATTGTGTGGATTTGTGTTAGGCCCATGGACCACATGGTGCCAAAGGAAAAATTCTGGACCAGGAATCAGAACTCCCAGGTCACATTTCACTTCTACCAGCTGCTATTATGATTTTGAGTAAATCACTTACTATGGCTGCATCTTAGTATTCTCATCAATAGAACAGGACTATAAATATCATCCCTGACAAGTTCGTAACCTTATGTCATCTAATATAACACACATGAAAGAACTTCAAAATGAGGTAAGCACTGTAGCAATGCAAGGGAGTCATTATTGGGAGGCTGTCAATCAGCAGCAGGGTCATGCTTGCAAGGAAGAACCCTGCAGCCAAGTGGCTGGCTGTCAACCCCAACGCTGCTACTTACCAGCTGGGCAACCCTAGGGAACCCTCTCATTTCCTCATCTGTAAAATGGGGTTCTAATGACAGTACCTACCTCACAGAATTGTTGTGAAGATGAAATAAGTTAATACATATAAAGCATTCATATTACCTGACACAGTGAGAACTACATTGTCATTAGCTATTATTATTCTTGCTGATTGTATGCATGATCTAGAAAACAGACAGTTTGAGATGTTCTTAGTGTGTTGAAAAACACTTGGCAAAGAAACAAAATAATCTATTTAAACAATTTGTTTTCTAATCTATAGGTTACATTTTTTGGACATAGGCAAAGTTCTTATATTAGGACTTATATTAATAGGATGGGGAGAGACAATTAGTAACCAAATAAATAAATCCACTTATTTATTTAGTCAGGAAATGACTAAAATTTTGGAAGGTGCTATGAATTTGGAAGGTGCTATGAAAGTAATAGTGTGTTGAGGCTGCTGTAGTCATGCGGTCAGGGAAGGCTGTTTTGAAGATGAGATGTTCATGCCAAGAACAGCTGGAAAGAGCTTGTCATTATAGGAGTGTGGGAAGAGAACGCTGAGGCAAAATCTTGGGGAGGGTCAGACTTGCAGACTTGGGAACAGAGACGAGACATGTCAGAGATGTAGCATGAGTGAGAGAAGGCATTTTATAAGGCTGGGGAGTGATTAGATCACATGAGGCTTTTAGGCCATGGCAATGAGTTAGATTACATTCTATAAATTCCAAGAAACGATTGAAGTGTTTTGTTCAGGAAAGGGATCCGGAAGAAAGCAACATAGAATGTTTAATTTTATATGCCAAAGACCTTTTTCAGAATTAAAAGCAAGTTTAAATGCGGAACAATGATTTTGTAATACATTATTTTGCTCAATTAGCAGATTTTGATGGCTTTAGAATAGTTTCCAAAATAAACTTAACCGATTGAGATTAGGATGTTTATTTTTTTATTTTTTGGCAGATCCAGTGCTGGCTGAGAGATTAGGATGTTAATTAGCAGTAATATTTAAGATGGGGATGCAAGGTTAAGATGACTTTTTGCTTTGGGGATCAATGCACTATATATCCATATTATTGCTCTAGGCTGAGATCACCACATTATTTCTGTGATCACAGGAAAACGCTTGATCTCACCGTCAGTCCCACCTTCTCCAGGGTGATTGCATGGCCTCCAGGGAAGAATAATAACTTCTCATTTGTCAGACTTGTAAGGGAAGGATTGCTTTTGGTTGTGAATATCAGAAGCCAGACTAATATAGCCTTAAACACATATGGATTTATTTACTTATTTTTTGCTTCATTCAGCATAGTTCAGAGTAGGCAAGTGGTTCAGAGGTTGAAGTTATAACAAAGTCAACCTTTCTGGAATTCTCTTGGTCTACCCCTCATGGTCCCTGGATGGCTGCCACAGTATCTATCAACACATCTAGAATTCAGGCATGGGGAAAAGAGTGGTGTCTGTATCAGGAAATCAGACTTTCCAGACAGTCAGAGAACTCTTCTGCTCATACCTCATCGGCTTGAACTGTGTCACAGAGCTATTTTTTTTCATCAGCAAGGTAGTCTGAGAAGATGGATTTTTTACCACCTGTAGTCAAACAAGAAAAGGAAAATAAGGTTGAACTGGGTTTGTTTGAGCCACCCTATGTTACTTTTTCATGGCAGATTTCTTTTGGAACTTTAGTTCCCCCTCGCAGTGACAAGAACTACAGCAGATAGCAAATGGCTGCAAACTCTTGGCATGAGAAATTACACCTACGAATGGTTATCTTGGGACAGCTAAATAAATTTTCCAGCTGACTATGAAATCTGAAAGTGAAAGTAAATATCTGTATCAGATAGTAAATAAAATTTTAGGACTGACTAACTTCCATAATTGATCCCAGATTTTGGCGATTAGAGTCACACATATAGCCATCTATTTAAAGGATCTTTGTACTTGAGAGGGCGAGATACTTGACTTCACTTAGCTGTATCATAAAGCATCCTGACGCATAAGCACAGTTGCTTCTGAGTGAGTCGGGCTCTTTGGCTGAAGCTCAGCTTGTGTATTTTCATGCAACTTTAGTGTATTGTCCCTGTGATTTATTCTTGGATGGAAAAGGAGATGCAGACTCTCAGATTTTATAGTATCTGAAAATGCCTTTATAGGGGAAAAGAAAAGCAGTTAAGTGGCTGGAGGAACTATAACAATAGTAAATCCTAGACAATGCCTTCATAGAACAATGAAAGTGATTTGTCAGGAAGCTGATAAACTGAATTAATTTTTTTAAAATCAGACTTGATTTGTCAGTGAGTGCAGAAAAAGTGTATATTCAAGGAGTTACATGAACTCTACCACTTCCTGTGCTCTGTTGGCAAATTTCCTCAAGTGTAAGACAGGGAAAATAACAGAGAATGGGGAGCTGTGATGGACATTTGCATTTGGCAACATAGCAGCCAAATATCCTTTGGATTCTGAGAGATTCCCGAGATAGGTGGGAGATACGGCCTCTTTCCCCTAGCAAATGAAAAAATATGTCTTCTTTTCATCTTGTGGAAGCAAGCTGGAAGCTGCCTAGAACCCCAAGCAGCAAATAGATTTTGCCGAAAACCACCTCTAATTGCTTCCTAAGGTCACAAACAATTCTTTAGGGAGAGGCCTAAAGGGGCAGCTGGCCATGATGTTTGGAGGGGTTGAGGCATAGTCTAGAGTGGACTTGTGTTGGTGTCCACTGTCCAGTGTCGGCTAAGGAGAAGGTTTTGGTGGCAGGGTTTTGGCTATGCCTTTCCCAACTTTTTCCTATTTGATGCTGGTTCTCTGGGCTTCCTGTAGATTTTTCCAGAATTCCCACTTCCTGTCTTAGTACCAGAGTGAGTTTCTGGTGTTTCTAACGGGAGCTTTGCAGGGACAGGATGGGAGTAGTGGACATGGAGAGGCACCAGCCACATCCTTCTTCAAGGAAGGACTTGTGGCTCTGCTGCCTGCTCTTTTTGAGGGTTTGCCTCAGCAGCAGAGAAATACTTGTGCTGGATGGTTGCCAAATCTCGACTTCATTTTATACTATGCCCCATTCATATACCCTTAAGCGTTTAAAAATTCGTCCCTTTGGGATGTTCATTTTTAGAAGCATTTAAAAATGCAGCTTGGGAATCTTTACTCTCTCCACTAAAAGACTCCTTCGGGGTGTGCCTCGATTGGCTGGGTTAACTAGTGGCAACAAATAGTGATTCTTTAGAGCAGTTTTAACTGCCAGAAAGCTCATCCTTGCTGCATGTAAAGCTGTTATTTCTTCAGGCAATAAACTAGCATAGTTCTTGGAAGTATCAAATATGATATTATGTCCCCCTCTAGAGTAGCCCTTGCTAGTGAGAATATATCCTGTTTTTTTGTACTAAATTTGGATGAAAATTAATTTTTGTACATTTTTGATATTCAATGCATATTTGATGATTACTTCAATCTCAATTTTATGGGAGAAGGGAAAGTAGCATTACTGAGTGCCTCAATATACCTGGACTGTGCCAGGCACTTTCATAACTCTTCCCTTAATCCTCTCAGCAACCCTGAAACTTATGCAGCACTATCTTCACTTTATAGAAAAGGAACTCTATACATCTGAGATTCAGATTATCTACAAGTCTGAGATACAGATTTAAAAAAAAAAACAAAATTAGCTCAAGGTCACCCAGCTAAGACATAGTAGCAAAGGGATGCCACACAGGCTTGTCTAATTCTAAGACTCATATATTTTTATTTATGTGGGTATTAAATATTCAATGATTGCCTAACCCATACTGGGAATAGGGGAAAATAATGAGTAAGTGTCTCTTTCCTGAAAAAGCTTATTGACTAGAAGAGGAGACAGACTCAAAACCATTTAGATAGATAGATAGATATAGATAGGTAGATAGATAGATGATAGATAGATACAGATGCAGGCACACACACACACACACACACACACAATACAGGAGTGATTGTGTGTGCTACTTTGTGAAGATCTACCCTGGTATTCTGGGAAGTCTCCACCCAAATCCACTAAATTGGGCCCCAGACCCATGATACAGAGGTGTTGTAATACAAGTGTGCAACGATACATATCTGTAGTAATACAGGTGCGTAGTGATACAGGTGTGGAATGTACAGATGTGTAGTGATATAGGTATGAAATGATACAATGTGTAGTGATACATATATGGAATGGTACAGATGTGTAGTGATATAGGTGTATAGTGATACATATGTGGAATGTACAGATGCGTAGTGATACAGATGTGGGATGATACAGATGTGTAGTAATACAGGTGTGGGATGATACAGATGTGTAGTAATACAGGTGTGGAATGTACAGATGTGTAGTGATACAGGTGTGGGATGATGTAGATGTGTAGTGATACAGATGTGGGATGTACAGTTGTATAGTAATACAGGTGTGGAATGATACAGATATGTAGTGATACAGGTGTAGAATGGTACAGATGAGTAGTGATACAGGCATAGAATGATAGAGATGTGTAAGGGTACATATTTTAAATGTTTCACTTTTGTCAGAAGTGAATGGAGCTAATTGGTGTAACTATTACTTCTTTACGAAGAATAAAACTGGGCCCCTATGTAGTTTACATATCTTCAACCAAGAGAGAGAATTATGCAGTGCCTTGAGGGTCTTTGTACAAAATTTCTTGTAGTTGGAGAATTTTGCTAAAATTTGATATTAATGGATAGATAGAAAAATAGGTAAGGGAGAAGTTTACTCATTAATTTTCCAAAGGGCACTCAATCTGTCTTCTGATCAAGGTGCATGAGAGACAGTCACTGGGTTGTGCTTGCAGAGGCAGCCATAAGCCAAGTGTGTCTGTCTTGTCCCAGTGCTGGAGCCCAAGGTCTTTGGGAAGGTCGAGGACTCCAACCTTCATACAGTGTGTCCCAGCATGTATGGGTCATGGTTAACATTTTAATTATAGGAGAAACAAAAGCTAACACTTAAATGAGCTCTGGTCACTTGATGCCTTGTGTTTTCCTTTTTATTTTGATGTTATAAGGAATGCTGGCCTTGCCTTGATTTAGCAGATTGTGAAACACAAGCTGCAAAACTTTTCTGAGTCTGAGTTCTTCCATCTTGTTCTATTAATCTCACATGGTTGTTGAGAGTATCAATTGAAAGGCCTTACGTGAGGGAGTTTTGTGTACTAGCAAGTGGGAGTTTTGTGTACTAGCAAGTGTTACACAAATGAAGGCCAGCATTTATAGTGCCTATAGAGAAGATCTCTTTGTGTGGAAAGGAGTAATTGCAGGGAGGTAAGTCATTAAGGAAACTCACAGAGGAGTGAGTAGAGAAGTCATCTCCCCCTGTGCAGGGCTGGGTGGAAAGGGCCCATGGTCACTTCTGCTGAATATTCCTCCTTTTGGTCAGGGTAGGCAGAGACATGAAGCTAGAGGTGACTCCTGATTTATAGCTTATCTAATTTTGTTTTTATGGTTGATGCTCTAACAAATCCAGACTCAGGAAGTAAATCCTACTCATCACTCAGGACTCTGATCAGCTCCACACATCAAGCCATGATATTATTTTTTGCCATTTCCCCATAAATTAAAAAATGTTACTTTGTATCGACATGTCCTTTGGTATATTTCTATTCTCTGTCTGTATGTTTAGGTGTATTTCAAAATGTCTATTTCAAAGTGAGGATGTAAAACTATTCTTTAGGTAGATGGTGAGGCTTTCTTGAATGGCTGTGGTCTGTATGCTGCTGTTTTCTCTTGAATAAAAATAGAGCAAAAAATGGGTCATCTTAGTTCAGATTTTGCTTTTGGTACATTTCTGAAGTCTCTCTGTGAAAAAAAAATCACCAATTCATAGCTGAAATGGGCCTCACAGATCATGTAATTAAATGGCCTCATTTTACATACGAAGTGGCCCATAAATGTGAAATGATTTGTTTAAGGGTGCTCAGTAATTACCGGCTGGGACAGAACTAGAGCCCAAGTGATACAGTAGAGGGTCAGGGAAGTGCTGGGTAGAGAAGGGCTGGGTCCCTGGCGAGGGCTCCACCCTCGGGCCTGTGCCCACGGACCCAAGTGAGGACAAACACTCCTGTTTCATGATCCGATTTTTCCAGTACACTAGGGCAAGAACCCTGGGATACAGAAAGCCCGCTGTCCTTGAAATAAGGCAAAGGGTCTAATTGAGCTGTTTAACACAAGCCACTTGCAGACAGCAAAGCCGAAAGAGCACACTGTAACACACACCCACTGGGGCTTCGGGAGCTGGAAACACTCAACCCTAGATGCTGCCATGGGTCGGAGCCCAAAACTGCCCCCCATGACCTGACCATCCTCATGCTTCCCCTAGGGGTTTGAGCAGTGGAGCACCAAAGAAGTGAGCCACACCACCATTGCACACCTGGTGAGGGGAATAAGGGAAAACCTCCCATTTCACAAGGTTTGCTTGCTCTGAACTCAGTGCTTTCTGGATCACACTGTGATTGACCTCGGAAGATGGCCCAAGCATCTCTTTCCAGGCCACCTCTGTTTCTACCTTAGAATATAATTTTCCCTCCCTGTGTAGCAGTGAGAAAGAGAAGAAATTCTTCAAAGCTTAATAGAAACTGATATTCCTTCTGCCAGAGACGTTTTTTAACATATATATTTTTTATGATTCTATGCTTGTTTCTGAATTTAAAATCAGCTTATTTAAATAAGGTATACTTGTTATTTTTACCTGTAGTCCTTCCATAAATTTTCTTTGCAAGCATATTTTTTTTTGATATGGACATTTCTTTCTTTCTTTTCTCTTCAAAAGATATTACTAACATTGCTTATTTTTCTTAGTCTCCTATGGCCTCATCCCAGTGCTTGGTAGCTTTATTTTTTTTAGTGCTCTTTTGTCTCCTGAATAACATTTCAGATAACAGAGTCAGATTTTCTGTTAGTTTGCCTTGGTTTTTCTTTTTAATGTTGATGCTAATGTTGATGCCAGAAGAATCTCTCTACCTACATATCACACCTGCTTTGTGACAGTAGGTGAGTTTTTCCATAGGCAGGACATCGCTCTGAGTATACTGTGCATATATGGATCACGAGGTAGGGCAGGGTGTGTCTGCTGATAAGCACTAGCTGGTAGGAAGCTAGCTGAAACTCCAATCCCACACCTTAAACCTTAAGCTTTTCCAGATGGTTAATTCAGTTGCTTTAGAAATGACCCCTCTATCTTGACTAGGAGTAAAATGCCCTACTATGCCCTTAGTGTTGGGATAGTGACGAGAGATAAAGGATGAGGATTAGGGTGGGGAATCTGAAGTGCACTGTCATTCTCATAAAGACTTTCAGTGAACTCACCCTCACCCCATTTCAGTTCCATCTCTCATCCTGTTTTGCAGCAATAGAGAACTAATATATATTCAAAAGCTTCTATGTGATCTAGAAATGAATTAAAGAGTTGTGAGTGACAGAGTGAGTAACTGAGATGGAAAAAAACTTCAGGCTAGTTCAGAGTGTAGTTACTAGGTAGGACCCTAACTACAATCTGTGAAACATGAGATTTGCAGGTGTAGGCCAAGGAATAAGTAGATTTGGGTTGTTGAAAAGTGGAAAAGTTTCCTACTGTTGAAGAGAGGAAAGTTTCAAATCATTATAAATGGAAACGTAAAGACAAGAGCATGATAAGTTATTACACTGAGGCCTGGGTTAAAAAAAAATTAGATTGAGGTCAAAAAAATATTACATGGCCATACTGAAAAGCATAGCCTTAATCTCTGGAGCTGTAAGAAACATAGGGCTCACTTAGTCAGAACCTTTTTTGCACAAAGAGAGCGATGAAACATAAAGAGGTTAGTGATGTGAACCTTTAAGTCATATCTTAATCCCACCAAGCCCATTATACTGTAAATGTAGACAGCCTGGAATCATTTTACATCTCTGCTCTGGTCTTCCTCATTACACATTTGATTCATTTCCAAGGACGAAAGTGTAAATGTGCTTTCAGGATGCTGACTGTTCAATAATTTATGTAAGGCTGTAAACACATTTCAGCACACTTAGGAAACAGATTTTTCTTTTTTTTTTTTTTTATAGCGCAGTCTCTAAACAATTTCTGGTCAATTCAAATCCCTTGTGATCAGTGGTGTTGTCATTTCCATCTTTTATAACATTCAGAAAATCTATCCTAAAATGTACTTCTTACCATGTCATCATGTCTAAGAATTATCTTTCCACCATTTTTGTCCATATTGCAAATTTTGCCAAAACGATTTCCTTTTGCCAGCCAGAGATCTTAATATCATCATTTCTCTTATAAAATATTAGGTCATTCACCAGTACTAATGTCATCTATCTCCTCTTTGTCATGTTTACGCATCTCTTATATACACAGCTCTTTGATATCTTAAATCCTTCCTGCCACAATTTCCTTATTTTAACTATGTCTCTGTAATACCTGGGATATGGCACAGTTTTTCTTTTAGAGAGATACCTCACACAAATCAATCTTAATGTATACTTCTAGCAATGGTTAATGTAATAGACATTTCATTTCAGAGTTTCCTTTTTTCCTCTTAACTCAGCTTGACTTTTCTTTTTTGCATTTGCCTGTAGATACACTCCTGGTATCTAGTTTCTATTGTTTTTTTTGTATTTCTCCTTTTTTATGCCATTAATATAATAAAGTTAATATAATTATTCCCTAGATTAATCACAGGATTTTAAGGCTGGGGAACCATAAAGGTAACACATCAGAAGCTTTCATTTCCTTCATAATATCTATCAAATATTTATACCAACTGTGTTTAAACAGTCATCTCCCAAGTTTGTTTCTGAGATAGGGAGATATCTCATGCAACTTAATTTTTAGAAGATTTTTCCTCACATTGGGCCAAATCTGGTACCAAATTTCCTGCTTGCTTTTTCCTCCTTTGCTTTCCTCAATATTTAACAACTGATGATGCTATTTACATGTTTCCTTTTTCTTTCCATTCATGTAAAGGGCTCCTTTATCATTAAAAAAATTCATCTCTTTTAGTGGGTATGGTTTTAAATTTGCACATTAAACATTATAACACGTTATTTTTCTAACTAATTAGAGATATTATAAAACCAACATCATTTAAGACATACACCATTTAAGTCTTCTATTTCTTAAAAAAAAGTGATGGTACGGTAAGAATGAACTAAGGTTTGTGACAGAAGGACAGAAGAGCCTCACAGAAATTGTTTATTTCCTAGACACTGTGCAGCAGTCCCCTTATCCTTGGGGGACATGTTTCAAGGTTCCCAGTGGATACCTGAAACCAAGAATAGAACCAAACTTGATTATAGTCAACTGAAACATGTTTCTGTTTGTGTCTCCCACCCATAGATTTAGTGCCTTTTCCTTCTTAACTAAGCACTTAGCATACACTGTGGCCATAGCTTTTCTGTTTCAGTTGAGCTGCAACAGCAAAACTAGCACAAAAGTCTTATTCCGTCTTCACAATTTCACAGATAGAAGGTTTGTCCTTACCATAGATCTTAGCAACCTTAGAAGACATTTTTTTTCTTGTTAAGTCAAGAACTTTCACCTTTTAACTTAAAGGAAGCACTTTATGGCTTGTTTGTAGCATATCCGAATTGCCGGCATCACTCCTCTGGATCTTTGGGGCCATCGTTAAGTAAAATCATGGTTCCTTGAACACAAACACTTGATACCTTGGCAGTTGATCTGATAACCGAGTCAGATACTATGTGATAAGAGGCAAGGAGAATCTACCACATGGATGCACTGGACCAAGGGATGATCCACCTCCTGGGGGAATGGAGCAGGATGGAGTGAGATTTTGTCACACTACTCAGAACGGCATGCAATTTCAACTCATGAATTATTTCTGGAATTTTCCATTTAGTATTTTCAAATGGTGGTTGACTGCAGGTAACTGAAGTTGCACAAAGTGAAACCACAGATAAGGGGAGACTACAGTATTCGTTTTTATTGCTGACATAACAAATTACCACATCTTGTTGCTTTAGTAGTGATTTAAGCAACAAAAGTGTATTATCTTACAGTTCTGTAGGTCAGAAAGCCATGATTGGTCTCACTGGACTAAAATCAAGGTGTAGGCAGGGTTGTGTCCTTTCCATAGGCCCGGGGTGGGAGCTGTTTCCTTGCCCTTTCCGGCTTCTGGAGTCTGCCTCCATTCCTCGACTGGTGTCCTTTTTTCCCTCCATCTTCAAAGCAGTGCGGCATGTGAAGCCCTTCTCACGTGGCATTGCTCTGACCTCCCTTGTTCCTCCCTTCAACATGTTTAAGGACTTTTGTGATTAGAGTTCCCCACGTGGATAATTCCAGGCTGATCTCCCTATCTCAGCTTAATCACACCTGCAAAGTCCCTTTTGCCAAGTAACCTAACATATTCACAGATCTGGGGATTAGGACATGGATATCTTTGGGGCCATTCTTCTGCTTATTACAGACATTATATCTGCAAGTTTGGGGGTTGCCACCCATAGACTTACAATGTCTCATGCTGCTTGTTGAACCAGTAGCTACTGTATGCTTACTGTTTAAAAATGATTATGTTAAATATTTTGAGAGCTGTAAAGAGAAATTGAGATTATGTTATGTAAGCCATCTCCATCCGATACAAATCTGGTACACTTTCTCCAGTGTCCTCAATAATGCTGTAATAATAATGTCTTCTCTGTCTCTCTCCTGCACTGGTTGGCCCTCCATTTTTGAACTTGGGTGAAGCACTACATTGTAGTGAATGAGATCTGTCGGTCACCAGGGAGCTGAATAGGATCTGAGCACTCACAGATGGGGCTGATTCATGCAACCTCAAAGTTCAGGGGAGTTAGTCTCCAATGGGGTAAACCTTGCTCAAAGGGAAGAGCGAGATGGCAGTGGGCTATTAGTTCCCCTTCTTTTGTCTGCAATGTGGACTACTGTAAGGTGTACTTCCTCCTTACAACATTCTGGAGAAGTTCTGCTGTGGAGTGAACACACCTGCTGAGCAACTTCTGTATTTCTCCATGGCTAGTTGTGAAGCAATAGCTAACGTAGCAACACTTTGCATTACATTTTCCTTTGCTTCCCTTTCCTTTATCCTTACGTCCCTGGGCTCGCACTTCCCAAATATGTTTTTAGCAATTTAATCTTTGCCTTAAGCTTTGTTTTCTAGAAGACCAGGGCTAAGACACCATTTAATCAGGCCTTCTCCAAATAACAGGAAATGAATGAAACAAATGTTTCTAAACTCATAAATGCTTTTGCTATTAAAAAACCCTGAAAATATTGGTGATAATTAGTGTTAAACATAAACTATAAGAGATAGAGACACACAATGAGGAAAAATTTTTAAAGAAACACTATAAGCTTACCTTCTTTTTCACGGTTTTTGTGCTGCTCTTGTGTTAAGCTTCATCTGTTAAAGATGGGAGATTGCTCTGTGGAAAGTGAGGAAACTACGGGTCAGGGAGAATTAACCAGTGTACGATACACCAAAATTTGGACATTTTGCTTAGTATTAAATAAACAGCTTTCATAAGGGCTTCCTTACATAGCCTGCCCCAGTATCTAGTACATATATATGCCTCATTTTACTAGTTGGTCATCAGCTCATATTTAGAGTCTCCTTCCAACCAAGTTGTAAGGGCTTGTGAGCAGGTTCTTTTTTAACCTTTCTGATTTTCCCACAGGGTCCAGCAGAGAGAGTGCCTTTTATACAGTAAGCACTTGATAATGGTTTACTTATTGTTGGAAATGGCTGGCAATGATTACATACAGTAAATACTAAATCTAACTGAGAAATCTTTAGTATTTTTCCTGTTTCTTCACAGTCACCAGAGAATGAAGTCAACTCTACAAAGATAGTCTCTGCACCTGATGTAGGCATATTCCTATTTAGTTCTGTAGGTCCCCTGGACAAGACCACATGCGGGATCATTGCATATAACTCCATATCCAGATGAATATTCTGGTGCGTGTTTAGGAGTACCTGCACTTAGTGGAGAGCAAGAGCAGAAGAGCCATGTGGGTTGCCTGAGGGACGGTGGATATCCTTTGTCCTGTCTTACATTATACAAATCCTTCCCGAGGACTTACTCCTTTAGTTTTACAAAAATCGGCCCCCTTGTGCAAAGAACCAAGGAGGATATGTATTTGCCATTTTTATTTCTCAGAAAAAGCAATTCAAATTATATTAATCTCAGGTGATATTTACCTTGGTTAAAGTATGCATTTTAATGCAGACAATTTTCTTCTAGTCAAAGTGGGATTGATAGATAGTTTTAAAAATAGTCGGATCAGCCTATGGAGCACATCAAGCTATAAAAATAGAAGCCAGGTCTATGCTTGACAGATTCCAAAGAGAGTCTTTGGTATGATTAGCTAATATGATACTGCAGGTCTCTTAAATATTAATGAACCACTGATGCCAATTTGAGAAACTGCACAAAGAACATGGGAGCCTTTTAATATTATCACCCAGGCAGAAGCAAGATTTACATTTGGTATTTTTGCAACAATTAGATAAATAATTATGAATAAACATATGTTAACATACATCTATTTTACAGTATATAGCGTTGTATGTATGCCGCAAGAAGAAAGATAGCTGATCGTTACAAATCAAGTTACTTTCCCTGAACTTGCTCCTTGGTCAATAGATGGGAAATGCATCTATCTATACTATGAGGCATCCACCAACTTTTATGGATCAAGTGACCAGTGGTGAAACCCTTCACTCTCTGCACTGAACTAGAAATATCCCCATAAACCGTGTGGCAGTATAATTAATTCAGATTATAATGTGTATTCATTGTTGATGAAGAGTCAGAAATAATGAGATTTATGTATGATTTATGTTCCTTTCGTTTCTCCTTCACTACCACCTTCATACCTACATCAGAGTTGTTTGTACGCCTACATGAGAAGTTTAAAGACATCTTGTCATTGATTTTGAAGAAGTCAAAATTATTTGAGTTTCTGCTAGGAGTCCCTGAGGAGGGATGGAGAGGAGCAAGGCCCACAATGTAGGTCAGGTGCTTTCTAAGCAGCTCTACTATATGCTCCATCATAACATCATTCTGTATTATAATGTCATATTTATTTGTCTCAGTTTACCATTGGACTAAAAATGCTCTATTATTGAATAAATGAATAAATATTGATAGAGATTCTTCCTGCAAGAATTTTTAGATTCTAAAACTTGTTTGTCTTTGTTATGATAACATACAAAAAGGAAAATTACATAAGCCTTTGTTGCCAATGTTCAGAAGTGGTAGGTAGACATATTGAGAACTTTCAGGAAAAAGGAAATAGTATTCATCTAAAAATATTTACATGGTAGCACTGCGAGTGAGTTCCTGTAGAAAATAAAAGCTTAAAATTTAGTTGGGTACTTACTTTGGTTCATGTGCCCTGCTATACAGCATTTGACTGGCTCTGAACACATTGGAATACTCCCATGGACAAATAGGATCATGTCAAGTTAAAAAGCTTCTGCACAGCGAGGGGAACAATCAACAAAATGAAGCGACACCCACAGAATAGGAGAACATATTTGCAAACTATCCATCTGACAAGGGATGAATAACCAGAATATATAAGGATCTCAAACAAGTCTATAGGAAAACATCTAACAATTCAATTAAAAACTGGGCAAAAGATCTGAGTAGACATTTCTCAAAAGACGACATACAAATAGCAAACAGGTATACAAAAGGTGCTTAACACCATTGATCATAAGAGAAATGCAAATCAAAACTACAGTGAGATATCATCTCACCCCAGTCAAAATGGCTTTTATCCAAAAGAGGCTATGACGAATGTTGGTGAGAATGTGGAGAAAAGGGAATCCTGGTACGCTGTTGGTGGGAATGTAAATTAGTACAACCATGATGAAGACCAGTTTGGAGGTTCCTCAAAAAACTAAAACTAGAGCTACCATATGATCCAGCAATTCCACTGCTGGGTGTACACCCAAAAGAAAGGAAGTCAGTATATCAGAGATATCTGCACTCCCATGTTTATTGCAGAACTATTCACAATAGCCAAGATTTGAAAGCAACCTAAGTATCCATGAATGGATAGATGGACGGATACATAGATATAGAAAAAGTGGTATGTATACACAACACAGTACTATTCAGCCATTAAAAAAAAAGAATGTGATCCTGTCGTTTGCAGCAACATGGATGAACTGGAGGTCATTAAGTGAAATAAAACAGGCACAGAAACACAAATTTCTCACGTTCTTACTTATCTGTGGGACCTAAAAATTAAAACAATTAACTCATGGAGAAAGAGAGTAGAAGGATAGTTACCAGAAGCTGGGAAAGGTAGTAGGGGTGGGATACAGGGAAAAATGGGGATGGTAAAGGGTACAAAAATAGTTAGAAAAAATGAATAAGATTTAATATTTGATAACACAACAGGAGAACTATAGTTAAAGATAATTTGATTGTACATTAAAAATAACTAAGTATAATTCGATTGTTTGTAACATAAATAATAAATGCCTGAGGTGATACATATGCCATTTGCCCTGATGTGATTATGACACGTTTCATGCCTGTATCAAAATATCTCATGTAACCCATAAATATATACAACTACTATGTATTCACAAAAATTAAAAATTCAAAAAGAATACTTCCAATATTTTACTTACTTTTTTCCTGGTTATAAATATAACATTTGCCAGTTGAAAGAAAGTTACAATATATGAAAACATATCAAAAAGATCATCATAATCTCACCATGAGATAATTATGTTTATTTTCTGTTCCTTTAGATTTTTTTCAGTGTTATG